>NC_000010.11:126301864-126613344 GCF_000001405.40 Homo sapiens
ATACTCTGCCTCCTTAAATCATAATTTATACTCTGAGCCTGGGGCCTAATTACTTAATCTTTTCAAATTCATGGAACATATATGGGTAGCATGTATCATGACCGTGGGACAGCTTGAGCCACTTAATAAAACTTTCAAGTCCAAATCGTATACAAAAACATCCTGGTCTTATCTAAAATTTCGACATTCTCTGGAGAAACAATCTTTAGTGTGTTCTCCAGAGGGATTCTCAGGGTCATCCAATTCTGATGCTTAAATCAAATAATCGTTTGGCTTTCTCTCTTTGTTCCTCAAACCCCACCAACCCCACCCCCAGGGTTTTGTCCGTCCAAACTGTTCATTTTGCTTCACCAAGTCTGTTTCTGTGCCAAATTCTGCAAGTTAAGCCTTCAGCCTTTGGACTATCCTTTTACAAGATGGGGGCTCAGATTAAATTCTCACTAACTTGTTCCTGTTGTGATCCCAGATGTGCTTCTAATCTGTGTTCCTTTTGTGTGTGATCTCAAGGCATTTGGACTAAAATGGAAAGTCAGCATTTTTTAGAAAGTAATTGGTCTTTTATTATACGATACTTTGAATGGGATCAATGTGTTTCGGCAAAAACAGAAATGATGACGAGAAGAAAGAAAGAAGAACACAGATAGATGGGAAGATTTCACCCCTTTCGTGAGGACACTTAGGATAATGAGCAGGGGTCTAAGCTACAGGAGGGTGGAAGGGGAGGACGTCTGAAGAGCTTGAAGTGATCTCTGCAAGTTTAAAACAAAAGCACAGTTGTCTCCTGTCTAGAGTCAGTTTGTATTCAATTGTTTTTTAAAAGGAAACCACCAATGGTGAGGATGTTTCATTATGCTAAATTATAAATCACTCCTGAAAAATAACATTTAGAAAGAAAGGAAAAGGTTTTGGAAATAGGCTACACGTACCATTACCAAAATTGTGTCATTTCAGAATGATAAATGCCCTGTGTGTATTTTTGAGGCATAATGCAGTAAAGACTTTAGTACTTCCAGTTTTCACTAGTTGAGCACAATGGCAGTGACGCCAGAAAAGAAGTGACTTTTAAAAGAAGGGAACAAAGGAAGAGGGGGCATGGTTTTGGAACAGGCTGGGCATTAAGGATAAAAAAGAACTCAAGAATGGAGCAAAGTAGGGAGCTGGGTGCCTGGGAGGACACTGACACCCAGAGGAAAATAAGGGAGACAGGACTGATTTGATCATTTTTGATATTTGATGTGTGAAACATTTTTACCTACTTGAAAGTAGTGTTAAAGTACAATGTGATCCATTGCTGTTTTGGGAAGCATCGATATTCCTTTTTACATGCGTAAAATCCCCATTCATCACTGGGAGCTTTCAATCCTTTTGGTATTTCCAGTTGCTCATACTATCCTATGTATATCACCAATGTAACAACAGCTGTTTTTATTGCTGCTGTCATTGTGCTGGAAAAGCGCAAACATGTTTGTACAGCTTTCTAAGCAAAACTGTCATTTTCCCTTTTATTAAATTGGTTGTTTGTGATTAGTGGGAAGAGTTAAATCGCTGTAGAAATCCTATTAGAAAGAGTAATGTAATAGCCTGTACAGGGATCCCAGTCCATTTCCCAAGACAGGTCATTAAATTACTTTCCGAGAGGAGAAGATTCACACAGAGCATTCAGGGCAATTAAGAAAATCACCCTATTCCTGGCTCTTGGGCATTTTTGAAGTGAGATATGCTTTGAGCAAAACCAGGGAATGTGGTAAAGGAAAATAATTTTTGCACAGGCTTTAGAAGGTCACAGGACAGGGAAATAAGCAATATGTTTGAATCCTGGCCTAGCCACAGAGCAGCTTTGAGACAGATTAACCCTGCATAGCAAAGCCTCTCTTTACCTGTGGTGGGTTTGGCTTCCTTAATTCATTGTAAGGTGATGCCTCACCTTGTTTGTCCTAATTGTGAGAACACCATCATATTATACACCAAATTGGCTGGTTCACAGAAGGGCAAAGATCCTAGACTGAAGATATTTTTAAATTCTCCCACTGTGGTATACTATTATTTGACAGTAGACTATGAATACATTATAGAACCATACTATAAATTTCACAGTCTTTCTTGATCAGACCTCCTCCAGAGATTGAGCTGTAATACCTTAACACATCCATCATATATGATGAATTAATGTCTCTCCTATGCATTTAGAATGGTGTTACTTATGCATCATCCTTGGGAGAATTGAGAAAGACACTCAATCATTTTTCTCTGTCTTCTGTGATTACGATGAAACACTCTAAGAAAGGCCGTGCCTCACACAAACACCCAAAAGTAATAAATTAGTTAACAAATAAATAATACAATAGAGACAAAGAGCTAAGAAACCAACATACAGAAAACTAGAATACTGATTTTTTAAAAATCCAAAACCAGGTAACAAAAAGGAAGTGAAAGAAGGAAGGAAGGAAAGAAGGAAGGGAGGGAGGGAGGGAGGGAGGGAGAAAAACAAAAAACCCAAACAGATGGAAAAGTAGAAAATAAAGAACAGCAACTTCAAAAAAGCCAACCATATTAATAATTACATTAAAGATAAATGATCTAAATACTCCAAAATAAAAGGCAGAGATGGTCACAGGCAGTGAAAAAGGAAGACTTAACTACACGCTGTCAGCAAGAAACCCACTATAAGTATAACAATGCATATAGATTAAAACTGAAAGAGCAAAGAGCAGTAAATGATATATTATAGAAGATGAAATACTATTTGATAAATTGGACTTCAAAATTTTAAAATTCTGCTGATCAAAATACACCATTAAGAAAATATAAAGTTAAGCCACAGTGTTGAAGAAAACATTTGCTACACAATCGACTTGTATCCAGAATATATAAAGAACTGTTAATCACCTTAACGCACGTAAAAATGGGTAAAAAAAATCTGAACGTTTACAAAAAAAAAATATATTTGAATGGCCAATAAGTTCCATGTAAACATGGTCAATTTCATGAAATATCAGGGAAATGTGAACTAAAACCACAATGAGATACCAATATCCAACCATTATAATGGTTGAGTTGAAGAAGACTGAATATACCAAGTGTAAATTATAAATCACCACCACCACCGACATATAATGTATACCTTGGTGAGGATAGAAACAATAGAACACATATATATTTCTGGCGGGAAAGTAAAATGGTAGACTTTGGGAGACAATTTGGCAATTTCTTAGAAAGCTAAACACTTGAAACAGGAATTCCATTCCTGGGTATATTCCCAAATGAAATAAAAATATATTTCTACACAGTGACTTACACAGAGTTAATTATAACAGCTTTACTCTTAATAGCTCAAAACTTGAATCAACCCAAATATCCATCAACAGGGGAATGTATGAGCAAACTGCAGAATATCCAACAATGAGTTACTACTCAAGCAATAACAAGAAATGGACTCCTGATACCAACAACACAAATGAATTTCAAAAGCATTATGTTAATCAAAAGGAGCCAGACACAAAAGAGTACAATCACATGATTTCGTACATATGAGTTTCTAGAAGAGAGAAATCTAATCTTTAGTGCTATAAAACAGATTGGTCGTTACTTGAAGCCAGAGTTGATAAGAAAGACTGATTGAAAAGGAACACTACAAAGGAACTGACTATGAAGAAATATTTTTGGGATGAGGGAAATATTTAATGTCTTGATTTGGGTGACGGTTACGTGGGTGTATATACTTGTCAAAATTCATTAAACTGTCCACTTATGTGTATTTTATCTTTTTATTGTTTTACTTCAAAGTTTATTTTTACAAAAATCTCCACTGTGATATGGTTTTCTCTCTTTTTAATTCTACAAATTTCTATGGTATATATTTTGAAAAAATCCTAAAGCAAGTGTTTCAGATTGAAGGAAAATGATACTGAGTAGAATTATGACCAGGCTAGTAGACTCATTTTATTATTATGAGATAGGACTATTTCTCATCAAACTTCCTGTCTTAAATCGACTATATTTAATATTGTTACAGCTGGTCAGCTTCATTTTGATGTGTTTGCTTGCATGGCATATATATTTTTCTCTCCTTTTACTTGATTCCTGTAGGAAGTTCTATATTTATATATACTTCATTTCTGTATGTATTGACATTTAAAGTGTATCTCTTGTAAATCATATACAGGGAGTTTGGTTTCTTAACCCCATCTGATAATCCTTGTTTTTTAATTTTTCCATTTAATTTTACTATAATTCCTGCAGAGCTGGGTTTAAGTCTGGCATCCTTCTACTTATTTTCTTGTGTATTAGTATTTTATTTTTCCTGTTTTTTTAAAATAAACTTTATATTTTTATTATTTCATCTTTCTCTTATAGCAGCTTCTTATATCTTACTGTCATCCTTTCAGTGCCTACTTTGGAGATAAAAATGAGGATCCCAGACTTATTATTAACTTAGTATCTTTACTGTTTTCAGAATAAGCAAAAATATTATAATAGTTGAGCTCTATTTGTTCCTCCCTTTGTGCTATTCATAGTTTACTTATCCATATGTTGTAAAGCCCTAAATATCTTGCATTATTGTTTTAAAGAGTTAATAGTGTTATATTTACCAATATGTTTACATTCTTATGCTCTTTCTATAGTTCTATGCTTCTATCTGGCATCGTTTTCCTTCAACCTGAAGGACATCCTTTCATAGCTCTTACAGTTTGATTCTGTTAGAGACGAATTTTATCACCTGCTTTTGGTTTTTAAATATCTTTATTTTTCCTCCATTTTTAAGAGAATTTTCTCCCAGTTTGAATTCTGCATTGGCAGTTTTTCTTACATCTTGACCTTCCAAGATATCTTTCCATTTTCTTCTGGCGGTTTCTATTGAAATGTCAACCACCAGTCTTAACTTTGCTCCTTTGAAAGTCTTTTTTCCTCTGAATGTTTAATAGATTTTCTCTTGGACTTTGACTTTCAACAGTTTGATTATCACGGGCTCAGATGAAGTTTTCTTTGCATTTACTCTAATTGGGGCTAAATGAGTTTGAAATTATAATTAACTATTAGTCATAACTTTTGAAAAATTCTCAGCCATTATCTCCTTAGACATTGCTTCTTTCCCAGTCTCTCTCACTCCTTTCCTTATAGGATTCCAGTTATATGTAGTTACACTTTTCACCGTTCCATGTGGCTTCTGTGCTCTGTTCTGTTCCTTCCATTCATGTCTACTGTGTTTCATGTCTATTGATCTGTCTTCAAGTTCACTATTCCCAACAACTTCTGTTTCCATTCCAATGAGTACTTAATTTTAGATATTGATCATATTATTCAGTTATAGAATCATATTTGTAGAATCCAGGTCACTACTGAAATTCTGCATATTTTTCTCCATTTCAGAGATTTTGTTTTTCGTTTTTGCTGTTTTACCACACCAATGCTAATTAGCTTCAAGTCCTTCTCAGCTAATTTCAATATTTATATATTGGTGGCTCTGTTTTTTTCTCTTGTCAGTCACAGTTTCCTGCCTGCCTTTTTTTGAGATGGAGTCTTGCTCTGTCACCCAGGCTGGAGTGCAATGGCACAATCTCCACTCATTGCAACCTCTGCCTCTGGGGTTCAAGCGATTCTCATGCCTCAGCCTCCCAACTAGCTGAGATTCCAGGCATGCACAACCACATCCGACAATTTTTGTATTTTTTTCTTTTCTTTTCTTTTTTTTGAAACAGAGTCTCACTCTGTTCTGTTGCCCAGGCTGGAGTGCAGTGGCGCGATCTCGGCTCACCACAACCTCCGCCTCCCAGGTTCAAGCGATTCTCCTACCTTAGCTTCCTGAGTAGCTGGGACTTCAGGTGCATGCCACCATGCCCAGCTAATTTTTGTATTTTAGTAGAGACAGGGTTTCACTATGTTGGCCAGGCTGGGGAATTTTTGTATTTTTTGTAGATACAGAGTTTCGCCATGTTAGCCAGGCTGGTCTCAAACTTCTGACCTTAAATGATCTGCCTGCCTTGGCCTCCAAAAGTGCTGGAATTACTTGCATGAGCCAGCGTGCCTGGCCCTCATGCCTGCTTTTGAAAACATGTCTAGCTACTTTTTATTTTATGCTAGACACTGTGTATGGCAGTGCCATAAAGGATCCAGATGATTTTCCCACCAGAGAGAGCACAGCCTTTCATCTGTAGGAAAATTGGACTGATGTGATCAGTCTCTCACTTGCCAGGAATTGAGCTGGGTCAGGGTTGGGCTGCACTTCTAGTAAGGCTCAGTCCAAGCCTTAGTAAGGCTCATCCTCAAGGATGGTTCCTTGACGGTGACCATCCTAGGCTTTTAATTTAGGATCTGGAGTATCTGTCTTTTTGGCCCACAAACACTACAAAAGACTACAGATGAAGTTCAGTTTTATCTTTGCAAACTAGAAGCGTACTCTTTAGCTTTCTTGCCCATGCAACTTGGGCAGGAAACATGACATGGGAGACTAGTTATGTGTTTGTTGCAAGCCCCATTCCTCTTGCTGGACCTTGTCTCCCAAGTTACCAGCAGATTGTGGAAGATTTCACTCTGCCTTTCTCACCCAGTACCTCAGCCTCCTAAATGATGCCAGAAATTATATGTAAATTTATACTACTTTGTCAAGCAAACTTTCAACACAAGTCTTTTCTTTTTTCACTATTAACACTTTAAGCATCACCATAGACATATTGCTTTTACTATTGACTGACTTAATATTGTTTGATAGTATAAAAGCAAACTTTTACACAGCCACTATTTAAAATTAACTCAAATCTTAAGTGATGTTTTGACTATTTTTTCAAATTGTGATTTTCTATTTGAGGAAATGCCCTCAAACTATATCTTAGAAGTTTAAAAATATTCATTGCAACTTGGCCGATGCCTGGTGTACTTTGTGGTAGAAGAAAACTGAACATCTCATCTCAGATAAGAGGCATTATCATCTCATAGTTAGCAACTGCAAGTAACAGCTGTGATGTCTTGGAGACCCTTTAATATCGTATCCATTGTTGAAGGTCAGATCTTATCCCTTACCAGTCCAAGAATGATGTATGTGTCAGCTGTCATGAAGCCCCTTCTGGGACAAGTAGAGAGATGCATTTATACAACTGAGTAGATATCTGCCATTTTTGCCTGCTTGCCTTCTATTCACCTCTTATATCATCCCAGAACCCAGAGTTATTTTGGGGAACCACGGTTCTCCCACCCAGTCCTGTGATTTCAGTGGACTATCTCCTTCCCCCTATGCCAAGAGTGGACACATGGCCCAGGCTTGGCCAATCACCGTATTCTACACCTTTTGACTACATTGATCGTTTCAAATGAGGGCACATGACCTAAATGAGATCTCAGAGACTCTATTTGAGGACTTCTATTTACATCGTTGAGGAAGACAATGTTTGCAGCTGGGGTTGTTGAGAAGGGGAGACAAGACTGTAGCTGTTGTCAGCCATCTTGCCATGATGAAGGTCGGCTCTCTCTGAGGGCAGAGACAACAGAAAGAATAAATTCCAGTCTTGGGAACACTTGTTGAGTCACTGGAGTCTCTCATATCTAAAGCCAGAAAATGCCCCTGGACTTTGGGTATTGTAAACAGAAAACAAATTCCAATGTAACATAAGCCGGCTTTAGTTTTCTGCCACTCATAACCAAGAGTTGATTTATTAAGTAATTCTTACTAATGGATCATCATTCTCAGCCAGACTTCATTCCAAGAAAAAAGGGCTAGAATGATGCACTGGGTCCAGAAAATGGAGATAAAATTAAAGTGCTCCTATTGCATTACACTGAGTGGGAATCCATTCTTGGGAGTTGGCTCTGTCACAATGCAAATATGGACATCAATAAGCCACTAAGCTTTGGAGGAGCAGAGAAATGCAGTTTTAGGGGCTGGACTAGCAGTTAGAGAGAATAGTTAAATAATCAGATTGAGATGATCTAAGACAGTTGTAAATATGGACTTCAGCCTTGCAAAATATTAGAACTGCAGGTAAAGATTTTGTGTCATGTTAACAGAAGCGACAGATGAAATGGGCTGGGTGCAGTGGCTCACGCAGGTAATCCCAGCACTTTGGGAGGCTGAGGTGGGCAGATCACTTGAGGTCAGAAGTTCAAGACCAGCCGGGCCAACATGGTGAAACCCCATCTCTACTAAAAATACAAAAATTACCCAGGCATAGTGGCATGCGCCTGTAATCCCAGCTGCTCAGGACGCTGAGGCAGGAGAATCGCTTGAACCCAGGAGGCGGAGGATGTGCTGAGACAAGACTGAGCCACTGCACTCCAGCCTGGGTGACAGAGTGAGACTCTGTCTCAAAAAAAAAAAAAAAAAGTGATAGATGATATTTTGGAGTATTCTGAAAGGGTCCAGAGATGCAATGCAGTAAAAAACAAGCAGACAGAAGACAGAACCCTGGGAGTTGCATACATTTAGAAGGCTGGTGGAGAACAGGAGTGGGAAAAGAAGCTAGTAGAGTGGTCAAAGGGGTCGGAGGAGAACAAGGCAAAACCTGGGACCAAGAAATCCAGGGGCAGCAATTGCAAGTAAGAGAAAGAAATCACCAATGACAAATACCAATAATTAAAGACCCCAGAGAATGTAAGAGAAGCAAGGTATTTACCAAGGCATTATTGACCTTGCCAAAAGATGTTCCAAGCAAGTGGTAGGGTAGAACCAGGCTGCAATAGTTACACAGCAAAACCCATGGTACACAGCAGCCACTAAAAGCAATCAGCTGCCTCTGAGATGCCTGGTGGCTGAGGTAGGGGCAGAAAGGCAGGTGGGTGCAGAGGTAACAGTATGGAAACTGGAGTGCTAACTCTCAAAATTATGTAAATACCATCATATTGTTTTTAATTATGGATCACTGGGTGGGATGTGTCTCATTATCAATGGGAAGGTACAAAAGAACTTTCTCAGTAAATAAAAGAAGGTTGTAATGCAGAGTAGCACAGGTACAGGGAAATTATTAACATAGTCTCATAGCTGTTTGGTGAGAATGGGACCAAAATATGAAATTGTGCACTATGAGAGGGATGATACATTTTTGTTAAGCATTTATTGTGCAAGGGGATATGGTGGACCCTAAGGAGCAGGAAAGAAGTCCCTGCCTTTAGGGAATGCCAGTCTTCATTAAGGGTCGTTGCAGGGAAAATCTCTAGGATGCCTCCTCTGAGCTGAGCTAATACTAAATCTCCTGCCCACCTTTTTAGTGGGTTATGGGTCTTCCTCATTATACATACACACAAATACACACACACACACACACACACACACACACACACACACACACACCTGCACGCACACAAGCTGCATGAGATATACTCAAAGACTCCTCATTGGTTTTCTGAAATTTAAATTTAACCGGGCATCCTATATTTTATTTGGCAATGCCACATTCCATGCATGTTTGCTGAATAAATACAGAAGTATAACTGGGGCTGGAGTGGGAGGAGAAACCTGGGAGAGGAAAATAATTCTTTTTAAATCTAATCTCCAAAAAACAATTATAAAAAAGTAGCACAGTGCTTAGGGCACAGCACTGGCAGAGCAGATGAGACCTTTGTGGCATAAGGAACATGTATCTGGTCTCTGCCCCCTGTTCCTGGAACAGAACTTCTAAAACCCCTGTAATTTCTCGGGTGACAGGAACGTCTTTTGTTCTAATAAGGTGACTCTTGGTGGGCTCCTGGATGGGGGCTGGTCACCAGAAAGACTGAGCCATGATTAGAAGCTGGGAACTTCCAGCCCACCCCCATCCTCTGGGGAGGGGAGAGGAGCTGGAGCTGGAGTTAAAAATCGATAATGCCAAAGTGATGAAGCCTCCATAAACATCCTGAAAAGAGGAGATTCAGGTTTCAGAGTGGTGAACACATCCATGTGCCAGGAGGGTGGTGCACTGCAACTCCACGGGGACAGCAGCTCCCACGCTCAGGACCCTCTAGACCCTGCTCTATAGGCACCTCTTCATCTGGCTGCTCATTGGTGTCCTTTACCATATATTTTATAATAAAGTAGCAAGACTAAGTAAATAAGTGAGTCCCGAGTCATTATAGCAAATTATTGAGCCTGACAAGGGGGTCATGGGACCCCTTCACTTGTAGCCAAGTCAGAGAGAAGTGTGGGTCACCTGGGGACCCTCTATTTGCAATTGGCGTCTGAAGTGGAGCATCTTGTGGGATGGAACCCTTTGCCTGTGGGGTCGGTGCTAACTCCAGGTAGTCAGCATCATAACTGAACTGTAGGACACCCAACTGGTGTCCAAAGTTGGAGAATTGGTTGGTGTGGAAAAAAAAAAAAAAAAAAAAACCCACGTTTGGTGACCAGAAGTGAAGTATAAGCGTCAAGACCACGGTTTGCATTTTCTGTACAGCTGCAATGAGACGACGTCAGAGAGGCTGTGAGAAACCCATGGCAGAGCACCAGCGGGGGACACAAGATGGGTGCAGAGGGAACCCGACAGCGGGGCCTTCCAAGCACACCTGCTCCTTCCCTCTCCAACACCTGGGTTCTGTCTTCCACAAGCTCCAGAACAGCAAGTCCTGAAGTGAGAACCTGGCCGTGCCTCTGGATGAATGTGACTTAATTTAGGTAGTTGTCTCCCTTCAACAAACCAAACACAAGAGAAGAAATGCTGTGTGTGGCTGGATGGTCCTGACTATGTGGTTAATGAGATATGGATGCCGTGTGGTCAGTGGAGTCTGGGTGGTCAGGGAAAGCTTCAGGGAGGAGGCAGGCCTGTGGGGAGCCTTTAAGGAGGAGGAGAACATAAATAGGCAGAAGTCTCTCTGAATTCGTTGTAATTAAACCTAAACACTAAGCCAAACATGATATCAAGATTGTGGCTGGCTTTATTAAATACTGTTTATGTTGTAGACTTTGCCCTTCTTCAGCAGCAAGCAACTGCCTTCTCTTCTCTTGTTAGACAATGGTGCCGTCAAACCCGGGGACATCAGCACATCTCAGGCGCTGACAAACCAGGAACGATGCCCTCTCATCGCAGCCACATATGCACGTGAACATATGTGAGCCACATCGCCAAAGCTAACAGGTAGTTATGGTCAAGTCTTCAGATTTTGCAGTTTCTTCTTTTACTTTTCAGTAATACATTATTACTTACTTGCATAAATTAGCCATGTTGGTTCAGATGAAGAGACAACATCACACGTTGCTACTTTGCTTACAGTTTCTTTGCAGCAGAAATGCAGAGCAGCTTGGCTGAAAGGTCCCAGCCTGAGGGTCTCTCATGAGGGTGCAGTCATCACCTGAGCCTGCAGCTTGGCTGGGATGAAAGGACCCACTGCAAGATGGCACCCTAGTATGCCTGGCAAGTCAGCGCTGGCTGTCGGCTTTCCATATGGTATCTCCACAGGGCTGTTTAAGTATCTTCATGGCTCAGCAGCTGGTTTCCCCCACCAGTTGAGAGGGCCAAGAAACCAAGGTGAAAAGTACAATGTCTCCTATGACTTAACCTCAAGGTCACACACTTCTGCCTTCTTCTATTGGTGACCCAGACCAACCCTGCCTCACAAAGGAGAGGGCCTTGGAAGGGCAAGGATCACCTTGGAAGCTGGCTATCACAAAGCCCTTGAATTTAACTTTGAAAATGCAAAGTATGGGGTCAAAGTCTCCCACCTGGGAAACAGAACATTTTAAGATCTCATATGGAATAGCCAGACATATAAGATGACCATATAAAAGGGTGGAAGAGAATACATACACCTCATCAACACCACCTGCTTCAAGGTGTGAGCCCCATCCATCCATCTGTCCATCTGTCCATCCAGCCATCTATCCATCTGTCCATCCGTCGATCTGTCTGTCTGTCTTCCCACCTGCCCTTCTATCCACCTACACATATATCACTGGTATTTATCACAGAAGCTTCTGTGGTCAACTCTAGGAAAAAGTGGTGAATAAAAAAGATAAGTCTCTCTCCTCATGGGATGGACAGTTAAGGCTGAAAGGCAGACATTAAACGAGGACATAAACAGATAAAGAAAATGGTGAGGCAGAGCGTGGAAGAAACAAAGAATAATTACAGCAACCAAGCGAGTGGGCATCTGCTTAAATGAGATAATGAGGGAAGGAAGACTTCCCTAAGGAAGGGGTTTTAAGGCAGAGACGAGAAGGGACTCATTCACCATGCAACTAGATGGGGTGCTGTAGGCACTCACGGATGGAGGTCAGGAACAGGCATTCCCAAGGACATTCCCAGGGCTCTCCTGGACAAAAGCCAGAGGAGGAGCCAAGCCAGGAATAAGATGAGAAGCCAAGTGTGGAGGATGAGGCATCACCACCGACCTGAGCAGGTTGGCAGGAGTAGCGTGGTCTGAGGACTGCTGGAGGAGCTGAGGGTGGGGCAGGAAGTAAGCTTGGAGAGAGGGACATGGACGCAAGTCCCACAACCATGGGAAAAGTAGCCAGCTCGATTGTTAGAGAGGAGACCAGGTGTCCCTGGTGAGGGAGAGCAGAAACCAGCTGGGGATGCTGTGGGGTGAGGATATGGTGTGAGGGGGGTGCTCCAAAGGGAGTTTCAATGCAGACAGAGTAGGGCACAGGGAGTGTTAGGGCTGCAGGCCAACGTCTGGCTGCCCTTTGGAACATCACCTCAATGGGGCCACACATTAAGAAGTTCTGCTTTGAATTTGGGACAAATTTTGGGAGCACCCTCCACTCATAAATGAGACACACTCAAATCAATCAAGAGATACGACATGGACATTTTCAGGAAAAGAAGATTTGTCTGAGAGCCCATTGTCTATATAAAATTTTCAATACTCTATTTTCAAACCTTGTCTAAAATTACACCCCCAAAATGTCACTTGACTACTCAGAAACCTTCAGTGGCTCCCCATTGCCTTCAGAATTGAAGTCAAGCCCCCAGCATGATATTCAGGGCCTTGTTTAATCTGAAAACTCCTCAACCCAACCCCAAATCTAGCTGGAATAGGTACTTAATAGTCACTTGCAAACATAAACAGAGGACTGGAACTTGCCTCTCAGAGCACAGTCAATGCAGAGCCTCGTTCAAAACCCCTGCTATGAGGCTTTCTATGGAAGGAAAGGGAGAAGCGGGGGTTTCAGCAGACTGCCCCAGTTTGTACAGAAGCTAGGACTGGTAAGGTAATTAACGTTCCTTCTCATTTGGGCCTGAGATGCAGGGCAAGGAAACGGTAAGCATGCCGCTCCAAGTCACTGCATTTGAAATGAAACAGTTAAACTCATTTGCCGTCATGGTTGCAAGAGCTTCTTGAAAGGAGTTGCTCTGAGGTTAATGAGCATGATAGGTCAATTCTATGTGTGCTGAAATTCTTGGAATCTGAAAACATGGCAGTTGTAGCTAGTCAGCTTTCACTGAAAAATGTACATGTGTTGTCTTCGAGGGTATTTACTTAACTAAAGACGTACGTTTCCACAGCTTCTGGACATTTATTTTATAGGAAAAGATCTTTAAAGTTTCTCCAACTCATTTCCCCACCTGCCAACTCTGCTCGCCAGCTCTTTCCTCGTAATGCCTGCTGGAGCCAAAAGAACGTCTCCGTGTTCCTGTCTGTTATAACCAACAAAAATGCATCCAATCTTTTGTATTTGACTTAAGGATGCTGTTTCTGTCCTTTCCAACCGATGGCTCCTTATAACCCTGTCTGGGCAACTGAAGTATGTGGCATAAAAATCAGAATATTAGTTTGATCCTTGGAGCTGGGAGGATGACCAGTTTGTGTTTTGCCCATCACAGGCGTTTCCCATGGCAGCTGCATTCCCAGAAACACTTCCAGACTGAACCAGACGAGGCTCAGTACCTGCCAATGAAACAGCAGGCTGGAAACTCAGTCTCTGGAGCTCCACCGAGACCGTTCTGGAGATCAACCTCACAAAGCTCCCTTCTCTTTTTACTTAAAACTGCAAGGCAAGGGTGTCTGTAGATGTGTGATTCTTCACTTTTCCACAGCAGATCCAGACATGAAAATCGCAGGACAGCAAATGCCCACTCTCAATGCTCTTTATAAGCAAAGACACAGACATGGGCAGCTAGTGTCTGGCTGACCGACAGCTCCCAGCGATCCGATGCATTCCCACGAAGTCCACTTATGAGATTTGCCTGTGTCAAGGAACACTAAAACCAGCAATAACTTTTGGCAATGCAAACGCATTCCTATTAGCTGAATAGGCACGACCAGAGATTATATGCCCCCGTGGTCTTGTTTTGAACTACAAAAGAAGGAGCTGGATTTCAAAGGAGATATGATAGAATTTTTTACCCCTGATGGGCTCTTAACTCTTCCTTATGTTTGTAGTGCAGGAGGAGTTAACATTTCTAAGAGTTCTGTTTGAGCAAGTTGCAAAGTAGCTCTGAAATGAAATGGCCAGTTTTAATGCAGTTTTTAAAAGGGCAAAATATCTCTATCACTTAGCACAGGGCCTGGCACATAAAGGATTCTCAATAAATATTTGTTGATTAAATGAATATACAGAAAGGACTCAACAGAAAAGCAGGGTAATCTCTAATCGTAATTTCTTCCCCCTCAAAAGTGTTAAGTCAAAACTCATGGAGATAATTCCACCCAATAGTATCCTAGGCAGGGCCTCCGCCCTCAGCAGCTGAGCAGGTTTAGAGCCATTCAACTCTAAGCCCCAAGTTGCGCAGGGCTCAATTTACATGGCTATACATGTAAATTGATGAAAACATACACCTGATGAGGTGTTCAAGGTGGAAAAATTAAAGAAATTGGTTGGGCACGGTGGTTCATGACTGTTATCTCAGCACTTTGGGAGGCTGAGGCAGGTGGATCGCTTGAGCTCAGGAGTTTGAGACCAGCCTCAGCAACATGGCAAAAACCTATCTCCACAAAAAATAATTTTTTAAATTAGCCAGGGGTGATGGTGCACTGATTGTGCCACTGCACTCCAGCATTGGTGACAGAGTGAGACCCTATCTCAAAAAAAAAAAAAAAAAAGAAAAGAAAATTGTTAAAAGTCTACAATAGCTAAAATAGCATTTTCCAAGTGGTATAATGTGTTCCCCCATGACAGACAAATACATTTTAAGAGGTATACAGCACACTTCATTTTAATCAGTTTTAGTGTTTGAGAAAAAAAATCACTAAGTATCTCAAGCATGTATAAGCTATTCATATGATAAGCTGTAATATTAATGATGTGATTGCTTTTATAATTAGGTTAAATTCACGCTGGTGGGTCCTGGGTGACTGAAGTTTGAGAAACATGGATGCAAACTATGTTGCCTCCATATACAGAAACATCACCGCGAGTCCATCAATGATGGGAAGTGCTGTACCTGTGATGTTTCTGCAATTGAGCGAATCCACCCACAGCCCTTCTGAGGAGTCCTTCCTGAGACACCTCTGGGGTGGGACCTGCCAGGTGAGGCCGAGGAACACAGCCAAGCTAATGGCTCCCATGGAAACGGGAAATCTTAATAGAGACCCAATCCACAACCCTGGATCTCAGTAGCTCTGTGCTCTCACCAACTCTGTTTTGGGTTTTTGACCAAATCTTTAAACAATATGCTTGGAAAATTAGTAGGTTCAAGCAAAAAGAAGACCCTTAGTACCTCTGCTGAGTAAAAAGTGCATATGGCAGACATTATGCCAGCTGAATGAAACATTTTGTGTGCCAACTTTAGAAAAGGGTCAATTTAATTTCAAGTAATTAGCAGAAAGGCAGCCTTGAGGCATGGATCAATGCAAGGAATGTGAAATACCAGAGCTAGGTCAAATACTGAAGAGTTGGGAATTAATTTTTTTAAGAAATGTTTTTTTCCCCCAGGGAAAAGAGCCTAATGATTAGGTTTCTAAGTAATTGATTTAACTTATTGAACATAGCTATTTTATTTATGTCTATAGGTACATCCATAAAGAGCCAAATTCCTGGCATATTTCCTTTTATACCATTTTATTTTATTATTTTTTGAGATGGAGTTTTGCTCTGTCACCCATACTGGAGTGCAGTGGTGCAATGTTGGCTCACTGCAACCTCCGCCTCCTGAGTTCAAGCAATTCTCCTGCTTCAGCCTCCCAATTTTATGCCATTTTAAATTAATTATGTGAAAAGATAGGGTGTGTCTCAGCCATGAGCCAGCACTTGAGATCTGTTTCTTTTATAATCTACCCACAGCAGACATACACATATATTTCCCACACTCTGTCAGCTGAGAAGGCCTAGAAGCAATGACTGCCCAGTAGCAGTGAGCCTATCTAGTACCTAGAGTCTCTAATACCATTCTCCAAGGAATCGGGCTCGTGGAGAAATGGCTGACTTTAGGACAGGTACAGGAAATATACCAGATGAACCCAGTGCAGCTTGCAGTGCCAGAAAGGAAGGAAGTGCTAGAACACACACACACACTCAACAGTCATACCATCTCTCTCACACACACTCTCACACATTCTTATACATTCCCATACACTTTCACACACTCAAACTCACACACTAATGTACACCCACACACTCACATATACTTTCACACACAAACTCACACACATTCACACTCTCTCACTCGCATACATCCACAAGCTCAGAGTCACTCTGTCATACACAAACACACACACATTCTAACACACAGATACACTTTCACATACATTCAAACTCATGCAGTGACATTCACACTCACACATTCACACATTCTCAGAGCCACACTCTCTCACACACACTCATTCTAACACACACTTTCACACACACTCAAACTCACATTCACACTCACACACTCACATACACCCACACACTCTCTCACACACCTTCACACATGCATCCATGGGTGTATGTCAAAGAGACACAGGAGCCAGTGAAAAGAACTCTCAATAGCCAAAGTAGGAACAATTTGAACAATAAAATAAATAAGAGTATTGGATTATATTCTAAAGTATAAAATAAATACCTGTATTAGTCTACTCTCACACTGCTAATAAAGACGACCCAAGACTGGGTAATTTTTAAAGGAAGGAGATTTAATTGACTCACAGTTCCACATGGCTGGGGAGGCCTCACAATCATGGCAGAAGGCGAAGGGGAAGCAAGACACATCTTACATGGTGGCAGGCAAGAGAGCATGTTCAGGGGAACTGCCCTTTAAAAAACCAGCAGATCTCGTGAGACTTATTCACTATCATGAGAACAGCATGGGAAAGACCTGCCTCTGTAATTAAATTACCTCCCACCAGGTCCCTCCCACAACATGTGGGGGATTGTGGGAATTACAATTCAAAATAAGATTTGGGTGGGGACACTGCCAAACCATATCAATAACCATAAGACCACATTAATGTCGTTAAATGATTAAAAACATAAATAGGGAGCACAGACAAATCTCACATGCATGAGAATTCCAAATAATGGATGCAGCTACCTCGCCATCCAGGGGTGCAGCGTAACTCCCCACTCCTCAAGTATGGGATGCGCACAGTGACCTCCTTCCAGGCAACACAGCATGGGAAGGGGGAAAAAGGAGCTTTGTAAGTGGAGAAACCCAGCAAACACAACCTCAGCCAGGTGCTGAAGCACCTACAGATAAGACATATGCACAGTATGTCCCCTTGATATGGTGTAACAAGATGGGGAATTTGCCTCTGTGATCTGCTGCCCAAAACAGACAAGCCCAGTCCCATCATGAGAAAAACGCTGGAAAATCCCAGCTGAGGGCCAGTCTATGCCACACCTGATCTCTACTCCCCAAAACCGTCTAGGTCATCAAGGACAAGGAAGGCCCAATAAACCGCCACAACCAAGAGGAGCCTTCAGAGACACGACACTGAACACGATATAATGTGAGGTCCCAGATGAACCATCAGAAAACGAACATTGAGTCAAAGCTAAGAAAATCAGAATAAGGTACGGACATTAGCTCCTAATAATCCACTGATAAGGGCTTGTTAATTGTGACAAGTGTAACAACAGGGGAGACTTGGTGTGAGGTACATGAGAACCATACTATCTTTGCAATTTTTTTATAAATTAAAAATTGTTCTTATATAAAAAGCTTATTTTTAAAGATCTAGCAAGAGCAGTCTTGGGAGGATGGAAGGGTGGGAATTGACTTTTATTCTTCCTTGCCCCAAATCTCTAATGGGCAGATTTCTCTAAACACATGTAGTCTTGGGAGACACGTGTTTCCTTTTGACCATTTACGTGTGGTGCCCACCATGCATTCTCAACGGGGATGAGCAAAATTGGTACTAGGAAGGGGACGAAAACCTTCGCTATTACAAAGGTTTTTACCCTCCAAAGTTTAGCTTAGCACAACCCAATAAAATCTTATTCCTTAGTGTTCAAGTTCTCTTGTTAGAAAGAAACTAAATTTAAATTCATTTAGTTTTTCTCTTTAGGCAGGCGGTAACAAAAAATGCTGGTAAAACACTAGTGTGCACCACCAACAATGCATGTCTTCCTCACATTCTCAGGGACACGTGCAAGACACAAGAGCATGAGGAGTGTCTTAAATATATCCAAAAGGAAATTCTTCCCACAGCGGCTCTCTATGCAGGCATATGTTACATTCTACAACGGTGCTGTAGTCAAGCGTTGTTTTAATATAATTTTATATACGTGGTTGCAGGCACTGTCAGGATAGGTATAAAAATGTTTCTCACTTTTTAGGGAAAGAATAGGAGGATTTAAAAAAATCTGAACTTTACATTTTGGTTGAACAAAAACATCTTCATCACTATCACAACTACTTATTGAGTGATTATTAAGGAACGGTCCTCACTGGTTATATGTTGCAACTTCAAAGAAATTCCACAGTAAACACGTAGATGAAGGCTTCCTCAGCTTTCCTCTGACATAAAATTATAAAGTGCAACATTAATACCATTAAATCTCTTGGGAAGATAAGCTCTTCAGTTTAAAGTAAGATTTTAGAATCCTAATCCTTTCTGGAAGTTATATGTTCTTCCAAATGACCTCAATCCCCAGAATGTTCTCTCTCTTATTAAAAAATGTCAGGCTTAAAAAGAAAAAAATATTGTCACAAATGAACTACACAAAGATAATTGTGAAAAATGGGGAACCAAGGTATGCAGTATATAAAAATTCTCTGTAATGTCTTTGCAATTTTTCAATAAATCCAAAACTTTTTTAAAATAAGTTGTTTATTTTTTAAAATCCCATATGTCTGACTAAGTACTTATTCAAATTTACTACAGTCTGTGAGCTTCTCAAGGGCAGGATTGGGTCCCATTCATCCTTGCTTCCTGGGAACCTGACCTCGGGTCTCAAAGACAACAAGCATTCATACGTCCTTGGGCAAATGTACAACTGAAAACAGAATTCATCAAACTCCTTCTCTCCTAATGTCAAGTAACTATAAGCCCTACATGTCAGTCAAACATAAAAAGCATTACTCAGGATTACAAAAATATATTTTACAATTTCTGTCTCAAGAAGGTAAATCATGATATCTCCTGCATTATCCAAATTTGTTCAGTTATTTTAAAATATGATTTTTTTTTCAAAAGGACCCAGTTTAATGATGATGACAGAAGCTTGTAGGGGAAGGAAAAGGTACAGAATCTAAGACAACCCGATTCAATAAAAACAATTTAAAAGTATGATATTAAGGCCTTGCTAAGAGGTCACAAGAAACAAGCGAGTGGGTGGTGAGTGTTGTTGGAAATGCAGAGCCCTTCCTTGGTTGAATGAGAGCTCCCTAAGCCAGGGACACAGTTGAAACAAGTACAATACCTTGGCCTGCTTTCTCCTCTTTGTGTGTTGGCCAAAAAGGAGGAGTGAACAGGAAAGACCCTGGCAGGGAGTTGGGATGCAACAATCACATCTTGTTGAAGAAAGCCAGATCTCCCTCGGAGGCAAGACAGACAGGGAGGGAGAGAGCGCTGGCGAGTGCTCACCACGTCTGCCCCCTGAACCATGACCTCAGCTGTCTGGAGTCAAGATGTATGAAGCAGTCCTGATATGATGCCCAGGGGAAAGAAAGTTAAAGATTTTTCTGAAAGGTAGCAGAGGAATATGCAAAGAATACTGGATTTCAAATCTGACAGGCCTTGGCCCAGATGCTAGTCTTCTCGCTTAACTTTCTACCTGGGGGTCGGGGGGGGGGCTTCAGCAACCTCATGTGCACAACAGCATCCACCTTGCAGGGCTGCTGGGGGCATCCAGCGAGCTGATATCTATGGAATATCTAGTCTAGGGGTTATAAACTATGGCCCTCGGGCAAAGCCAATGCACTGCCTGTTTTGGTTCAGCCTGCAAGCTAAGACTCATTTCATATTCTAAAATTGTTTAAAAAGATTTTTCATGACACATGAAAATGATACTAAATTCAAATTTCAACGTCCAGTAAGTTTTATTGGAACATAGCCATGCTCATTCATTTATGTATTATCTAGGGCTGCTTCTACGCAACAGCCCAGTTGAGTCGCTTCAGCAGGTATCATTGTGACCTGTGCTGCTGAACATATTTACTGTTCAGCTCTTCCCAGAAAAATCTGCAGAACCCCAGTCTGGCTCCGTCCAAGGCCAAGACGGGGATCCCAGTAACTGCCAGTTTCCTGTCCTTCCACATCTTTTCTCACCGTGCAGTGGTTCTCAACCCGGGGCAATTTTACACCCCAGGGGCCACGTGGCAATGCCTGGAGACATCTGTGACTAGAAGAGGGTGGCGCTGGCATCAGTCAGGTGTATCAGGGATGCTGCTACACATCCAGGAACTCCCAGGCCAGTGCCCTCCCCCCACACACAGCAAAGGCTTATCCAGCCCTGGGGCAGTGATAGGAGGACCCGGTGAGGGACAGGAGAGAGGCTGGCATTTGCTGAGGATCCAGCATGTGTAGGGCATGGCATCAGGTCACAAGGCCACCATCACCATCTCCTTTACAGCTAAGGAAACAAAGCCTGAGCAAGGGCGAATGACAAGCCCAACGCCACACAGCAAGGCAGAGGGAGTCCGAATCCATTTCTGCAGGTTCCAACATCCACGGTTCTTCTCCTCCCACCATGCATGGAAATGATTCTTTAAACAGCTGAGCTCCCAGACAAGATACAAGGGTGCCAGCTTTTACCTCTCCAAATCCTCTCTCCATAATGATGGGTTATATGAGGTCTGGTGCAGGAGTTGGGGCCTCCAGCAGCCTCCTGTGTGGCAGACACAGCTTCATGAGGATTGTCAGGCCAAGGGTGGGGTTGGGGTTCCCACAGAAGGTAAGAAACTGAGTGGGACAGACCATACCCAGGAACCCAGAGAGTCTGGGAACAGTGTTCCAACCATGAGCCACTGTGCATGTCATATGATGATATCTATTCCACAGTAGGTATTTTAGTCATTACATTCTTAAGAGGAAACACCATTGGCTGGCTTGGAAGCTAATGTAAAATAGATGCTTCCTAAGTCTGAAAGGCTAACTATTGAGCCTGTTCAGCCAAGCTGGAGGTGCTACCATCTAGCCTGAGCAACTCCTGCAATTACTCGAATAATCCCTTAGATAAAAAATATAGGTCTGGCTATGTCAACCCACCCATGTAGAGTAACAGCACTGCTCTTGGCACAGAGCTACACTTGGGGCGGTGTCCCAGGTAAGATACCACATAGCACTAAAGTGAAGAAGGTAGCATTCTATCAGCTAGACGCAGCCTCCAAATGATTTTAAAGGACCCAGAGTTGCCAAAAGGAGGTAGGAAACATCTAAAAAGTTGTGGTAGTCAGAGTGGTTTGCAAGGCTCAGGATCCAGGCACGGATAAAGTCTCAGAGTCAGTCAACAAGCATCCTGCAATCACTCCACTCTGTGCCAAGCACTGCACCAAGGTGGAAGGGCACAGAGCTGTGGCTGCTGCCCTGAGGGAGGGCACAGGCTGGTTGGGAGAAGCAGGGATAAAAACTAATAATGATGGTACTCTGTGATCGCGCCAGAGAGCTGAATCCCAAAGTCATGCATGGTTGGGGTCTAAGGCCAGTATAGAAGGTAGAGGTGGCACCTGAGGCACAGTCCAAATTAATCTTTGAAAGCCTCACAGCTTTCATGCTTTTATACAGGTTCAGCATTTCTTCTCCACAGAGCACTGGGGCATTGCTTATTGGGTTGAGCATAGTCGAGTTGGCTTATTTTAGGGGTTGCGCTATTTCATGATATCCAACAGAAAGAACTAGAACTGCTCTTAGGAAGTAAGAAGCTTGCCTCATGAGAGGCAGAAGGAACTAAGAAAACAGCAGATGCCCACATGCTCCTTGGGGACCCAAGGGGATGTGATCACCTATGTCACTTAAGTTGCGTCTCTGCAGCATCTGTTTCTGCCATGTGCAAGGCTGAATTTGCATGAATTAAATGTGTGCATGATATGATTGCACATCACAGAGATGTGGACAACTTATAAAGACAAAGGTATGGGAAGGAAGAATTTGGCCAGGAGGCCAGGGGTTCAGGATGGGTTTCACAAGAGAAGGTGCCATTTAAGAATGAGTGCTTAAGTGGTGCTTCAAGAATGAGTAGGACTGAGGGAGTCAGGGGACATGGGGACAGAACATAGTGCAAGCATGGTGTAAAGAACGTGGCCTATTTAGGCAACTGGCTGCCCTGACAAGCTTCATGGCTAAGATGTAGGGGTGGGGGCTCTAGAGTCCAGATGGCCCAGGCTACCCAGTCCCATGGGCATCATGCTAAGAAGCCTGGCTTTGAATTCAGGTGTCATCCGGGACTTCCGAAGGACTGGAAAGCAGGAAGGGAACAGGTTCTATCTGTGCTTTAGACAGAGTACCCTACCTCCTTTTGTAGAATGGAGGAAGACTAATGAAGGCAGTGGTAGACAGCAGAAAGAAGAAGCACATGTCAGGATACTGGGCCAGTAGAGTTAAGAAGTGTTTCAAACCTTACTATTTCAGGGGAGAAGGAAGATGACAACCTTATCTTCTAGGGACAATTAAATTAAGTGGGAGGCAGAGTCTACGTTGGGGGACAATACATTTGCATAATTGGGAACTTTCAGCTGGAGGTACCTGTAATTGATTGGAAGTAGATGATCAAATCTCAGGGGTCAAAGCAGAATGAGAGGTGTGGATTTTAAGTCAATGCATGCTAGATGACAAAAGCCGAAGTTATTGTTCGTAACACCTGATACAGCGGTTCACACAGTGGGAACTCCACGTGTGGTAGCTCTCACTGCTATTTTCACTTATGTGAGCCCCTAGGTGCAAGTAGACCATGAGGTCACAGTTGAGAGGGACATCACCAGCGGGACCCTTCATCAGAAGTGGGGCCACAAAGAAACTCAGAGGACACCAAGAATGAGGGACAGAGCCAGGAAAGCTAATGAAAAGCAAAAACAAAAACATATGAGAAGAAACATGAGAACGGGGTCTCAGGAGCCCAAAGAAGAGAGGAGTTCAGAGGAGGAGAGGGAATGGGTATCAAGATAAGTAAGATAAAGAGTGAAAGGTGTGTGCTGGCTTTGGAAATTAGGAAGCCATCTCTGACCTTGGCAAAGGCCATTCCAATGACATGTTGGGAATGGGAGCTGCTACCAAGGGTTGGGAGGGAACTGGGGGGAGGCAAGCCAGTGAATGCGGATCACCTTTCTGGGAAGTCTGGCTGTGAAGGAAAGAATGGGGATGGTTATTGGAGGGGAGAGCAGGGCTCCGTTTTCTCAGCTGTAAAAAAAGGCAAATGGAAATGTATGGAGTAGAATGTGCCTCTGTCATTTTAATTAGCTGCTATTTGATATTTGAGACCTGCCATATGCTAAGGGAAGCTTTGGTTTCATGTTCTAATGGGTTTGCCTTCCATTTTCCATTTCTTATACTCTTTCTGTAACTTCATTCTCACTCAAGGAAGCTGGAAATTGGACATTTCCTGAAGTATTCAAAGGCCGAGCTCAAGTGAGGTCATCTCACGATCAATCACATTTTGACATGTCTTCGCTGGTTCCGCGGTTAATTTTTTCAAGACATGAAATTGGAATTTGGTTCCTAAAGACACTGTAAACTTTCAGTGTCACCTTACATTTCTGTAGTAGTGTTAAGTTTCTAGCGTATTTTACAGCCATCGTTTCATCTCATTCTCACAATGACCCTTAGAGGGAGGGAATGCAGATAAGTTTATCCCTGCATTATAGACAACAACCAATGAACAAAAAAGTGCAAGCTCTCCAACACACACAAGGTCACCTCCTTTCCTGTCCCTCTACTCTTTCCACTAAATTATCAGTGGCAGTGATGGCTTGATTCTTGATTTGGAAAGGACATTCTAACATCCCATTCAGAAAGAAAGAGACAGAGAACTTGACAGTAATTTTACCTAAATCAGCCGAATCGACTTGACCAGCAATCTGGCATTGGATGCAGCATCAATTTCCCCAAGTGGATCTAAGCCTTGGGTGCTCACTAAAATCACCGGGGAGTATTTTTTTTTTTTTTAAGAAATCTGCATGGACCTGCCTCAAACCATTTAAATTAACTCTCAACAACTGGAGGTTGAACACTGTTATTTGTAAAAGTTTCTGGGTGATTCTAAAATGCAGCTAGGGTGAGAACCAGTATACATAGTAAGTCAATGACGTGGTGAACACCAAATTAGACAGGGGGTCCTTTCTCTTTGGGGGTGTATATGATGGAAGCTCCTGCCACCTATGTAGCCAGGGCCAAAACACAGGGGTTGTCCTTAACACCTTGAATCCACGGGCAAGTCCAACAAACTTTCCCTTCAAAGTACGTCTCCAGTCCAATCGCTTCTGGTGCTGTCCGTGGTCAGAGTGTGGACGCCTCCCTCTCCTTCCTGGACAGTTGCACTGGATTCCCCATGGCTCTCCTCATTTCCATTCAGGGCCCTACACTGCAGTCTGGGCACAGCTGTCAGAGGTCACTGTTAAAACTCACTTGCACGTCCTGCTCCAAGCCCCCAGGAACCTTCTCATGGCTGTTCTACCTTGTCAGGGCCCTGCTCACCTCTCTACACGCTCCCTCTTTGGCTCCCTCTGTCGCTGTTTCCTCGGCCTGGATGCTCTTCCCCAGAACTCCACATGGCAGGCTCACCCTTCATGTCATTTAGGTCACCTTCAGATGTCACCTCCACAGAGAGGCCTTTCCTGACCACCCTCAGGGCAGAGATGCAGCTCCAGCACCAGGTGCATGGCAGGCACATAATCCAGATTTGGGAATGAGTCACTGAACCCCCAGGAACTTGTTACCACTTTTTAGCCCAAAGTGCTTTGAGACAAAGCACAGCGGGGCAGGTGACCAGGCTGCCTGAGGTCACAGGGGTGGCCCCATGCTATGGCACCATAGGATGAAGAAGAATGCACATGAGGAGAGAATGGAGGGACAGTCAGAGCCCCGGAGCCATGGCGTGGGGCTGTGGTTAGTGCCTCTGGGTCACAGAGCGACGTGCCTTTCATGCCAAGCCTAGAGTTTGTCTTCACACTCTAGGATGCGGATGTGAGGAATGCCTCTGAGGTTTTCAAGGAAAATCATGATGAGTTAGATCTTCATTTTAGGAAAACAGTTGTGGAAATCTGTCCGGAAGAAAGCCAGAAAGGATGTGACTTGGAATTTGAGGCCCCCTTTCTTTAGGTTCCCATGGCATTCCCAGCCAGAAATTGCTGGCCAAACTTCCAGATCTGGCTTACTGGACTTGCCATGGCCATCAGATAAAATGTTTAAGAGTTAGGGATTTCTGGCAGGGCACAGTGGTTCAGCCTATAATCCCAGCACTTGGGGAGATCGAGACAGGAGGATTGCTTGAGCCCAGGAGTTTGAGACCAGCTTAGGTGACAAAGGAGGCCTGTCTCCTACCCCCTCCCCACCCCCTCATCTCTACCAAAATAAATAAATAAATAATAATACGAAGAAATCAAAAAGCTAGGCATTTCTGTATAAATAAGGAATGTGTTTCATGGTTGTGAACACTGCATGTCACCTCTGGGGAAAAAGAGTCACAAAAAATTAATGTTATGATTTGGTAAGTCATATAAAATCAGAATATTTACCAGAGAAAGAAGGTCACAGTTTATGTCGCTATCTCAGGGTGAATGTCTGTTTCCTACAGGCTACTACTTCCACAGTGAGTTCACACATGGGAGGAGCCCTGTGGGAAATCTTGGCCCCTGTTGCTCCCGCATCACTCCAAGTCTGTCTTATTTTCCATGCTCTAGACACACCTGCCTCCTCCCTGCTCCTCCAGCCTCTTACACTCTGGCTCTTCTCATGGCTGGCTCTTTAGAACTTATTGAAAAAACTATCTTTCCTTCTTAGAAAGGGCTTTCCTGGCCAAACTATCAAAATCCATCTTCCCTGCTGGCCCCTAGAATACTTTGTTGTTTTTTTCTTAACACTTATCACAATGTGAATTTATTTAATTATGTTTCCCTTACTGCAACGTAAGTTGCAGGTGGCAGAAAGCGTGTCTGCCTTCTGCATTGGCTGTATGCCTAGCACCTGGCACATAATAGGTGCTTAGTTAAAAACTGGCTGAACAGAAAGAGGCAAGGAGTGAGAAGCAAATCTAAAAGTCTATATTCTGAGGCACAGCAGGCACCGTTGTTCTGCAAAAATATTCTTCACGTGAGTATGTTTTGTATACTGAAGATATACTGCATGATTCAGTTCAAAATGAAAATCTTGACTTACTGGTAATGAGGACAGATACACACATACACACCTTTGGCCAGAATGCCTATTCCCACAGCATGTATACACGTCTTCCCCATGGGGAATTCCTGCAAACAGGTACACACACGTAACAGACATTGACATGCACCACTCCTCACACAAGCTTTCGGGGTTACCCACCAAATATGAGTACATATTGTAATTTTATGGCCATACACTGATGCCATAAACTATATGTTGAGATGAGCCCACTGGCATTACAACAAAATGCTGTTCCCAACTTACCTAAGTCATCATGCCCCTACATAACGTCACTAACCTGGAATTCTTTAGTGCAGTAGGTGTATGCCTGTCACCCACAGGGCTCTCATTCTGGAGACAGAAACCCAGAAGAGTTGGGACAGCTACCTAATAATCATGGTTCTTCCTAGTCTTCTAAAAGATGATGCTTGTGACCCACAAGCACCAGGTGGTAAGCTTGGCCAGCAGTAGATGTGCCAGTCCCTCCTCCAACATGCCTTGTGATGTCTGCCAGGTGGCTGGAGGGTAGGAAGGAGGAAGCTGGGGGTCACAAACCAGAGAAGGCCTGAGCTGGTCCACCCCAGCGGCAGGCCCATAGCCCTCAGCAGCTTGTCCCTCCGATTCCCTCCAGGGAAGGTTGTCAGAAACAAGACAGGACACATTCAGTTAAATGTGCATTTCAGATAAGCAACAAATACTTAAAAAAAAAAAAAGTATGTCCCAAATATTGCACGAGACATATTTACACTAAAATTAAATACATTGTTTATTTGAAATCCAAATTTAACCAGGCATTCTGTACTTCTAACTTGCTAAATCTGGCAACTCTAACCCCAGGGAAAGTCTACATAATGGCTCCCAACATCCAAGAAACTTTAGATTATTCCATATTTTTCTATTATTCATGTATATCAATATTTTAAATCAACTTCTTTATAACGAAAGCCCACTCCTCTTTTACTGTATCTATTATGTTGTTTTTAATTTTGCTGACCAATAGCATGATGGAATTTTCTTTAATATCTTAAGTTTTTCTTCCAGAAAATATCAACACCACTATACTTGACTTGTACCTTGTATATTCAATTTGCAACAATGTCTGTGAAACAACAAAGTTAGAAAAAATGTGCACATTTGGCATTTGGGCCTTTTAATCAAACCACCAACCTTTCTAAAAGCTCAGTTTCCAAGGTAAGCTCCCTAGATGGAAATCACCTTATCATTACTCATATAAAGGTGGCCCACTGCAACCATTCCAGGAAGTGACAGAGGATGTTCACAATCTCAACTGCTCTTCAAAAAATCTGCTATTATGAAAAATGATCTAAAAATAGTTCTATATAATGCAAGGACCAAGCCATCTGTATGATCTCTTCAAAGAGCTCATATTTCCATAGATTTTTATCACTTTCCAACTGTTCCTACAAGCACTGAAATTTAAGAAAGTCATGTCAGTTTAGCAGATAAAACGCACCAAGATATTAAATTTAATCACTATTATTTCAATTATTTTATATTATTCTTTTACATCATAAAAGGCTCAAATCAAACATGTCAAAGTAAATAAAGTTTAGATTGCATTAAAACTCATGACAAATGGGTTTTTAAGTTGCATAAATATATTTCTAGCAATAATCAATTCGAGGAAATCAATGTTAATTAAATAGACATAAATATAGAAAAATGCCCATCATTCATTCAGTTAAACTGAACATGGAAGTTGTATATCTGGGACTGTAACCCCTGGTTTTTGTTCAAAAACTAATTTTCAGTAGATGCAAATAATGTTGGATCCCTCATCAGCACTGTCACATCAAAATTGGTTTGCATATTTTTGGCTTAAGAATAAAGCTTCCATTCTCTAAGGATAGAGTTAGCATTAAAGTGAGTAGAGACAACCCTTGAATGAGAGAATACCAAAGCAGCTAATGTGATTTAAAAGCTTCGGCAGTCTCAAAGCTGAGAAAAGGAGAGGAACTCACCTTGGAGTCGAAGCTCTTCACTGGGATCCAGAGGTCCCCACTCCCAACAGAGGCACTGACAACTTCATCAGCTCTTCCTTGGTTCCATAAGCTCACCCCTGAATCAAAAGGAAAACAGCCCTATATTTCACTCTAGTCAGGAAGAGTTTGGCATCAGAAGCTTATTACATAAATGACACAGTGAAAATATTTGGAAGTTAAATAAGCCCAGGGAAACACTAGAACCCATTAAGTCATGAAAAGTGTTAAAACTGCTGAATTCTCTGTCAATCTAACCATGAAAATTTTGTAACTTAAAGAAAACAAAAGTTAATTAATTTGTTCCTTCAAGACCTGTAACATGTGCTGGGGTATTATCATAGACAAGATATATAATTCAGTCCTTCAACAAGCAACAAAAATGCAAAAGTGACTTTTTTGAAATGATGAATTGATACTTTATTTAGGATCTGCTCTGTATTAAAAGTCACATGGCTTTAGCTGTATTAAGACTAAATCCATTTATTTAAGTCCCAGTGAATCTGTTAAACATAATGCCAATTCTCCTCTCTGCACTTATGGAGTCTAATTTTATATGCTTTAGTAAGTGATTCTATAGACAAAATTAATTTTCCAGTTCAGACTGACTAGACTGGTTTATGTTTTAAAAAAATCAAGTCATTCAATAAACTATTATATGATCTTGTTTCTTGGGGTCCTGTCTGTTGAACCAGTTAATATACCAACACAGGTTCAATTTAGACCCATTTCCATAAACAATCCTCACGGAAAGTATAACATTTTTCTCTTCTGGAGGGTGTATCACTTTCTCAACAAATACGCTAATTTCTCTGGACTTGCTCTCCTATGAGGTCATGCTCCTGCTATTTGGTTCGACCACAGTATATCCCTCAAGGTGAAGGATGGGACCAGATTCCCTCACATGTTATTCCCATTTCTTCAAGCAGGACTCATAATTTTCAGACCTGAGTCATAATAGCACAGTTTTAAGTTACTAAAGAGTTCACATTTATTGGGCACAAATGGTATTGAAATTTTAATCCTAGACATTTTACAGTTCCCCAAATACTTTTAAATCCACACCATTTTATCATGCTCAATGTGGAAGTCTGCAGTTATATTCAGGTTACCAAAGGATTACTACTCCCGTAGTCACTGTCTGAAACAGCCTCTGAGAAATTCTCAAGCTGGTCACAGAGTGTTTAAAACTCTCAGGTGTTGAGGACCAAGAGGACAAGGAACAGGAATGAACTGAAAGTCCGAAATACAGCCAATGGGAGAGGGCTGAGCTGCAACCCTCGACCGCATGGGGAAGGAAGGAGGGAGGGGACTATGGGCCCAGGACGTGTGGTCTTCAGGGTGTGGATGGGCTGAGTCTTCAGGGATGAACCTGCATTCAAGCGAGAAGGGTTCTGGCAGAGCAAGTGGAGGTGCTGGCTCTGATGGTGATATCTGTGACACCCGTGAACGGCTGCTTGGAGGTGAAAAGAGTCGACTCTCTGAATGGGAAGCATCAGAAGTCCTTCTCCTGGCTGCAAGGGTGCAACCACTGGCAGCATGGAGATCTTGAGTAAGTGTGTCTCCCTCCTCCTGTCGCTTGAGCCCATGCCTTCCATGTGCTCAAAGGCAGAATAGCCCAGGCTTTGGAGGAAGACGCACCCTGCAGCAGCACCAGCTCTACCACACATCAGCTGCGGGGCCACGGGCCAGTTGTGTCCCACGTGTTTACTCACCACTCACCAAGTATTCAACTGTCTACCTGGTGACAGGCACTCTTGTCAGTGACTCTAGATCTGATGCCTTCTATTCAAAAAGCCCATTCTTTCTTCTTCAAGCCAGCAGCCCCAAAGTGAGCCAGCTCCCTCCGTCTATACTGCTGAGACCCTCATCTCTTGAACACAGCTTCATCCCAGAAGGCTTGCCTCTCTCTCCGTCCTGTGCATTTCAGAGAGGGACGTAGAGAAAACTGCCCTCAGGACTTGCATTCTTGTACTGGGAGAGAAAAACGATGAAAAGAAGACCATTTCAGAGAGCCAGAAGTGCTGTGAAACAGCAGGACCACAGCAACTCTGCTAAAACTGCAACCTTCTTGTCAATCAAACATTATTTCAAAGTAAAAAAAAATTAAGAAGAAAAACAGGGTGACAGCAGAATGGCTGGGGATGGTATTTCTGAAGGACAGGCCAGGAAAGCCCCCCTTTTTTGTTGGGGATGGTGAGCTTATAAGCTGAGAGCTGATGATGAGAAGCCTCCAGCTGCACATATAGCCACGAGGATCGACAGCAGTAGAGGGAGCGCAAGACTTTCCTTTTCCGTAAAATGAGGCAGAGCGTGGTGAGCCCGAGGGAAATCACATGATGTGTGAGGGACGCATCGGCCGGTTTCAACGGCACTGTTCTCGAAGCTTTGCCAAGACCAGGGTCTCTTGCTCAGGACCCCACGGGATTCACACGTTGGAATGCAGAGAAACAAAGTGAGTTCTGATCCAGCTATACAGCTCCTGCAGAGGCCGACTACAGAGTGCAATTAACTGAACTTATAAGACAGCTGTCATGTTATTGGAATTGGATTAAGGCAGCTTTAAAATACTAGCAGTTATGGGGTGAAAACTGGAGATCCATCTGAACTTTCCCTTCACCTGCTGAAAAACCACACCACGCCGAGAGTTACCACGGGCATTGGCGTAGTCTTTGGAAAGTCAGCTAAAACTGTCAAAGCGATCGCGAGCATTTTAAAATATCCTCCACATAAACGAACCAGTTTAATTATAAGGTACTCCTGGCAGCGCTGAGTTTCCAACACAAGTGAATTGTTAAACTGAATAACCACAAATCAATCCTATTGCCAAGGATGTGTTAAACTGGGCAGAGAAAGAGTTCCAAAACTAGAATCCTGTGTCACTCCCAACCCAACCCCAGTAATGGGGAGGATGGGATGGTTTCCATGGGTATTCCAGCCACACTACCAAAAGGCCTGGAAGGTTTTCACCCAGGCCTCAGATGCCTGGAGGAAGAATCTTTGCACTTAATAGACTTCCCTTGAGAAGCTGTATGTGTGAGGAGGAAGGAGATGATGCGTGAAATCCGGGTCTTCTAGTCGAACTGTTTGCAGGTGCTCCTGCAGGGAGGGGTGTAGGGGAGGCAGCAACTCCACACCTTGACTTTGGGGAAGTTCAGGAGGTGTTGGTGGGGCCTCCTGTTAGATAATCAGGGTGAGGCTACAGAAACCAAGTGTAAAGAACATCCTCCATCCTCTGGACTGTTTCTTCCAAGGCTCTTAGTGGCTGAGAAAGACACAGTTATTTAGTTTCCTGAAGGCAAAATATTCCAACCACTGAAACATTTCCTGTTTCACCTACATATTCCAGTATCTCAATCCAAAAGGAGCCCTTTTTGGCAAATATGTTTTCCTTGAAGAGGCTTTATTTCCAAATATTCGAAGGAGAATTTAGAAGCAGGCTGTGGCAGCCCTTGTAGAATGTGGTGCAACCTTTTTGAGAAATTGAGTGACTGCACAATTTGCTGAGTACGGTATGTATTATCTATGTACATGGATAATCAAGCCATCTCTCAGCTTTTTCATTGGCTGCACAACAGCCCCTCAGCAATATCTGTAGTCAGAAGACCGTTTCTTATGAGCTTTTCTTATGTATTTATACACTGGTATTTCTTTTAGATGATGCAAATAAAAATTTTATTTCACTGCACGGATAGACAGAATAAATTATACACAGCTGTGAGGTATCAGAATATATTTTATGGAGTGATCTTATTGATAAATTATAAACACGGGACCTGAATGATGGATACATTCAAGCCTGAGAAACCCGGGGAAAAAATATGACCCTATAAAATACACAGTTTGCATATATTTTATTTTTCATAATATATATTTGGGCATCAACAGAACTCATAGTTACCTAAATAAGAAATGTGGATAGATTATACTGGGCAGGAAGCTTTTTTGCCACTGCGTAACCTGATACACTGCTTGCAGTTTTGATAAAATGGCCAGTTTGCTTCAGCCTCAGAGTGGAAAAACACATATTAGATCGTTCATCTCTGACAGTTATCTGCTGTGATCATCAGTTGTGCTTTCCCATGGGAAGTGTGTGCCTGCTTTGCTTGTCTCCTTGTCTGAGTTTGTCATTTTCAGATCTGATTCAGGCTAGTCAAGATTGCAATGAAAGTTTTTAAGGTTATGGGAAAGCAGGCAAAGAAGAAACCTCTCAAAGTGACTCCAGATCCTCCCCTCATGTCACCCAGAGCCTGGCTGCCTGCATGAGTCCTGCCCCATCCTTGCTCTAGCCAACCTTCCTTTGGTAACTTATGAAGGGAAACAGGAAAGGCTATAACCAAGTCCACACCACCCTGATGCCTACATCCGCGCAAGCTCCATTTCACAAGAGGTGGAGACTGATGCAGCAGCTCTAAGACATACACAGTGAAGAGGGGACATCTTGGAGCCATAAGACCTGACCCTGGTCCTGACTCCTCCTCGATTTATTTTCCTTTGTCAAAGCCTGACATCTGAGGCTCTACCGTCTACAAAATGAAAACTGCATTCTCTCCTCTAAGATTCTCATGAGGTTAAGGGAGCTCAAATAAGTCAACACAGTAAAGCGCTTTCGAAAAGCTTAATGCATGAAATCCGTCTTAGATATCAGAATCCAAGTTTCTAGACTTTGAGGCAGTGTCTGTTTAACCAAACCACACTATTGGTGCAAAAATCACAACTCCATATTGATCATTTGAAAATGCCAGTGTATAAGTGGATGCCAGTGGGCATCCTCCTAAGCCACCCAGTGGGCCATTGAGAAAATAAACTCTGATGAGATCATTAGTCAAGAGAAACTTAAATATCACACCTGGAGTTCTGGCTTGAAAGGGAAATCATTATCAACACCTACATGAACTTTAAAATGGAGAATCAATCTGAGGTGCAAAAAGTAGAATTAAGATAAACATCCTTTTGAAAAATCTAAGTGAAAGCAAAAAGTTGGGGCAGCCATTTGCCAAGAAGCCAGGGACAAGGCTTCGGAAACTGATGAAGCAATTTTTTTAGCCCCTAAATATCCGAGACCTAAAGGAAATCTTACAGAACTGAGCAGCTCCTTGTCTCAGGGCAATATGGTGGTGATGCTCCTATAAATGATAGCAAGATTTCCTTTCAGATTCACATTTTCAATCTTAACCAAATAATGATGTAGTTCTTTCATTTTAGCTGCACGCTCCCTACATGTAAATTAGTAATGCAATTTTAAAATAACGTAAGTGAAGGATCCACAAAAGAACCAATAGCAAAAGTTAAGCTGAAAAAAGTAACTTTATAATAGAGAAACCTGACAAACCCTGCTTTAGCCAGATGGTCAAGGTCAACATCAACAGAGATAAGTCCTGTGGATGGTACGACCCTTGACGTGATGTGATGACAGTCCCACTTCCATCTGTGATCTTCCACTTCAAAACCCACAGCCCCCGTCTAATCATGAGATAAATTCCCAAAGAGGTACGCTCTAAAATATACCAACCAGTAATCGTCAAAACTGTCAACATCATAAAAAACAAGGACAGTCTGAGGTACTGTCACAGACAAGATGAACCTAAGGAGACAGGACAACTAAATGTAATGTATCCTGGATGGGACTGAGCAACAGAAAAAATGCACTCAGTAAGAACCAATGAATAAAGTATAAACCTAATTTAAAATACTATGCAAATATTGGTTTACTAACTGTAACAAATGTACAATACTAAGGTAAGATGTTAAGAATAGGGGAAATGGGATGTGGGGTGTCTGGAAACCATCTGTTCTAGCTTTGCAATTTTTCTGTCACTCTAAAATCGTTCTAAAAATGAAGTCTACTAAGAATAATTTTTAAAATTTAATCTGAATTTTACAAGAATAATCATGTCATTCTGGAGCAGTTCAGTACATATCAAAAGGCTCAGGGATGACTGGTTATCACTGGGGGCTCCAAATACCAGAAAGATGGCATGTTTGCCATTCACTGCTCTTCTGACATTGCTATTTACTCAGACGGAAGATGCAGTACCTGCAGGCAAGCTAAAACCTTGTCACTGACAAGGATTCCTAGAGTAGAAAAAGGCAGAGGATGTGAAAATAATTGATTCTCAAGCAGCTTAAAGGGCCTTCTGAGTACTCTCCAGCATACTCTAGAAAACACAGAAACGGCAAGTTGAAATAAAAACTTAAGATTTTTTGCATCATTGGCTACAAGGGTCTGGGATGGCAGAAAAGTTAAAGGGAGAAACTGCCACTAGGTTTGGGAAGGTGACACCAAGTGACACACACACAAACACATTGACAAAACCACGTCAATACAGAATATAGCTTCTCTCAGAGCCTAAGATTGTAGCTACCACGCTGGCAGGCTGAATTACGAAGATGTAGGCAGGTGTAAGAGAAGCAGCATAATATTTTGAGTCAGAAGACGCATCCTGCATCCACCACACGCTCTCAATGACCCTGGGCAAGTTGCTTGCATTCCTTGCTATTCAGATCCTTGGTGAGTGGAGCTGGGCTATGGAACAACATCCGCCACAGAGGGCCGGCAAGAGGATCAAATGAGATCATAGATGCAAACATGTACATGGTGTATTACTCAGGTTTTCCAGAACCAACAGAATATGTGTATATAAAACAGGGAGTTTATTAGGAAGAACTGGCTCACACAATTACAAGGCGACGTCCCAGGACAGGCCGTCTGCAAGCTGGGAAAGACAGAGGCTGGTAGTGGCTCTGTCAAAGCCCGAAAGCCTCAAAACCAGGGAAGCCAACAGTGCAGCCTTCAGTCTGCAGCCAAAGGTTGGGAAGCCACTGATGTAAGTCCCACAGTCTGAAGTCTTCAGTCCCTGAAGTCTGATGTCCCAGGGCAGGAGGAATGGGAAGAAGGAAGAGAGCCAGAAGACTCAGCAAGCAAGCTTATCCCACCTTCCTCTTCCTGCTTTGAAGTCACTGGTGCAAGTCCCAGAGTCCAAAGGTCAAAGAACCTGGAGTCTGATGTCCAAGGGCAGGAGGAGTGGGAGGAAGCATTCAGCACAGAAAAAGAAGGAAATCAGAAGCCTCAGCAAGCCAGATCATCCCACCTTCCTCCACCTGCTTTGTTCCAGCTGTGCTGGCAGCACATGGGATGCTGCCCATCCAGCCTGGGAAAGGGCGGGTCTTCCTCTTCCAGTCCAACTCAAATGCCAATCTCCTCTGGCAACACCCTCCCAGACACACCCAGAAACAATACTTTATCAGCCATGTAGGCAACCCTCCATCCAGTCAAGCTGACACCTAATATTAACCATCACACATGGATCTCATTTGGTTTAGGTTGTTTTTTTTGTTTACTCCTTATCAGTCATTGGAAAGAAATACACCAAAATGCTCTTGCTGGCTTTCTTTGAGTGCTGGGGCTATGAATTCATTATGATTTTCTTCTTTATGTTTGTATGTATTTCTGGCTTTTCTATAACTGGCACATTATTACTTTTATGATGAAAAAATAAACTTAAAAAGATCCTTTGGACTTATGATGACAAAACAACAATTCTTCTGGCACCACAGATACACAGCCTTGGGCGTGTTAGAGGACAGAGCCATTTGGAAATAAAAGCAATCAAGTGCTATGGAACAATTACAATTTGGAAAAGATGTTTTATGTGTCATTTTGAAATTCAAAGAAAGCTAGTTATAGCTTCTCATAAATGTCTAAATAGATTCATACCCCAAGCACGAGCTGTCTCTACTACACATAAACATAACTGTCCATGCCTATGGTGCCTCCCAGCTGTGGGGAGCAAAGTCACTTACAACAGTAACTTACATTTTTTTTTTTTTTTTTTTTTTTTGAGACGGAGTCTCGCTCTGTCGCCCAGGCTGGAGTGCAGTGGCGGGATCTCGGCTCACTGCAAGCTCCGCCTCCCGGGTTCCCGCCATTCTCCTGCCTCAGCCTCCCAAGTAGCTGGGACTACAGGCGCCCGCCACTACGCCCGGCTAATTTTTTGTATTTTTAGTAGAGACGGGGTTTCACCGTTTTAGCCGGGATGGTCTCGATCTCCTGACCTCGTGATCCGCCCGCCTCGGCCTCCCAAAGTGCTGGGATTACAGGCGTGAGCCACCGCGCCCGGCCTGTAACTTACATTTTTATAACCGTTACTGGTGAGTGAGATACTAATCCCATTTTATACACTGTGAGACTAAACTATAGAGTTGTATAGGTTTTTCTCAAAGTTGCCTAATAATATAAATGGTGGAATTAATGGCAAAACCCAAGCCCTTTGCATGTCAAATACATACATTCACTTTGTAATGCTTTTGCAGAGGGTCAGAATTCTTCAATGCTTACCTTGCAAGAAATGATGTAAGGGGAAAATGAAACTAATTGTTAAAATGTACACCTAGGAATAATTTTTGGATCTTAACAGCAAAACAACAAGAATGGAACCTTGTATATGTCATTAAGTCCTGTAAACTTATTAAATGGAATTAAACAACAGTGAAAAACAAGTCATTCTGCATCTACACTAAAGCCCCAGCTCCATGTAAAGGCATTCTCTCACATCCCTGCTGCTTCACTGGGTATCTGTGACCACCTTCTGCCAAAATACACACCAACTTGGGCAGCACTCTGTGATTCTGGATTTCTTCCCCTCCTCTGCCCAGGTCTTGCCTCCTCCACTTGAACATTCCCCAAGTCTCAGCTCTTGGCCATCTTCCCTTTCTACCCTTACTGTTCCCCAGAGAACTCATTAATTTTTAAGCTGATGTTGCCCAAATCAATATTTTCTTCCCATCTGGCCACTTCACCCAAGCACAGTCTATATTTTATCTACAGGACATGTTAATTTCAATGTCTTGTCACCATCACCACCTCAAATTCAACGTGTTTAAAAATCAAAGGTTTTTAATCTTCATCTCCCAGCGAAAAACCAACACGTTTTCAATCATACACGTCTTGTCAATACCATCCACATTCATCGCCCTTTCTTAAGCCACGTGTCTGGATGACTGACTTCTTTGGCAGAGTCCTCTTCTTACAAAACTCCAGTTGGTGTTTTGCGCTTTGCTTTTGTTCTTTTGTCTTCTAAAAGATGCTCCTAGTACTTAACTGAATACTTCTAGATAGCCTCATCACCTGCAGGTTCTCCCTCTTTCAATCTTAAAGGAGAGGGACCTTTAACAAGAGCAAACATCTATGACAGGTTTCTCATCAAGAGAACATGAATGTGAAAACCCCAAGGCAGTAGAGTGCTTTGTGGGTTCCAGGAACAGCCAGGCAGTCAGTATGGCTAAGATGGAGTGAGAGATGGGATGCAGAGAGGGAGGAGCAGAAGTCCAGGTGGTAGACAAGGCTCAGACTGTGGCGGGCCTTTCAAGGCAGGGAAATTAAATTTTATTTGAGTGAAGTGGGAAGCCATTCTAGGGCTTTTTTTTTTTTTTTTTTTTTTTTTGAGACAGAGTCTTGCTCTCTCACCCAGGCTGGAGTGCAGTGGCCTGATCTCAGCTCACTGCAACCTCTGACTTCCAGGTTCAAGCGATTCTCCTGCTTCAGCCTCCGGAGTAGCTGGGACTACAGGTGCATACCACCACACCTAGTGAATTTTTGTATTTTTAGTAGAGATGGGGTTTCACCACATTGGCCAGCATGGTCTTGATCTCTTGACCTCGTGATCCACCCACCTTGGCTTCCCAAAGTGCTGGGATTACAGGCATGAGCCACAGTGCCCAGCCCCGTTCTAGGGCTTTTAAGCAGGCTAACTCTGACCCATAATGGACACATTCTCTGCCTAAGAATGGATTGTATAAAGCCTGAAGAATGGATAAATGAGAACTATTCATAAGGCAAACATGGAGTGTTGAACATAGATTACATAAACAAGAAATAGTTATTGATTACAACGAATGCTAATTAAGCAATTGCTATGCAAGGAAGCCCCATTCTAATCTTTTATAAGCTTACCTTGTTTAAACCCAACAACAACCCTGTGATATTTATCCCCATCTCATAGATGATGAAACTGAGGCACAGAAGTTAAGTAACTTGCCCAGGATCACACAAATCATGAAGCCAGGGGGCTGACCTATACAGCCAAATTACAGAATGCTGTGCTCATAATCCTACTGTGTGATAAATAAACACTCATGCTGATTAGGAAAACTTGGAGTATGATTCAGACTTTTTTCCTAAGTTCTGGAACCTCATGTCCTGATAGCACCATCTTCCTCTCTCTACTGCCACCATACTGACCAGCCTCCTGACCCCTTAATAGTGCTCAGCTATGTCCTACCTCGTGGCCTGTTTTTTTTTTTTTTTGAGGTGGAGTCTCACTCTGTTGCCAAGGCTGGAGTGCAGTGGTGCAATCTCAGCTCACTGCAACCTCCACCTCCTGGGTTCAAGCAATTCTCTGCCTCAGCCTCCCGAGTAGCTGGGTTTATAGGTGCCCCCACCACGCCTGGCTAATTTTTTGTATTTTTGGTAGAGACGGGGTTTCACCATCTTGGCCAGGCTGGTCTTGAACTCCTGAGCTCGTGATCCACCCGCCTCAGCCTCCCAAAGTGCTGGGATTACAGGTGTGAGCCATTGCACCTGGCCACAGCCTTTGCATTTGCTGTGCCCTCTGCATAGAATACCCTACTCTCAAACCTTCGCATGCCCCCAAACCTTGTTATTCAAGTCTCTGCTCAAATGTTACCCCTCAGAGAGTCTTCCCTATTTAAATACTTTTCCTCCCAACCCAAGTTGCTTCCCGGCCCGTCATCCTTTATCCCGCCTACAGCCACTATCAGTATCAAATCTTGTTTTATTTATTTACCTCTTTGTCTGTCTCTACCACCCCTCAATCAAAAATAGGAATAACAAGAGGTAGGGGCCTCGTCTATCAAATTTACTGCTATATCTTCATGTGCAGACAAGTATTTGTGCAATGAATTATTATCAAACAAATTAAAAATTTCCATGGCCTCATTGTGATCATGATGAGACAGGAATGGGGTCCAAGGCTTCGTTCTCATGGACACTCTGATGAGTGATTGACTTTTAGCTCACCCTGCAATGTCTGATCCCTCACAGGTGGATGCACACAACCAAATCCACATGAGCCTTATTTATAAGCCAGAATTCCAATTTGCTTATTTTTAATGAGAAAGAACTGCCAAGTCAACCAGAGTCCTCATCTAAAACATTTTGTTCATTATCTACCCAGCAGGAAAGCTTCCTTGAGAAGCCAAATTAAGAGGAGAACAGAGAACTAAGGGACCATAATAGCAATTGCCATCATAGTAGCCTGATATTTCCTTCTCTGTTTAAGGATCCATGCCTGCTTCATTAGCTGAGGGGAAGCTAAGCCCCAGCATGTACGTGGCTACACACCAGAAGGCAGTGGGCACAGGGTGATGATTTGAATTTGAAATGTATTTTTTATAGACTCGGTTAGTTTTTGAAGGTTAACTCTTAAATGCCTTTTAACTCATAGAGTTGACTTTCATATCACCATTTAGAACATTTCATTTTCTCTATGAGAAAAATGCACTTTGACTTCTAATGTGGGTAATAGTTTCTAGATCTGAAACCTCATGCGTTTTCATGGGAAAATAGAATCTGAATTCCAAAAGACAACAAGAAGGGGCACATCCTATGCCCCATGCCCGACAGCAGGAATGTTCATTTCCCTTTTTCCCCACTTGCAGGGATGACTGTGGCTTGGGCAGGATGCAGGTGGGGAATAGGGTGAGATGGGGAATAAGGTGGGACTTCAAGCACTGCAATGATTGGAATCACAAAGTTAGGGGACACCTGCCTAAGTTCCAGTGGCCAAGGAGAAAGTGTGGCTATCTAGAGGTAGGTGCTGACATGATTTTTACAACCTTTGATTTTCTAGCCATTGACTTTGGCCATTGAATTTGGAGGACCCAAATGGGCAATCATAATTTAAATAGTCAAACAGGATAAACAAAACTATTACAACTTAGAATTAGCGTCCTGAAGAACTTTTCATTCTATTCAATTTGACAGATATTTATTAGGCATATAGATTGACCCAGGAACATTTTAAATAATTCTAATGAGAATTTTTTTTGTTCTTAGTGTTTGAAACTAAACACTGTGCTTAACTGTTTAAATCCTTGCTTCATCTTACATAGAGAAGCCAAAAGAGTAAAGAAAACTGTTCATTTTAGGAACTTCTAAATAATTTCCTCTCAACAATACCCATCTTGATTCTGATCTATTCCCACAGACAAGAGAACTGGTCCAATCCAGTATCGGCTGGCAGGTCTTTTATCAGAGCAAGAACATTTGTAGGCTGAGAACACTGCCTTGGTTTAAAATCCACACTAATGATGCATTAATTGTTCTAAATGGATTTTCATTTCTCTGCAAGATGAGCACTTAATATGTCATCCAAGGGAGCAGTTTTTCTCCTTTCGGCGTCTGATCACACAGTGTAGCACCATAAATCAACAAGGTGAATCCGCTGATGAGGGCTGGAGGGAGGGTGGAGGGGTGGGGCATGGGCAGGGTTCCCTCCTCCTCTCTGCTGGTCCTGAAATGTGACTGGTTTCCCTTCATTCAGCAACGACCAGGCACTGGCAAGTTGACAACTCAATAGCCAATCATTATATTTTTTTCTTTTTTTATTATTATACTTTAAGTTCTAGGGTTTGTTACATATGTATACATGTGCCATGTTGGTGTGCTGCACCCATTAACTCGTCAGTCATTTACATTGGGTATACCTCCTAATGCTATCCCTCCCCCCTCCCCCCATCCCACGACAGGCCCTGGTGTGTGATGTTCTCTTTCCTGTGTCCAAGTGTTCTCATTGTTCAATTCCCACCTATGAGTGAGAACATGCGGTGTTTGGTTTTTTGTCCTTGCAATAGTTTACTGAGAATGATGATTTCCAATTTCATCCATGTCCCTACAAAGGATATCAACTCATCATTTTTTATGGCTGCATAGTATTCCATGGTGTATATGTGCCACATTTTCTTAGTCCAGTCTATCATTGTTGGACATTTGGGTTGGTTCCATGTCTTTGCTATTGGGAATAGTGCCGCAATAAACATACATATGCATGTATCTTTATAGCAGCATGATTTATAATCCTTTGGGTATATACCCAGTAATGGGATGGCTGGGTCAAATGGTATTTCTAGTTCTAGATCCCTGAGGAATCGCCACACCATCTTTCACAATGGTTGAACTAGTTTACAGTCCCACCAATAGTGTAAAAGTATTCCTATTTCTCCAGATCCTCTCCAGCACCTGTTGTTTCCCGACTTTTTAATGATCACCATTCTAACTGGTGTGAAATGGTATCTCATTGTGGTTTTGATTTGCATTTCTCTGATGGCCAGTGATGAGGAGCATTTTTTCATGTGTCTGTTAGCTGCATAAATGTCTTCTTTTGAGAAGTGTCTGTTCATATCCTTCACCCACTTTTTGATGGGGTTGTTTTTTTCTTGTAAATTTGAATTCTTTGTAGATTCTGCATATTAGCCCTTTGTCAGATGAGTAGATTGCAAAAATTTTCTCCCATTATGTAGATTGCCTGTTCACTCTGATGGTAGTTTCTTTTGCTGTGCAGAAGCTCTTTAGTTTAATTAGATCTCATTTGTCAATTTTGGCTTTTGTTGCCATTGCTTTTGGCGTTTTAGACATGAAGTCCTTGCCCATGCCTATGTCCTGAATGGTATTGCCTAGGTTTTCTTCTAGGGTTTTTATGGTTTTAGGTCTAACATTTAAGTCTTTAATCCATCTTGAATTAATTTTTGTATAAGGTGTAAGGAAGGGATCCAGTTTCAGCTTTCTACATATGGCTAGCCAGTTTTCCCAGCACCATTTATTAAATAGGGAATCCTTTCCCCATTTCTTGTTTTTTGTCAGGTTTGTCAAAGATCGGATGGTTGTAGATGTGTGGTATTATTTCTGAGGGCTCTGTTCTGTTCCATTGGTCTTTATCTCTGTTTTGGTACCAGTACCATGCTGTTTTGGTTACTATAGCCTTGTAGTATAGTTTGAAGTCAGGTAGTCTGATGCCTCCAGTTTTGTTCTTTTGGCTTAGGATTGACTTGGAAATGTGGGCTCTTTTTTGGTTCCATATGAACTTTAAAGTAGTTTTTTCCAACTCTGTGAAGAAAGTCATTGGTAGTTTGATGGGGGTGGCATTGAATCTATAAATTACCTTGGGCAATATGGCCATTTTTACGATATTGATTCTTCCTATCCATGAGCATGGAATCTTCTTCCATTTGTTTGTGTCCTCTTTTATTTCATTGAGCAGTGGTTTGTTGTTCTCCTTGAAGAGGTTCTTCACATCCCTTGTGAGTTGGATTCCTAGGTATTTTATTCTCTTTGAAGCAATTGTGAATGGGAGTTCACTCATGATTTGGCTCTCTGTTTGTCTGTTATTGGTGTATAAGAATGCTTGTGATTTTTGCACATTGATTTTGTATCCTGAGACTTTGCTGAAGTTGCTTATCAGCTTAAGGAGATTTGGGGCTGAGACGATGGGGTTTTCTAAATATACAATCATATCATCTGCAAACAGGGACAATTTGACTCCCTCTTTTCCTAACTGAATACCCTTTATTTCTTTCTCCTGCCTGATTGCCCTGGCCAGAACTTCCAACACTATGTTGAATAGGAGTGGTGAGAGAGGGCATCCCTGTCTTGTGCCAGTTTTGAAAGGGAATGCTTCCAGTTTTTGCCCATTCAGTATGATATTGGCTATGGGTTTGTCATAAATAGCTCTTATTATTTTGAGATACATCCCATCAATACCTAATTTATTGAGAGTTTTTAGCATGAAGGGCTGTTGAATTTTGTCAAAGGCCTTTTCTGCATCTATTGAGATAACCATGTGGTTTTTGTCTTTGGTTCTGTTTATATGCTGGATTACATTTATTGATTTGCGTATGTTGAACCAGCCTTGCATCCCAGGGATGAAGCCCACTTGATCATGGTAGATAAACTTTTTGATGTGCTGCTGGATTCGGTTTGCCAGTATTTTATTGAGGATTTTTGCATTGATTTTATCAGGGATATTGGTCTAAAATTCTCCTTTTTTGTTGTGTCTCTGCCCGGCTTTGGTATCAGGATGATGCTGGCCTCATAAAATGAGTTAGGGAGGATTCCCTCTTTTTCTATTGGTTGGAATAGTTTCAGAAGGAATGGTACCAGCTCCTCCTTGTACCTCTGGTAGAATTCGGCTGCGAATCCGTCTGGTCCTGGACTTTTTTTGGTTGGTAGACTATTAATTATTGCCTCAATTTCAGAGCCTGTTATTGGTCTATTCAGGGTTTCAACTTCTTCCTGGTTTAGTCTTGGGAGGGTGTTTGTGTTGAGGAATTTATCCATTTCTTCTAGATTTTCTAGTTTATTTGTGTAGAGGTGTTTATAGTATTCTCTGATGGTAGTTTGTATTTCTGTAGGATTGGTGGTGATATCCCCTTTATCACTTTTTATTGCGTCTATTTGATTCTTTTCTCTTTTCTTATTAGTCTTGCTAGAGGTCTATCAATTTTGTTGATCCTTTCAAAAAGCCAGCTCCTGGATTCATTGATTTTTTGAAGGTTTTTTTGTGTCTCTGTCTCCTTCAGTTCTGCTCTGATCTTAGTTATTTCTTGCCCCTTCTGCTAGCTTTTGAATTTGTTTGCTCTTGCTTCTCTAGTTCTTTTAAATGTGATGTTAAGGTGTCAATTTTAGATCTTTCCTGCTTTCTCTTGTGGGCATTTAGTGCTATAAATTTCCCTCTACACACTGCTTTGAATGTGTCCCAGAGATTCTGGTATGTTGTGTCTTTGTTCTCGTTGGTTTCAAAGAACATCTTTATTTCTGCCTTCATTTCCTTATTTACCCAGTAGCCATTCAGGAGCAGGTTGTTCAGTTTCCATGTAGCTGAGCGGTTTTTAGTGAGTTTCTTAATCCTGAGTTCTAGTTTGATTGCACTGTGGTCTGAGAGATAGTTTGTTATAACTTCTGTTCTTTTACATTTGCTGAGGAGTGCTTTACTTCCAACTATGTGGTCAATTTTGGAATAAGTGCGATGTGGTGCCAAGAAGAATGTATATTCTGTTGGTTTGGGGTGGAGAGTTCTGTAGATGTCTGTTAGGTCCACTTGGTGCAGAGCTGAGTTCAATCCCTGGATATCCTTTTTAACTTTCTGTCTCGTTGATCTGTCTAACGTTGACAGTGGGGTGTTAAAGTCTCCCATTATTATTGTGTGGAAGTCTAATTCTCTTTGTAGGTCTCTAAGGACTTGCTTTATGAATCTGGGTGCTCCTGTATTGGGTGCATATATATTTAGGATAGTTAGCTCTTCTTGTTGAATTGATCCCTTTACCATTATGTAATGGCCTTCTTTGTCTCTTTTGATCTTTCTTGGTTTAAAGTCTGTTTTATCAGAGACTAGGTTTGCAACCCCTGCCTTTCTTTGTTTTCCATTTGCTTGGTAGATCTTCCTCCAACCCTTTATTTTGAGCCTATGTGTGTCTCTGCACATGAGATGGGTCTCCTGAATACAACACACTGATGGGTCTTGACTCTTCATCCAATTTGCCAGTTTGTGTCTTTTAATTGGAGCAGTTAGCCCATTTACACTTAAGGTTAATATTGTTATGTGTGAATTTGATCCTGTCATTATGATGATAGCTGCTTATTTTGCTCGTTAGTTGATGCAGTTTCTTGCTAGCCTCAATGGTCTTTACAATTTGGCATGTTTTTGCAGTGGCTGATACCGGTTGTTCCTTTCCATGTTTAGTGCTTCCTTCAGGAGCTCTTTTAGGGCAGGCTGGTGGTGACAAAATCCCTCAGCATTTGCGTGTCTGTAAAGGATTTTATTTCTCCTTCACTTATGAAGCTTAGTTTGGCTGGATATGAAATTCTGGGTTGAAAATTCTTCTCTTTAAGAATGTTGAATATCGGCCCCCACTCCCTTCTGGCTTGTAGAGTTTCTGCTGAGAGATCAGCTGTTAGTCTGATGGGCTTCCCTTTGTGGGTAACCCGACCTTTCTCTCTGGCTGCCCTTAACATTCTTTCCTTCATTTCAACTTTGGTGAATCTGACAATTATGGGTCTTGGATTTGCTCTTCTTGAGGAGTATCTTTGTGGCGTTCTCTGTATTTCCTGAATTTGAATGTTGGCCTGCCTTGTCAATAGCCAATCATTATAAAGAGAAAGCCCTACAAATGATGTTTGGCCACTTATAAAGAAAACAAATTTCTTTGTTGTTTCAATGTGCATTTACTTATCACTGAAATTGAGCCTTTTCATATTTTCATCAGTTATTTTTATTTCTTAATTTGGGGGTTGTTTGCTCACATTTATTGCCAATTTTTAATTAGCCTGTTTTTCTCTTATTTATTTGAAACTTTATGTGTTAAGAATATTAAACAGGTTTATTTCTAAAACAAACTTCTGGGTCACCCTGAATCCTGCCCTGAGAGTGGAGGCTGGGAGTCAGACATCCAGTGACGAATTCTCTGCTGCTGCTCAGAAATGGGGTACCAATGGTACAGGCTGAGAGTCAACAGCATTTCAGGTTTCCATGGGAGTCTAGAACAACACCTTCCAGTGAGCTCTGCTTTTCACCAAAGGTGGGACCTTTGGAGTACAGGGTGCTTAACCCCTGGGGCAATTGAGAAAGGAGAGGATTTGTGGAAAGCCTTTGTCTTAGCACCTGTACATTTAGTGCTCAATTAGAAGTTACGGACAGAGAGAAGAGAGAAAAAGAAACCTCTTCTGAATGTCAGTAGCCTGGAGGCTCCTCCCTGGGTGTTTTCTTAAGTTAGACTGCATCCTGCCTACTGGGAGCACAGAGTCTGGTAAAGAAGACGGAAAGGGATAGTGCCTTTAAGAGCAATCGGAGTTGGGCTAGAAACCTGATTCAGTTGAGGCGGTCCAGGATGTCTTCACAACAGGGATGCCAATGATATCAGGCTTTGAATGGGCAGGATCTGGGCATTCACGTGGGAGGATGGGGGAGGGAAAGGAAGCTTCTTATATGGAAAGAGAATGGGCCCAAGCATGCCTTTCCGAGTTATGCCCTCACCTCCGTGCTCTGCCTATACAATGTGGGAACAAATGCAAGAGGGGGAGATGAGAGAGAACGGATGCATATGAGGAGAAAAAAGTATTCAACCGAGCCCAATCAGAAGTGCAGTAGATGTGATCTACGTCCACTTTGTTCTAACAGAACACTCTTTTTATTCTGCAGGATGACTGAACTGAGATTTCCTCTGTCTCTGTGCCACGTGGACTTGCAAACTCACAGAGCCTTCATCACTGAGGAATGTTCTTTGACAGTCACTGTTTATGAGAGCGAACCATAAATTGGGATCCAAGTAGAATGATCAAATTTAGCAAATCAAAATATAGAACTTCCAGTTGAATCTAATTTCAGATAGACAATGAATAATTCTTTAGGATAAATATGTCCCATGCAATACTGAGGATATAATTACGCTAAGAAAAAATTCGTTGTTTATCTGAAATTCAGATTCAACTGGGAGTCCTGTTTTATCTGGCAATCCTAGGTCCATGCTTCCTTGAATGGTTTACAGGCCCGCAAAGCCAATACGTTTCAATAGATTCTTAGGAAACATGTTCTAGTTTCAAAATTTGAAGTTAACATGAGAATGCTTTACATTTAATTATTCTAGATAAATTCAGAGTGTACAGCACTATTTTCTATGGCACAGAATTTGAGACCAAATAACCTAGTGACATATTTGAGGGGGAAAAGGATCCTATGCTCACTGGAGAACACACCTCATAGCAATTGGATCCTCTTTATCTCCCAGCTTCTGCAACCCAACTGCTGGAAGACAAAGTCTATACACAATGCAGTGTTTCATTCAGGGGCCCACATGACTCCATCTGTCACCAAAGCACATGTTTGGCACGGACTGAAAGCCAAAAGCAGTCTAACAAATATTTCAAAACTGAATTTATATCTTTCTAACACATGGTTTATATAGGGAGGTAATACCTAGAGAGCTTTGCAGTTCTCAAATAATATCCTGGCTCAACAACAAATGATGTATGCAGCAGACCACAATACCAAAATTATTTGCTTTTAAAACATGTTAAAGAAAGCTAAGTTTATGAGGGGGCTGGTGCCAGAGGTGCCTGTTTTAGTATGCAGTTGTTATAAAATAAGAGACAGGAATCCAAATATATCCACTATAAAATAAACATTTGCATAATTCCTTATACAAAGAGGAAACTTCCCTCTAAAGGTCCAATTGAGAATGAAATTATCAAAGGAAGCAACTCCTATTTTGATGAACTTTCAACGTCCCTTACAGCCTCAACAATCCGCATATCTCTTCCATCTAGGCAAACTGTTTCGACACCAGATCTATCAGATCTATAACAATGCAAATACTATTACATTTATCTCTGCTAAGCAGAAAAAGATTACATAATGGAACTCTCCGTGGGCAGAATCACACAGGTATGCTGGCTTGCTCTTCAGGTATGGGTTTTCTCCAGAAGACAGATTTCTAGATGGAAAATGCATATGATTGAAATCTAGATATTTGTCTTTAGAGCCAAGAAGCCACATAGTAGCCTTTGTTTCATCTTTCCTTCAACTCTGTGATTGCACGTGGACACAGCTTCCATCTAAGAGAGAGTTGAGGGTACTTGTCACTGGCCGGCCAATGATATTCTTATAAATATTTCAATGCTCTCCCTGTCCCCAAGAAGAAACTGGAAAAAATTGAAACAACTAAAACAAAGCAGCATCCACACACTGGCACACATTGTAATTCCTAACTTTTCCAGTGTGCCCTAAAGATTACTGTTCATGTCAAGGGCTGGGTGGGGAGCAAAGAAATTGTCAAATTGATTTTCTGTGGAATCAAGCAATTTGTGTTTTTCAACTTGACAGTATCAGCATAAATCAGAGCCACATGGAGAGAAACTCTCCTCTTGAAAATACACACCCACACACAGAGTCGGCCAAGCCCGAGTGAAGCAAGTTCTCTACAAGGCTGACTTTGAGAAAGGGAGGAAGAGGGGAGAGGAATTCAGCCCCGGGACAGAGACAGCTGCCTGGGCATGGCCACCACAACTAGACTCACCTGGCCCTGTCAACTCCATCATTCTAGGAAGTTCCTGCTCCAGAGCCTGACTCTGTCCATCTCTTGGAGCATTTTCCGCAGTGACCTGCATGTGTGAGCAGCTGTGTCTGTTGTCAGTGGCAGTCTTGTGTCGGATGTCTCCCAGTTGCCAGGCACTTGACAGATTACAAAGTGCTTCCCACATGTGTCACCTCACATCGGTGCACAGGAATGCTGCAGGAAGTTTGATTCATCCCATTCTACTGAGCAGGGGATAGGGTGAGTGGGAAGTGAGCCTTGGAGGCCGGGCACCTGGCCAGAATTCACGCCTCTGGCAGTGGGCAGAGCTCAGGCTCACATCCAGGGCTCTGCCTTGCCATGGGTACCTCAGATCCAGAGTATCCTGTGACCTGAACTGCTGCCGACCCCCGGAGCCCTGCCCCTTCCCCTGTCCAGGCTCTCCTGCATGGCACCTTTGCTCATGCTGGTCTTCCATCAGTCTGGGCCATGTTCCCCCACCACAGTGTACCCATATCGGTCACATAGTGAAATGAAGCAGGGTGTGGAAAGCAGGCCATGGCCAGGATTTCAAGCGAAGCTAGGCTGTGGCAGAGGTGTCCACGGGCAGTGCCCTCAGCCCGGAGGCCCAGACCCCACCTGTTCAGCCCAAAGCTGGCACCAGACAACATGTGCCCTGCTCCCCCACCCCACCCTGCCCTTCCCTTCTGTCCCAACTTCCCCCTTTAGTCTCGGCTTTCCTGCAGCTGTCCGGACCTCACCAGATGTGTCCTGGTTGTGACTGGCTTCTGGGAGCTCTGTCCTCTGCCAGCCCTATCCAAATCAAGAGGGTTCCCACTGGATAGGCCAGTTCTTGGCCTCACTGGTGGTCACCATCCTGCATGCTTGCACTACAATGGATCCCTGTCTGAAGCCTCCTACAAGAAATGGTCCCTCCTGCTCTGGCCCTCTGGTGCTGGATTTCCCTGCCTGACACAGAGCCCATGCATGGCATGTGCTTACTACCTGGCCACACTGGAGGGGAGCTGACTCCTTGCGACAGAGACTGCCGCTTCCTCTCCTCGGATCCCCCAGCACTGCACCTTGGACCTCCCACATGCTACATCAACATGCTGAATAGATGTGATAGAGAAGGGGGAGGTCCAGAAGCCCTCCAGTGACCTGCATGAAAACACCCCCTGGTTGATGGGTTTGGATCCAGGATCCAGGAACAAATCTCAAACCTCCTCATCAAGACAATGCCTTCAACTGTGCATTGCTCTCCCTGCACCCCCACCCCCAGTGAGAAGTGCTGAGTGCCCAAAGACTCTAGTTGGCTTCAGGGGTTATTTATAATCCCCCCACTCCAGCACTCAGCCCTCATCTGGCCTTTGGACACACACAGGAAGAGTGGACTGAGAAAGTACTCTCGGGTCACTATAGGACTCCGGCCTCGTCCCCTCTGCTTTAGACAAAGACTCACTGAGTTGTTCAGGGACTTCACTGAAGACCTCCGGCCTCAAGCCTCAGAACCCAGCACTCAACAGCACCCCTCAAAGGGCCAGACACACCCAGCTGGCTTGATGGAGGTGTCCTCGGCGGTGCTGACACTTAACATAAGGTCAAGGGGGGAACAAATTATTCACTTTTCAGTTTCCCGTCAAGCCCTCTAATTAGGAAAAAGTCCATTTGGTATTCCATGCCTAAAACCTCCCAGCCACTGGCTCTCTGCCCTTTTTCACAAAGAGAACAGGTCTTGGGCTCAGGGACACCAACAGACACTATTGTCTGGCTGCATTTTAATAACATTGTTTTGTTTTCCTTCAATTTATCTTTATAGTATTTATGTCAAGTGATACTGGCCTATTTAGAATATTGAAGTACAACTTCCTTCTTAAACAAATTTAAGCAAAATGTGTATACTGACTTAAAGTTTAAGATAAATTAAGAAAAATTAAGATAAACTAAGAAAAGCAAACCTGTGTATGGCACAGGTGATATACATTTATTAAAAAGTCATGAAAGTAAGTTCTCAAATGACACCAAGTTAGGAAACTTGGTACTATATGAACTGCTTGGACCACAGCTGGTCAGCGTTGCTATGCATGTAATTACTTAATGGCTGTCTTGTGTCGGATGTCTTTCAGTTGCCAGGCGCTTGACAGTTTACAAAGTGTTTCCTGCATCTGTCACCTCACGCCAGTGCACAAAGATGTCACAGTAGGTTTTATTCACCCCATTCTGCTGAGCAGGGGAAGGGCTGGGTGGGAAGTGAGCCTTGGAGGCTGGGGACCTTGCCATAAACAACAGGAATAAACAATAGGGTGTCACCACCATGGCAGTGATGTGATCCAGATTCAAGGTGGGATATAAGAATGTACATTCAAAACAAGCTCCCAGGGAATGGTTTCAGTGCAGACCATTTGGTAGACCAGCAGTCTCAGAGACCCTAGCCTTTGAAACAACCATCTCTGACCACCAGCTAAAGTCAAAGCACAAAGGCTGCTCTTGCTGTGGGTGCATCCTCACTGTGATCAAAGCAGGCTTCTCTCCACTGCTCCAGAACATCCTTCCTCCCATTCGTGGAACATCAGAGCATCTCCTGCATACCAAATGCAGCCCACAGATTCAAAAGGAATTGCCATCACTCCCTATACTTAAATGGCTGTAACACCCTATGAGTGGAGACTTGAACACTGATATCAATGAGCTCACAACCTCATGGATGGATCATTGTGTAACCAGGAGCTTTTATTTAGCACCAGCTATGTGCTAGGCCAAGTCCTTGAGGTTGGAATCAAAGGTCACATGCCTAGATCTGAAAGATGTTACGGTACAAGTGGGGAAAGCAACAGTGTCATACTAAGATGGTGGAGCTCCCAGGGAGAATGTCTTCCACAATCTGGAGAAAGGAGCCAAGGCTGAAGTGAGAGGACAGTGGTGAAGGAGGTTTCCCAAGGGACACAGGCTACTAGGCACAAAGGGAGGGTCTGCAGTAACAGCATTCAAGGTTCAGAAAGCAACAAGCACAGACAGGCACTCAATGATAAACAAGGCAAATGCTGTGTTTACATTAGTTTATCATTTTTTCCATTTAGTTTGCTGAGTATCTCAACCTGTTTATTAAAGAGCTGAGTTTTATGAAGGTCTCTGATAGCAAAATAAATAAGAGATTTATGACTCTTCTAATACTAACCACTATTTGTGAATAGACAAAGCTAATGGAATCCAGGTCTAGCCTGGTCCTGCTCATGTATCTTTCAAAAGATTTCATAATGAACTCTCCAGAGTCCTTAAAAAGAAGGGAAAGCTCCCTGCGGTAATCAATTGACTGCTCTGGCACAAACAGTCATCTGTAGGCTTCCAGCTGCCCTTATTTTGAACAGCATATTTTCCAGGGATAATACCCTTTTACAAGTCTACAAGACCATGTCTTAATCCTGGCCAGGGGAATCATGTTGACAGAAAATTCCAAATCCCTAAAGGAAGTTAACCAATTCAAACTTGAGATGCCATATTTGAAATGTTTTTTATAATGTTAACAAGCTTTTTTTTTTTTTTAAAGAAAAAGATATTTGCATTTCTTTACTTAGACTTATTTTTTCATTGATACTTCATCCTCCCTCCATCAAATCCTGCTCCTTTACTGGTTTGGTGTCTATCTTTGGACAAGTAATTTGGCCTTCCAGATTTGCCTTCCTCATCTGAAAAGTGATGGTAAATTTATGGGTTGTCACCTGGTTTCTTGGGGTTCCAAGAATATAGTACTGCAGTTCCAGGAGTCATTTTTATTAGAGTAAAAGCCCTAGAATATATTTTGCAATAATGTTAGTTAGTTTAACGCAATTGGCTCCAGCCCTCTACCAAGCCTCAGCTTTCAAGTAACTCATAGTCCTGTGTTCTGGAAGTAGGGGGATGAGAGGATTCAGAAGTTACTGCACATGGTATCTGGCATGCAGTAGAACGTCTGCGGGAGATGGAGAAAGGTTGGCAACCACAGGACTGAGTGAGTTTCTAGGATCTGCTGCATCTCAAAAATTATGTAATTGTTTATGTTTCATAGTCCTTACTGACAATTGTACATGCAAATTTCATTTAAATTATAACTAAAATTTTCATCATTAGCTTTTTTTAAAAAAATTAGAGCTTTAATGAGAAAAGATAATGTTTAATGCCAAGAACAAACTGGTTGATGATTCTAAAAGAAAGCTCCACCACATAGACTTTAGGGGGAAAGAAATTTTGATAAAAATCTAAGTCTTTTAGTGGATACTGCAGAACTGACTATGGCAAGATTTTGAGTAACCACTGCTAAAGTTTGTTTTTTTTTTAATGAATACTCAAAGATATATTTAACCAATGAAATTCTAAATCTGTACTCATTTTATGTTGGAGGGGAGGCAAAATAGGGAGATGGGAGCTTTTCACATATTTATATTAAAACTTGCATTGATCTTGGAATTCATAGTTCACAGAAAATCTGACCCACAAGAGTTCTTATGTCAATTGTCAAATAGCAATTCCCCACAGGAAAAAAATGTTGAAAGGTAAAAAATTTTTATAATTGTGTTGAGTGAATTTATACATCAAAATATATGGAATGAAACCAAAACTCGACTAACAAAAAATGTATAGTTTTAACTGCTTTTATTATCAAGAAATATGAACATAGATGAACTAAACATTCGGCCAAAAAATCACAACAATAAAAAGACAAAGGAGTTAAGAAATAAAACCAGAAATGACTAAATTAAAAGCTATGAATAAAAGGAATAGTGTTGATTAATAAATCCAAGACTAAATTCTTCTGACAGGCCAAATACATATCTAAATCTCCGACAGGTCTAAACAAGGGGAAAGATAAATTGTAAATAAAGAGAAGTGGGCAAAAATAGTGGAACAGGTGGCCCCAGGCTTTACTATCACCCACAGAAATTTCAACTAGCAATTATCTACAGACAGGAACATGTGGGTCAAAACCCCAAAACTTGGGAATAAGCCTGAGAGACCTGCCTAGACTACAGAAATGAATGAAGTCTGCATTGGAAGGGTAGGAGAAATGGTCTCACTTTGACCACACTGCTTCTCCCTCCATCCTTTCATTCAGCATGGTGCCACACAGAGAGGATGCCTCAGGGCCCATGGTTTCTGCAGTGGGCAGGGAGAACCAGAAGCAGACATCTAGCTTCTCTAGCATTCTGAGATGCTTCCCAGGAAGCCCACCTCAGTCTCACTTCATAAAGAATGCTCGAGGTAGCGGCATGGCGAGACCAGCTGGAGTCAGTTAGAAACAAAGCAAGGAGACAGGGCCCACAGCAGATACTGGTGATATCTCTGTGTATCTTCCAGTGGCAGCCCCCAGTGAGAGGTACCAGCAAACAGCATAGCACACCTGCAAAGCCAAGATGGTCACTCCCAAGTGGTGAAAAGTTGTGCCTGGCTTGAATCCCAACAGCCATCTTCCAGGCCCAGCCTTAGGCTCTACTTGAAGGCTCCACCTGGGGAGAGAGCTCCCCACGACTACACATTTTGGTAAAGAGCAAGAGCTAGTTCTGCAACACCCAAAACTTCAAACAGCACTCAGCTTAACCTCAAAGCCTACCCTAAGGCCCTGGTTAGGCAAAGACGCAAACCTCAAGCATACATTTCTACTGAAGCACCAGATAATCCCATCCTTCCTGAGCAATGACTCCACCTAACCCCAGGGAACCTCCTGCAACTCTGTACAACTGAAGAATTCAAATAAAAGTACCACCTGGTGAAGGAATACACCCTGTAGCCCAGCCCAATCAGAGGAAATTGCAATGACCAGCCAGTAGTTCTGCCTAATTACAGAGTTCAGCTAGTGCTCTCACCTGACACCTGAGCCCAGCTAGCTTAGCTCTACCAGAACTCAAAGCAAAGGCAGCATCCCAGCCATCTAGAGAATGGAAAGCAAGCTTTGCCTGCCTGGGGTCATTACCAATTGGCCCATCCGGAATCACAGGCTAGACTAAATAGTAAAGGTGTATTTCTGCCAAAGAACACCTGTAACATCCAGAAGAGGTGACTGTCTCCCCAAATGCGCAAAAACCAGTGCAAGAACATAGCATTACAAAGATTCAGAAATCATGACAACACCAAAAGAAACTAGCAAAACTGCAAAAATGAACCCTACAGAAATGGATATCTATAAAGTGATAAAGAATTCAGAATAATCCTCTTAAAGAAATTCTGTAAACTATATGATACTACAGATTAAAAATCAAATAAAATTTGGAAAACAATACATGAATAAAAGTTTGATGAAGAAACAGAAACAATCAAAAAACAAATAGAAACACTAGAGATAAAGAATACAATGGCTAAACTTTAAAAATGCAATAGAAAGCTTCAACAGCAGGCTTGAGCAAGATGCAAAAGAATTGAAGCAGATAATTTAAAATTATCCAATCAGAGGAACAAACAGAAAAATGAAGGAAGCCAATGGGAATTATGGAATACCATCAAATGACCTAACTTTTGCATAATACAAATTTCAGAAGAAGAAAGAGAAAAAGGGGCCACATAATACATTTAAAGAAATAATGGCTGAAAACTTCCCTAACCTGGGGAAAGATGCCAACATCCAGGTCCTGAAAGCACAGAAGTTTCCAATCAAATTCAACCCAAGGAGGAGTCCACCATAACACATATTAATCAAACTGTCAAAACTTAAAGACAAAAAATTGTGAGAGCAGCAAAAGATAAAAAATACTTTATATACAAAGAAGTCTCAATATGACTATCAGTGCATTACTCAGCAGAAAACTTGCAGGCCAGGAGAGAGTGGGATGATATATTCAAAGTGCTGAGGGAGGGGGAAAAAAAAACTCCTGTCTACCAGGAATACCTTACCCAGCAAGGCTGTATTTCAGAAATAAGGGACAAATAAAAACTTTCCTAGACAAACAAAAGCTAAGCAGAGATTGAATGCATAATAAAAAGTCTCCCATCAAAGAAAAGCCTGATGGCTTTTCTAATACAGAACCTGATGGCTTCTGTATTAGTCCATTCTCATGCTGCTAATAAAGACATACCCAAGACTGGGTAACTTATAAAGCAAAGAGGTTGAATTGACTCACAGTTCAGCATGGCAGGGGAGGCCTCAGGAAACTTATGATCATAGCAGAAGGCGAAGCAAACAAATCCTTCTTTACATGGCAGCAGCAAGAAGAAGTGCCGAGCAAAACGGGGAAAAGACCCTTATAAAAAGACCCATCAGATCTGTGAGAACTCACTCACTATCACAAGAACAGCAGCATGGGACTAACTGCCCCCATGATTCAATTACCTCCCACCAGGTCCCTCCCATGACACATGGAGATTATGGGAACTACATTTCATGATGAGATTTGGATAGGGACACAGCCAAGCTATATTAGCTTCACTGCTGCTGAATTCTACAAACATTTACAGAAAAACAAATATGAATCCAAACTTTTCCAAAAATTGAAGAGGAAAGATTACTTCCAAATGCGTTACCCTGATGCCAAAGGCAGACAAACACCTCAAAAGTAAAGAAAATTGGGCGAGGTGGCGGGTGCCTGTAGTCCCAGCTACTCAGGAGGCTGAGGCAGGAGAATGGCATGAACCCCGGGGGGTGGAACCTGCAGTGAGCCGAGATCGCGCCACTGCACTCCAGCCTGGGTGACCGTGAGACTCCGTCTCAAAAAAAAAAAAAAAGTAAAGAAAATTACAGGCCAATATCCTTGTTAAACATACATGCAAAAATCCTTATCAAAAACCTAGCACACCAAATTCAAAAACACATTAAAAGGATCATTCATCATGATCAGGTGGGATTTATCCCTGAGATGGAAGGATGTTTCAACACAGACAAATCAATAAATGTGATACATCACATTAAGAGAACATAGGACAAAAACCATGTGATCATCTCATTAGATGAAGAGAAAGCATTTGACAGAATTCAATATCCTTTTATGATAAACTCTCAACAAATTAGGCATAGAAGAAATGTACCTTAACACAATAAAGCCATATATAATAAGCCCACAGCTAACATCATACTCAATGGTAAAAAATTGAAAGCCCTTCCTCTAAGATCCGGAACAAGACAAGAATGCCTACACTCACCATTTCTATTCAACATAGTGTTGGAAGTCCTCGCCAGAGCAATTTTGCAAGAGAAAGAGATAAAAGACACCCAAATAGGAAAGGAAGAAGTAAAATTGTTGCTGTTTGTTGATGACGTGTTTCTTCATGTTAAAAAATTCTAAAGATTCTCTAAAAAAACTGCTAGAATTTAGAATAAACAAATTCAGTAAAATTGCAGGATACAAAATAAACAAAAAAATCAGTAGCATTTCTATATACTAAAAAGAGACTCTTCAAAAAAGAAATCAAGAGAAGAATCCTGTATTAGTCCATTTTCATGCTGCTGATAAAGACACCCAAGACTGGGCAATTTACAAAAGAAAGCGGTTTAATTGTACTTACAGTTCCACATGGCTGGGGAAGCCTCACAATTATGGTGGAAGGCAAGGAGGAGCAAGTCATGTTTTAAATGGATGGCAGCAAGCAAAGAGAGAGCCTGTGCAGGGAAACTCCTGTTTTTAAACCATCATATCTCACGAGACTTATTCACTATCACCAGAACAGCATGGGAATGACCTGCACCCATGATTCAATTACCTCCCACCAGGTTCCTTCCACAACACATGGGAATTCAAGATGAGATTTGGGTGGGGACACAGCCAAACCCTATCATTCTGCCCCTGGCTCCTCCGAAATCGCATGTCCTCACATTTCAAAACCAATCATGCCTTCCCAACAGTCCCCCAAAGTCTTAACTCATTACAGCATTAACTCAAAAGGCAACAGTCCAAAGTCTCATCCGAGACAAGGCAAGTCCCTTCTGCCTATGAGCCTGTAAAATCAAAAGCAAGTTAGTTACTTCCTAGATACAATGAGGGTACAGGCATTGGGTAAATACAGCCATTCCAAATGGGAGAAATTGACCAAAACAAAGGGGCTACAGGACCCACGCAAGTTCAAAATCCAGCAGGGCAGTCAAATCTTAAAGCTCCAAAATGATCTCCTCTGACTCCATGTCTCACATCCAGATCACTCTGATGCAAGAGTTGGGTTCCCATGGTCTTGAGCAGCTCCACCCCTGTGACTTTGCAGGGTACAGCCTCCCTCCTGGCTACTTTCACGGGCTGGTGTTGAGTGTCTGCAGCTTTTTCAGGCACACAGTTCAAGCTGTCAGTGGATCTACCATTCTGGGGTCTGGAGGATGGGGCGGCCCTCTTCTCACAGCTCTACTAGGTGGTGCCCCAGTAGGGACTCTGTGTGGGGGCTGCAACCCCACATTTCCCTTTCGCACTGCCCTAGCAGAGATTCTCCATGAAGGACTCACCCCTGCAGCAAACTTCTGCCTGGGCATCCAGGCATTTCCATACATCCTCTGAAATCTAGCTGGAGGTTCCCAAACCCCAATTCTTGACTTCTGTGTACCCACAGGCTCAACACCACATGGAAGATGCCAAGGTTTGGGGCTTCACCCTCTGAAACAACAGCCCAAGCTGCACATTGGCACCTTTTAGCCATGGCTAGAGCAGCTGGAATGCAGGGTACCAAGTCCCTAGGCTGCACACAGCACAGGGACCCTGGGCCTGACCCACGAAACCATTCTTTTCCCCCTAGGTCTCCAGGCCTGTGATGGGAGGGGCTGCCATGTAGACCTCTGACTTGCCCTGGAGACATTTTCCCCATTGTCTTGGGATTAACATTTGGCTCCTCATTACTTATGCAAATTTATGCAGCTGGCTTGAATTTCTCCTCAGAAAATGGGATTTTCTTATCTATTGCATTGTCAGTCTGCAAATTTTCCAAACTTTTATGCTCTACTTCCCTTTTAAAACTGAATGCTTTTAACAGCACCCAAGTCACCTCTTGAATGCTATGCTGCTTAGAAATTTCTTCCTCCAGATACCCTAAATCATCTCTCTCAAGTTCAAAGTTCCACAAATCTCTAGGGCAGAAGCAAAATGCTACCAGTGTCTTTGCTAAAACATAACAAAATTCACCTTTACTCTAGTTCCTAAAAAGTTCCTCATCTCCATCTGAAACCACCTCAGTCTGGATTTCATTGTCCATATCACTATCAGCATTTTGGTCAAAGCAATTCAACAAGTCTCTAGGGAGTTCCAAACTTTCTCACATTTTCCTGTCTTCTTCTGAGCCCTCCAAACTGTTTCAACCTTTGCCTGTTGCCCAGTTCCAAAGTGGCTTCCACATTTTCAGGTATCTTTTCAGCAGTGCCCCACTCTACTGGTACCAATTTACTGTATTAGTTTGTTTCCATGCTGCTGATAAAGACATACCCAAGACTAGACAATTTACAAAAGAAAGAGGTTTAATTTGGACTTACAGTTCCACATGGCTAGGGAAGCCTCACAATCATGGTGGAAGGCAAGGAAGAGCAAGTCATGTCTTACACAGATGGCAGCAAGCAAAGAGAGAGGTTGTGCAGGGAAACTCCCATTTTTAAAAGCATCAGATCTCGTGAGGCTTATTCACTATCACCAGAACAGCATGAGAAAGATCTGCCCCCATGATTCAATTACCTCCCACCAGGTTCCTCCCACAACACGTGGGAAGTCAAGATGAGATTTTGGTGGGGACACAGCCAAACCTTATCAAATCCCATTTAAAATAGCTATAAAAATTAAACAAAATATTAGAAATAAATTTAAGCAAGGAGTTAAAGAACTTGTATATTGAAAATTATAAAATGTTAAATAAACTGAAGAAAACATAAATAAATGAAAGATAGTCCATGTTCATGGATTGAAAGAATGAGTATTGTTAACATGGCCATACTACCCAAAGCAATCTACAGATTCAATGCAATCTCTATCAAAAGTCCAATGTGATTTTTTATAGAAATAGAAAAAACAATCCTAAAATTTATATGGAATCACAAAAAACCCTGACTAGCCAAAGCAGTACTGAGCAAAAAGAACAAAGCTGAAGGCATCACAGTACCTAATTTCAAACTATACTACAAAGTGATAGCAACTAAAATAGCATGGTACTAAGCATAAAAATAGACACATCAACCAATGGAATAGAACAGAGAGCCCAGAAATGAACCCAAACATATACGGTCAATTGATTTTTGACAAAGGTGCCAAGGATACATGATAGAAAAAGTGCAGTCTCTTCAATAAATGGTGTTGGAAAAACTGGATAATCATAGGCAGTAGAATGAAATTGGACACTTATCTCACACTATATACAAAAAAGCCAACTAAAACTGGATTAAAGATTTAAATATAAAATCTGAAACTAGATTGCTAGAAGGAAACAAAGAAAATCTACATGATGTTGGTCTATAGGCAATTTTTTTTTAGATTTGTCCCAAAAGCTCAGGCAATAAAAGCAAAAATAAGCAAATGGAATTACATCAAACTAAAAAGCTTTCACACAATGAAGAAAAAAATTAACAGAATGAAGAGACAATGTAAGCATTGGGAGAAAATATTTGCAAGCCATTCATCTAATAGGAGTTAATATCCAAAATATATAAGGAATTCAAACAATTCTGTAGAAAGAAAACTATTAGCCTGATTTTAAAATGGGCAAGGGACCAGACTAGACATTTCTCAAAATAAGACATACTCCAAATGACCAACAGATATATGAAAAAAAGTCCAACATAAATAATCATTAGGGAAATGCCAATAAAACCACAATGAGATATTATCTCACACCTGTCAGAATGGCCATTATCAAAAAGACAAAAGATAACGAATGTTAGCGAGGATGTGAAGAAAAGAAAACACTTGTACACTATTGGTGGAAATGTAAATTAGTATGATGATTATGAAAAACTCTATAGAGGTTCCTCAAAATAATATTACCATATGACCCTGCAATATTACCATATGACCCAGCAATCCCACTTCTCGGTATTTACCCAAAAGATTTGAAATCAGTATGTCAAAGAGATGTCTGAACTCCCATGTGCATTGCAGCAATATTCACGATAGTCAAGTTATAGAATTAACCCAAGCATCTGTCAACAGATGAATAAAGAAAATGTAGTATATATACAAATGGAATACTATTCAGTCTTTAAAAAGAAAAAAATCTGTAATTTGCAATATGTTTGGAATTGGAGATCATACTAAGTGAAATAAGCCAGGCACAGACAGACAAATACTGTGTGTTCTCATTTATATGTGGAATCTAAAACAATCGAGCTCATACAAAGAGTAGAATGGTGGTTACCAAAAGTCTGGGGATGGGGGAAATGAGGAGATGATGGTTAAAGGGTACTAAGTTTCTGTTAAACAGGAGGAATAAGGTTTTTTGTTTTTTGAGATCTATTGCACAGTGACATGAATATAGCTAATAACAGTGTGTTGTACATTTCAAATTCTTGAAGGAAATAAACTGCAAATGCTCCCAACACAAAAAAGCTACATATTTGAGGTGATGGATATGTTAAGTCACTTGATTTAATTATTCCATGTTGTATTTATAAATCATAACATCAATTTGGGCCCCATATAATTTGTCAACTCATAATAAAAATAAGTTTTAAAAAAAGAAATGAGTATAATTATTGCTACAAAAATTAAATTGTAATCAAGTATTACATGTTCTTTATACTAATGAATCTGAAAACATGGGGACAATAAATGATTTTCTAGGAAAAGATAAGTTATCTCAACTGGTTCAATAAGAAATAGCAAAACCAATAAGTCTGTAAGAAGTTCAAAAATCTGTACAAGATTTATGTTCCATAAAGATATTGGGGCCAGATAATTTTAAGAGAGAGTTTTTTAAAGCCCCAATGTGACAGATTATTTTCATATAATTTTTACTGTCCCAAAAAACACACAGTAAAAGACTGGATAAAAGAAACTTTAGGATTATGGCTGATTGCTAAAATTGCTCTAATACTTTACCATCCCTCTATCTGAGCCCCAAGGAGTCCCTTGTCTGGGGGTGGGATATGGCTTTTCCACTCCTGCTCTGAAGAGGTAGAACCTCCTTCCCCAGTTTGCTTCCCTGACATGTCAATGGAATGTTAGCAGGTGGGTCCCAAGCAGATGCTTGAAATGGGCTTGTGTCTAAGGACATGTCTGTTCTTATGCCTCTGCCTTCTCTATGAGAACATGCTGGGTTAGCCTGCTACGGAGATGGGAGAGACATGGAGAAGGGCCTGGTCACTCTATTATACTCAGCAGGCCCATAAACATGGCAGCAAGCCTAACGGAGACCAGACCTGCCCAGCCTAAATCCCTGACTCACAGACACATGAGCGAAAGATGGGTTTTATTGTTTTAAGCCACTGAGTTTGTATAAACAGAGAACTAAGACCACTTTCCTTCCTAATATAGATGCAAACAATCTTAATTAGAACACTAGGGAATTAAATTCAGCAGCATATTAAAAATATGATACACCTTGACAGAGCAGGATGTGTCCCAAAAATATAAGAATATTTTGATAAGGGGAAATCCATGAATGAATATTTATATCAATAAGTCAATTAATATTTTTATCAGGTCACAAGATTTAAAAAGAGAGAGACAAGATATGGTACCTCTGTACATGTCTAAAAAAAGTTAATAAAATTCAGTATCCAATACTTTTTTTTTTAAAAAAATCTATTTGAAAACTAGAAATAGGTTCTTAAAATCATAAACTCACATCTTAAATCAACAGTCAATATTAAAATCAATGGTGAAATATCAGGAGCCTTCCATTAAAACCCAAAACAAAAGAGGAATTATTGCTGTTTGTACACATTTTTATAGCAATTCTTTATGTTTGAGACACTGCAATAAAGCAATAACATTTCAGGGAAATAAATGTTAGAAAAGAAAAGTTATTTATAAGTGATATGATTAGTTACCTAGGAAACCCAAGAAAGTCAACTGAATATCTACTAAAACCAGCAAGACATTTTAATAAACAGGCTAGTCCCAGAATGTGTGTATATAAACTAATACAAGATATATCATTACTAAAATAAAATTGAAAATTGGATCCCATTTATAATGACAAGGGAAGAAAAATAACTAGAAAAATAACACCTAAAAAGTGCTTTGTAATAAATGAATGGTATGCTGTTCATTCCAAATTATGGCTCACAAAAGGGTAGTGCTCATATATAAACAGCTCTTAACAAATCAATTAAAAGAAGACAAATCTTCAATAACAAAGTGACCAAAGGATATGAACTAACAATTTAAAAAAATCAAAAATTATTGATAAAAATAAGGGGGGAAATTAAACTGCATTATTAAGAATTTAAAGAGAACCTCCTTCCCTCAACTCCTCCCTCACCATCCCACCTTTGTCCTTGTTTTAGTGTACATGAATTTCCATTAGATTAATATTCCGGGCCTCCCTCCCTTCCCCTAACTCCCCCAGGTAAAGAATAGTGATGTATATAAGAGTTTGAAAGGAGGAACTTAATTTTGTGTCTCATTTCTTCTGGGATCTCCCTGTCATCCTGGATGTGTCTACAGCACACTCATTCTGGTCTGCCCTTTGCCATATGTTAAGGGATATGACCCTGTTGGGCAAGATACTACATTGTTAATATTATCCAGTATGATTGGTGACTCTCAAATTTGGAAGTAAAACAGTAGTAAGCCTACACAGCCAAAGACCTAAAGCCAAATTCTATGATCAGCTGTGTATTAATAACTGATCATTTGTTCTCTAACATTCTGCTTCCGGTGCCATCGTTTACTTCTGAACCTAAGAGGGGAAGGAAAGTTTGTTTAATAGACTCCTAAGACCCCAACAATAAATTTAAAATGCAAATTAGAATATTTTAACCTAGAAAATTGGCAAAGTAAATATGATAATAATTGGTAACAATAATGCCACTAGCTAGGAATGAAGAAGCTTCAGAGAAACAGGCCAGGAAGAACATAAAGGGGTGTATCAGTCTGTTCTCAGGCTGCTATGAAGAAATGCCCGAGACTGGGTAATTTATAAAGAAAAGAGGTTTGACTCACAGTTCCGTGTGGCTGGGAAGGCCTCAGGAAACTTGTGATCATAGCAAAGGGCAAAGGTGACGAAAGCCACCTTCTTCACAGGGAGGCAGGAAGGAGAAGTGTGGAGCAAAGGGGGAAAAGCCCCTTATAAAACCATCAAATCTCATGAGAATTCACTCACTATCACAAGAATAGCATCGGGGCAACTGCCCCCATGATTCAATTACCTCCCACCAGATCCCTCCCACAACACATAGGGATTATGGGAACTACAATTCAAGATGAGATTTGGGTGGGGACACAGCCAAACCATATCAAGGAGCACAGCGATTGGAAAGCCAATTACAACACATAGCACAAATTTTAAAGGTGCTTACTCCTGTCTTAAATCACCTGCTTTTCAAGTGCAATCCTGCTTACATTTATTGGGATTTCTTTTAGATTCTAAAGTTTATTTATATGGAAAGTAATCAAGAAGGTACAGAACAATTCTGAAAGAATATTATACGAGGTTTAGATCTACCAGGTGTTAGAATTATCAAATAGCAATAATTAAGCATACAGTCCAAGTACAAGAATAGACAGATCAATATAAGTATATAAAAGTGAGAAAAATTGACACAAATATGTATAAAAAAATCTAATAAACAAGGTAGTATTTCAAATCAATGGAAATAAAACAGTCAGTGGTCATAACTGGGTAGTCATCTGAAAAGAGAATGGATTCCTATCCTCACCTTTTGTGTAAAAATGACAGATGAATGAATAATTTAAATACAAAAAATAAAACTATAAAACTACTGTATGAAAACACTGCTTCCATATTAATTCCATGCAGCCTTTTAGGATGTCACAGCAGGATGCGTGATCCTTTCTATAACTCTCTAAGTTAAAGATACATATTCTAATTCCTATGGCAAACACTAAAATATAATAATAAAATGAAGAACTACAGCTAAAAAAGGGAAATATTAAAACTACTCAGTACAAAAGAAAATGGGAAAAGAAGGGAAAAAAGCAAAAACATACTGGGCAAACAGTAAAAGACAGCAAGATAATGAACGTAATTCTCCATAAGAATAATTAAGTGTAATTGGAATAAATATTTCAATTAAAAGGTAGTGACCCTCAGAAAAGATTAAAATGCAAAGCTAATACACACTGTTTAAAAGAATGCACTTTGAGCATAAATATAGATATACTGAAAATTTTAAAAAATGAAAAAAATGCTCTGCGCATACATATGCAAACACTAAGCATAGGAAAGCTGAGGTGGCCATATCAATGTTAGTCAAAGTGGACTGTGGGACAGAAATTACTACCAGAGATAAAGAGGAAATTTCATCATGATAAACAGGTCAATTCGTCAAGAAGACATAACAATCCTAGATGTGTATAAACCTAAAAAGAGTTTCAAAATACATCAAGAAGACTGACAGAACTGAAAGTACAAATAGATAAATTGGCAACTTCAGTTAAAGGTGTTACTCCTCTCCCAATAATTGATAGAAATAACAAACAAAAAATATTAGTAAGCTTAATATGAGATTTGATAACACCATCAACTAACTATGCTATTTACGGGACATTACCCTATCCAACAACAGCAGATTTTACATTCCTTTCAACCATTCATGGAATATCCATCAATAAAGACTATAAGCTGGAGTATAAAACAACTCTCTAACAAATGTAAAGATAAAAGTAATAAAGAAGACATAATCTGATTATAATAAAATAAAATTAGAAATTAATAACAAAAATCTTAACATCTCAAATATTCAGAAATTTAAAAACATATTTCTAAATAAGCCACGAGTCATAGAAAAAAATTATGAAAGAATTTTTTAAAATATTTTAAACTGACGATAATGAAAAAATAACCTATACAAATTTGTAATATTCAGCTAAAGGAGTACTGCACCAGGGATATTTGTATTTCCAAATGGCTGTACTAGAAATTGAGAATGTTATGTTAATATTCTAAGTAAGGATCAACCAAAAGCAGCTAAAGAGCAAATCAAAGACAAACTAGAAGAAAAGCAACAATAAGTAGCAAAAATCAATAAAATAAATAACAAAAGAAAATCTTTGAAACCAAAGTTGGTTGTTTGCAAATATTGATAAAATTGTTAAATTCCTAGCAGGATGAAAAAAATGAGAAAAAAATCATAATTTACCAATTTTAGGAATTAAAGAGGGGTACGTCATTACAGATAATACAGGCATTAAGTGATAAGAAAATATTATGAAACATGTTATGCCAATATGTTTGTTAACTCAGATGACATGGACGTATTTTTTGAATCTCCAGGCCCAGATAGCTACACTGAATAATTCTATTAGACATTTAAGAGAGAAATAATAACAATCTTATACGAACTCTTTCACAAAATACAGAAAGTGAGAAAACCTTAACTTATGAGGCCAGTATAACCCTGATACCAAAACTAGACAATAATATAATAAGAAAAATAGCACTATCTCTTATAAAAACAGACATAAAATCCTTAAAATATTAGGTAATAAACCCAGATCTGTCTCTATATGTACATAAATGTATATGTGTGCATGTGTATGTGTGTATATATATAAACGTGTGCATATAAGTATATGTATGCATGTGTGTATATATATGTGTGTATGTGTATATATAATATAGGATAAACAACAAATGAATGGGCATACTAATTTGTGAAACCTAGGTAGGTCTCATAGTTCATATTCCCAGGACTACAACTAATCAGGCTACCCAGTTGTTATTTATATTAAAACTCTTCAGAAACATAAATTTCATTATTCCTTTGATAACTTAATTCACTGTTTTATGATCCCAGCTTAGATTGTGTGATTTGTTTTTTTTTTTTTTTTTTTTACAAAGGACTGAAGTCAAACCACCAAAAGAAAAATGTATTGTAACAACAAATAGGGTACAACTTTAAGGAATGTACTTTTAAAATTACTATGAGTTTATCAATAATAACCTTTCATGTTAAGTCTTCCAATTTTTGTACATAAAAATGATTTTCATCAAACCACTGAAACTATCCATTGTGGATGTAAATAAAATAACCAAGTTCAATGTAAGAAAGCAGCATAAAACAAAGTAAAACTTGTGATTTGCAAATCAGCCTGATGTAAGTTTGTTGTTGTTGTTGTTTTTTTTTGCCTTTGTAGTTGCAGAAGGTGAGCTCTGTTTTAGAAGGAGTCATTTCATTCCCCAATTGAATTTTTACTCATTTAGGCTAAAATCACTTCAAAAGTTTAAAATGAGGGTAGAGGAAATAAAAAGGAAAAAAAGTAAACATATAGTTAAGTTTATCATCACCAGATCACTAAATGCTAGCTATAGAATATCCAAACCCAAGCAAATGCATAGAGTTCTTCATGCCCATCCTCGCATCTGTACATTTCTCAGGGAGATAAGAACAAGCTAAAATTAATAGAGACCTCTTGCGATTTTTATTAGACTATCAGCTCACATTTTCTACCCAATATGAAAATTAGCATCCATTACAGCATCATAGTATTTCCAAAAGATGTTCCTTTAAGATGTTCCTTTCGTATCACTAATATATACTAACTACCTTTTCCATATCAAATATTTGGATACATGGTATTTTTTTTCAAAAAGACTTTCCAAATGTGAAAATTCATTTACATGAAAGGTTGTACAAACACAAAAAATTTAAGAGTAGAGCTTTAGTGAATCACATTTGTTGAAATGAAAAAGCAGCACACCAAGTGGGACTATTTACTCATCATGCCAATATTTATTGAGCAGCTGTGATGTGCTAGGCACGGGGGACCCAACAGAGAATAAGATGGATGTGGTCTCTGTCACCACAGAGCTTAAATTCTAACCTAGAAGACAAACCGTTGATTAGAATGTGATAAGTGCTCTGACAGAGACATAGCATTTTGAGAACATTTAGCAGGGGGACCTTTCCTTGACTGGGGTTGGGTGGGAAGGACCAAGAACCGGCTGCCTGTGAGGAAGTGAAGTCTAAGCCAAGGAGGAGTTCAGCCAAGTGTTGGAGTGAGAGTGGGAAAAGAACTGTCAGGCAAAGGCAATGAAGACACTGCAGTAAAAGGACATGAAACAGCTAAGCAACAAAAATGCAGAAACAGAGCCACCTTACCAATCAGATGCTGCTGCCAGCTCCAGGACTTGTACATAGTGAGTGGACACCTCTGAAAACAGACGCTTTCACCTGTCAAAGCCATTCCTGGTATTTACAATGCTGATTATCTAATTAACTCACTGTGCTAGACTGTTGAGATGGTTCCCAGTGCCCCCGCCTCCTGGTATTCACTCTCATATGTAACCCTGGTAGGGTTAGAATTAAGCAAGTCACTAGGTTAAGAGACTTAGTGACTTGTTTTTAACCAGTAGACTATAGCAATATTCACAGACCATGATTGGATTATACAACTTGTGATTCTGTCTTATTTGCAGATTATATTGCCTTCTCAGTCTGCAGGCCTTGATGAAGCAAGCTTCTATATTGGAGAGAATACTGATTAGGAAAATGGGAACCAGCTAGGAACTGAAACCTTCAGTTCAACAACTCAAGGGACTGAATTCTGCCATGTTTCTGTGAGCTTGAAAGCAGATCCTTCCCAGTTGAGCCTTTGAATGAGATCCAGTCCTGGCTAACATCTTGACTGAAACCAGTGAAAGAAGCTGAATTAGAGGACCCAGATAAGTTGTGCCTAGATTCGTAACCCACAAAAGCTGTGAGATTGTACACAGGTGTGATAGTAAGCCACTAAGTTGTGGCAATTTGTCATACAGCAATAAATAACAAATGCACTCATGCATGTGCATTTATCATGTTTACAAGTATTTTCTACAGCCATCATAGGTAGCAGTTATTAGGTTGAGTCCTGCATTTTATTTGTGAGAGGAAACAGAAGATAGTATACTTAATTATTAAACAGTAAGTTTCTCCTTCAGGAAGAATAAATTTTAGCTGGTAAGTCCACATGTTCCTTTGATGCGAAAATGAAAGGTCAGAGATACCAGGCCCTGCAAATGGGTCTCCAGTCCTGTTTTTCCTGCCAGTCCTTGCAGGTCAGAGCCCACAGGACAAGTTCCTGGGATTCACACAGCTAAAGACTCAAGTATTGTTCTATCTCAGTGTCTTCCTAGGTTCTCTCCTCAAATCCCAATGTCCCAAGATAAACACAAGCTGAGATAGCTGCAAAGGGTCTGGAGTATGGAAGAGTTCCTGGACATCATAGGTCCTCCCTTGGCAGCCCAGTGGTTTAGCATGTGGGCCCTGAAAATCAACTGCCTAGTTCAATCCTGGCTCAGCCTCTTATAAGATGCAAGGGCTAAGGCAAATCATGAGTTCTCTATGCCTTAGTTTCTTCATCTGTAAAATGGAAATAATAATGGCCCATACCTCTAAGGGCCATAGGGATATTTTAACCACATAATTCATGTAAAGGGATTAGTCGAGAGTCTGCTGAATGTTTTGTTAAATGCCGGTGTCATCACTATTAGTTATTCGTGTAAGTCCCATTTCTAGTATATTCCCTATTTGTGCAGTAATTCATGTGCATAATCTCAGCTGCGTCACCTTGTAGCTGTATAACTGCACAAGCTGAATGTCCTAGCCTTGGCTTTCCTATCTGGAAGAAAGAGTGGTCATAGTGCCTGCCTCCCAGGGCATGGTGAGAATGTATGAGAAGCTACTGAACCAGTGCTAGCACAGAAACCACACAGGCAAAATCCCTTTATGGAATTCCTCAATTCTATCCTATGAAGAAAGAGCAATTACCACTCAGAAATGTGATTGTTTTCCAGGTACACAGATAAACCTGTCACCAGGAGCCCTTGGGTGTTGTCTGATCATGCACTGAACTGAGTAAACATTTTAGAAAATTCATTTGCTGCTGTGCAAGTCAGAAGATAATGGTAGCTGCAACTTAGTTTCAGAAAGATTCAGATGAACAATCTTAGTAGTGTGGGAGAGATCTTTCCATTCACTTACGTTTTGCTGTAAATTGGGAAAACACCACCAATATTTGGTCTTAGAGTGGAACATTTCTGTCAGATTCTGGATGTTCTAAATGTGTACTGTTTAGAGCCACAAGGATGTAGAGTGCTTAACGGGCTTTACTGCTGCAATCACCTGCTCTAACTGGTAATTAAGATATAAGTCAAGAGCTTATGTGTCTGCTTCACCCACAAATGTGAGGTTCCTATTTCTGCAGCAATTCTTATTCATGCCAACCCAATACCCTGAGAGGCATGTTAAATTTTATTTGCCTTGCCATTCTACGCTTATCCTCCCTCCCACATCTCTTTCTCAAAAAGCCAGTGGAAGCTGAAGGCTAGGAAAATTCATGCCCCTGGCCTGGGCATCTGCTACCATTCATTCTCTACAGCCCTTATGCCTAGCCCACAGTGAGTCCCATATAGCAGAGAAGAAGGAAACTGGTGACCATTTTGTGTGCTATAAGTAAATGATATTTGAAAGAGTTCACATTATTAACACAATCTCAAATAGTCCTGGTTAACAGAGATGCCCCTAATGGTAGACTGATAAACAACAAAGATGGAAACATGAGATTTAAGGTAGGAGAAAAACGAATAGAAACTGCCTTCCTCTCCCAATTCTCTGCCACCCCCTCTGTCAAGCTTTGGGATTAACTTGGATACCCATCTACCATGAGCAGAAGGGGACGGTGGCTCATGGATGCTGAGAACTTGTGCCGTTCAAGGCATGAGGACAAACCTCAGCACTGAATGAACATATGAACAGTGATACCATGTGCCCCCTGTACCATCAAAAGAGAAGACCTTAAATTACAAAACACATTCCCCAACCTCTCCCTCATTTGGAATTCACCACAACCCAGGGAGGTAGGCTGCATCCTTGCTCATTGTTGACAAATAAACTAAGTTCAGAAAGATTTAGTGGGTTCCTCAAGGTCACACAGCCATAAAGAGGCCAAGCCAGAACTCAGAGCCACTTCTCACTCCAAGTCCAGAATTCTGGCCATGATCCAAGCCACCTGTCAATTTTATAACTACAACGCCAGAACACACAGCACTCTTGACCCACTAAATCCATAAGGAAGTAACATCAGGGGAGATAAGCTGAAGAAATCTCATTATTTTATGTCACTGAAGTCCATAAGAGAAGCAGATGCTTCTACTAGGAGCTTTTGTGCTTGAAAACAGTTGTCTTGATTTAGCTTTACAGACCATATCCTATCCCAGCCCTTTCTGCCTCCCTCTTTTGAAATTGCTTTCTCACTGAGCCTCTATAACCAATGGCTTAGTCTTCAGCAGCACTGAGGGAGAAAGAAGGATGATAATCACCTTTTTAAAGGAGAGCAGAGACAAGAAACAGAAAAGAGACTAAAGTATGTGAGAAAAAAGTTTCAAGAGTACCATCTATTGCAGCTGAATAAATTATGCTCCAAGGAGCAGACTCTCCCTACTAAGAAACTGGAAGTAAAGCTTAGTGAATTGAATAGACTAAATCTGACATGTCCAAATTTTAGTGGCAAATCAGGCGTCTGATTTTCCTGTAGATAAATTAGTGGAGAAATCAATCTATATGGAATCATAGCATTCATTCTGAAGGTTACAAAAATATACAAATGAGTGTCTCCATTGTTGGCTTACTCCATTGTACAATCTTCTTTGTATACTAGAATGTTTAAGTATGGAATGAATTCACTATACACTCCTGGAAGGCTCACATGACTGGAATTCTGTTGACACCTCTGCTGGCAGAGGAGCGGCTTCTGGGAGTGGATGTTGGCCTTGCTTCCCAGCTGTTCTCATTTTGCCTCCGCCAGAGGGAGATGGGAACAGCTGATGGCTTCACCCCCAAAGCTCAGCTTGGCCCCATCATTAGCACATCTCACCCCTGCAGCTGCCAAGGCCAAGACTAACATGCCAGCAGGAAAGCAGCTGACTGACTTTTCTGACTGAGTGTTTGGAGTACTGGAAGTTGAGAATCAAGCTGCCAAGCGGGTTCAACTTATTTTCTGTACATTTTTATGATCCACTCGCTCTAGAGGCCATGAAATGAGGGTGTCTGTTCTTCTCAACACTGTATCCCCAGTTCCTGGCACAAATCTGGGATTACAATAGGCAGCCAACAAATGTGTTGACTAAAAGACCCAAAGAATCATTATCAGAGATGTCTAGTTCTGAAAACACAGTGGACTGAGTTGACACAGCTAGAAAGCCTTTCTACTACAAACACAGAAAAATGTTAAATAAAATGTGACAACCTACATAACTGAACTAGAAAGAAGGGAAAGGAAATTATCAGGGAATTAAGGAATTCCTAGCCAGAGCATCCACCCACTGCCAAAGTCATGGAATCCCAAAGGCCTGGCAGACATAGGACTTCAGCCTGGAAACCATGAGTTCAGTAACAGGAGGTATGATCTTGAACACACAAGTCAGAGAACTCTAGCTAGATCCTTGAATAAAACCAAGCCCAGACAGGCTGCCCTTCCCAAGTCACCAGGGCTAGAAAACCTCTACCAAATGCCACAGGGAAACTTCAAAGTGACATGTCTCCCCAGAGATCTGGTGAGGGTTAGGGAGTTTCGCAAGAGAAATAGAAACTTCAAGCCTTTGCCACATGGGTATGGAGACCAAAATTAGAATAGCCATGTGGTGTAAAATTCCCACAATAACTGGGCTTAGACAAGGGAAATCCCTGAGGCATCTGTCATGAGTAAACAGACTCTGCTCCACAGGAACTCTTCTAATCCAGGGTACATAGGACTCCCATGGAGAGGGTAGCAGTGGAGGGAAAAAAGCTGAAAATGAACTCACAATTTAAAATTGCAAGGCATTGGAAGAGATAATCCACAGTAATACAGAATCAGCATCCTAAGAACTTTAAATAATAACCTGAAATGGATAACAATATATAAATCCCAAATTATTAAAGACATGTAAGAATACAAAGAAAAGATAATAAAAGATAATTTTAAAATATTACATTTTAAGAAGATCAGGCAAGTTTGAAAAAGAGCAAAACAAAGCTTCCATACGTGAAAAAGTAAAGATATTGAAAAATGTGAAGTCAATAGACAGTTTAAACAGCATTTAGACACAGCTCAAGAGAGAATTGGTAAACTGAAATTTAGACTTGTAGACATCACCCAGAATATAAAGCAAAGAGTGATAAAGAGATGAAGAGAAGCTAAAAACAGGAGGACTGAATTATAAGGCCCAACTACATATAACAAAAGTTCCAAAGGAAGTGATGAAGCAAAAACGGCAAGGCAGTAATTAAAGAGATGCTTGCTACATTTTTTTAAATAATTGATTGGATTCAAGAAGCACCACAAGGCCAGAAATACACAAATTTAATATAAAACCATATAAAAACACACGAATAAAATACAGAACTACACATACACAAACACACACACTCCACCACCACCACCAAAGAACTACCTTAAAAGTAACCAGAGAAAAAGGCAGGTTTAGTGCAAAGGCACAGTCATTAAATGAAAGACTCCTTAACAACAACAGGAGACGCAAGGATACAACAGGTAATATCTGCTAAAAGAAAAAAATCGCCAACCTCTGGTTTGGTTATCCATACATACCTAGACTAACATTCATGAAAAAGAAAAACATTTTCCAGGCAAACAAATATAGGGAATTTGCTACTCAGAGACCTTCAATGAAGACTACTTCAATAAGAAGCGACTGGATCCAGAAGTGGAAGTGGTTTGCAAGAAGCCATGGTTAAAAAAAAAAAAAGAAAGAAAGAAAGAAAAAGAAAGGAAAGAAAGGAAACTAGTTGCATTGGATAAATCAGCATAAGCCTGGACTGCTCAGCACAGAACAAAGCCTAGTATTTCCCCACTATCTTTTTTGATGAGAGATGGGTTTCAAAATGGCAGAACTAAAATTCTAGACAATAATAAAAAAACAGGAGGCACAATGAAGGGCACTAAACCATGGTTAGCTTGTAATTGTTTGGGAGGAGGCCAAAGTTACTGACTACCTTTGGACTCTGTGTCTGAAATGCAAATGTTAAAAATTTAATGGTACTACTAAAACTGTGGAAACAGAATATGTAACCTCTAAATTAACAGAACTGGGAAAGAGTAGGTATAAATAATCCTACAACAATAGAAGAAAGAAAAGAAAGGTGTAAAGATAGCAAAAGTTAGTTATTTTCATTAAAGTTAAAAAAAAAAAAAACAAGGAGACTAGCAATCACTTCTTCTTCTTCTTTTTTTTTTTTCTTTCTTTTTTGAGACAGGGTCAGGGTCTCACTGTGTCTCCCAGGCTGGAGTGCAGTGCAAGATCACAGCAGCCTCGACCTCCTGGGCTCAAGCAATCCTCCCACCTTAGCCTCCCTGCGTAGCTGGGACTACAGGTGCATGCCACATATATGACTTTTTTTTTTTTGTAGAAATGGGGTGTCCTTATGTTGCTCAGGCTGGTCTCAAATTTCTGGGCTCAAGTAATCCCCCCTCCCCACCCCCCAGCCTCTCAAAGTGCTGAGATTACAGGTATGAGTCACTGGGCCTGGCTAATCCTTTTGTTTATCATTGTAATGGATATGCTACCCAATGAAACAAGAAAAATAAAGGAAGTAGAATGAATAAGGAATGTATAGGAAAAAACAAAACTTACCCTTTCAGGTGATTATTCTCTTAGAATTTCTATGACGTCAATCTACAGACAAACTATTAGAATAAAAATTGAGCAAACACCTACCTATGATTTGAATCATCAGGATTAAAAAAAAATTGAGCAAGATTTCTGAATTCAAAGTCAACCTACAAAAATAAGTAACATTCATATACACTGAAAAGAAAACATCAATTACAACTTTCAATAAGGAAATGACTCCACAGATAAAACAAGAACAGCCATGAACTGGCACTTGTTGAAACTGAGTGATAGAAACACAGGTATTGATTGCAGTCTGTCTACTTCTGTGTATGTTTAAAAATTTCATATTAAAAAGTTAAAATCTTTTAAAAATAGTGATACCATCTAAAGTGACAATAAATCTATTAGGTACTTAGGATATCTAGAAATATATCTTACAAAGATGCACAAGAACATTGAAGAGAATATTATTGAAAACTTATTGAATAGCATTAAAGGGAACAAATAAATAGAGAAATCACCACATTCATGATGGGAAGCCTTGATGTCATGAGGATGTCAATTCTCCCCTAAATTAGCCTACAAGTCCCCATACAGTATTTTGCAGAACTTAGCAAGAAGATTCTGAAGTTCATATGGAAACACTAAAGTTTCAGGGCTAGTCAAGATAACTTTAAAAGGAGAGGAGGGGAGAAGGAAAGGAGACATTAAACTTTATACTTTATTGAATACTTAGCATGGTCTGAGCACTGTTCAAAGCACTGTATATGTATTCTTTCATTTCACCTGCACTACGGCCCTGTGGAGGTAGATATGATCTTTATCACCATTTCATCAAGGGAAAATGGGGAAAGAAAAAGATTACATAGTTTGTTCAAGGTTTGGGGTGAGCAACGATCCCAATTTGCCTGGCACTGAGAGGTTTCCTGTGATGTGTCATCTTCAGTGCTAAACCTAGGAAAGTCTGGGCACACAGGATGGTTAGTTACTTTCTCAACATCACATGTCAGGAGCCAGGTGGCAGAGCTGATCTGCAAACTCCAGCAAGCTGGCTTCAGTGTCTGCCCTCTGCACCACCACATACCAACTCTATTAGTCAGGGTTCTCTAGAGGGACAGAACTAATAGAGAGGTATATAAAGGGGAGTTTATTAAGGAGTATTAACTCACATGATCACAAAGTCCCACAATAGGCTGTCTGCAAGCTGAGGAGCAAGGAAGCCCGTCTGAGTCCCAAAGCTGAAGAGCCCGGAGTCCGATGTTCAAGGGAAAGAAGCATCCAGCACAGGAGAAAAATGTAGGCTGGGAGGCTAAGTCAGTCTAGTCTTTTCACATTTTTTTTTTCTGCCTGCTTTATGTTCTGGCCATGCTGGTAGCTGATTAGATGAAGCCCATCCAGATTAAGGGTGAGTCTGCCTTTCCCGGCCCACTGACTCAAATGTTAATCTCCTTTGGCAACACCCTCACAGATACACCCAGGATCAATACTTTGCATCCTTCAATCCAATCAAGCTTAACCATCACGCCAACCAATCTAAACACTGAAGGCTTATTGTGAAGTACGGGATACTGAGAACAATATGATGCTGGAACGGAGGTAAATAGAACAGTAGGACAAAGAACCCAGAAGCATATCTGTGTGTGCTTGCTGGTTATCAGAAGTGGAAAAGGATTCAACAAATGTTACTAGAGCAATTGGTTTTCCAGATGGGGGGAAACAGACATGGATCTCATACAAGAAATAAAAATTAAATTCCAGTTATTCTAAAAGCGAAAAGCAAAAATTTTAAATTTAGAAGAAATTATCAACATTTATTTCGGAGCTCAGGAAAGAGAGGAGGATTGTTTAAACTAAACTTAAAAAGAAACATGAGTAAATAAAGATAAATAATTCAAAGAAGAAATACGAAGAACATATAAACACATAAGAATCTTAGAGTCTTTAGTAATGAGAAAAATGCCAATTAAAACAATGAAATATTTAACATCCAGCTTGGCAACATTTAAAAAGCCTGAAATTACCAAGTATTAACAACCACATAGGTAACCAGAGCTCTCCAATAAGTAGGCACATAAATTGGTACAACCAATTTGGAAAGCAACTTAACAAAATACGTTACAGTAAAAAATTTGTGTACTCTACAGCTTAGTAATTCACTTGTAATAGGTTCCCTAGAGCTTACACCCATACCTAAGATAGCAAGGATCCTCTCACCATTGCAATATCAAAAAGTTGGGGAAAACATATTTATTATCAACAGAGGAGTACACAAATTATGATTTAGTCATTCAATTAAAAGGAATGAACCAAGCACATATATGAATAAGTCTAAAATATATATTGATTTTTTAAAAAGTTGCAGAAGGTTGTCATATATAGTAGGGTACCATTTACTTAACAGTTAAATACATGAAGAGTATCAGATATTGATTAGGGGTATGTGTGTGTGTACACACACACGAACCAACCAACTTCACAGTAGTATAGCCTCTGCAAAAGGAAGACTGAGATAAAATAGTCTGAATGGGTGGGGAGAAAAGGTATGGCTATAAATATATCTTTAACATTTTACATCTTTAAATGTTGAAAGTTCTGAAGTACATATAGTAGAATCTGGCTGGCAAAAATATGGGTGTATAACTTATTCTATGTCCATTTTTCAACTTTAAAATTGTCATATTTTAGAAATGAATGATGGGGCCAGATTTCTTTTTCAATCATCTTTTATATGATATTCTCAAATTATACTGAAATTGGCTGAAATAATGATTTTAGCTTAAAAGTTTTACTTAGTATGCTTAATTTCAGGAATGTACCTTTCCATAGGCGGACAACAGCTGCATTTTGAGGTATAATGTAGACCCTAAATCCTAATGCAGGCTCTGAAGAACACTACCAACAACAACAAAAAACCCAGGATGAAAACAAAACCAAAATAGGAAGGCTTTTACACTGTTGGTGGGAGTGTAAATTAGTTCAACCATTGTGGAAGACAGTGTGGTGATTTCTCAAGGATCTAGAACTAGAAATACCATTTGACCCAGCAATCCCATTACTGGGTATATACCCAAAGGATTATAAATCATTCCACTATAAAGACACATGCACACATATGTTTATTGCAGCACTATTCACAATAACAAATACTTGGAACCAATCCAAATGTCCATCAATAACAGACTGGATAAAGAAAATGTGGCACTTATACACCACGGAATACTATGCAGCCATGAAAAAGGATGAGTTCATGTCCTTTGCAGGGACATGGATGAAGCTGGAAACCATCATTTTCAGCAAACTATCAGAAGAACAGAAAACCAAACACCGCATGTTCTCACCCATAAGTGGGAGTTGAACAATGAGAACACATGGACATAGGGAGGGGAACATCACACACTGGGGCGCCTGTCAGGGGGATGGGGAGCTAGGGGAGGGATAACATTAGGAGAAATACCTAATGTAGATGACGGGTTGATGGGTGCAGCAAACCACCATGGCACCTGTATACCTATGTAACAAAACTGCACGTTCTGCCATGTACCCCAAAACTTAAAGTATATTAAAAAAAGTTGCTCATATATCTAGGCAATCCTTCATGTACTCCCAGTATTTCAATTTTTTTTTTTAAAGCAAGACTAGATTCTCAGATCACATTCAGATTCAAGTGAGCATATCTCTCAAAAGCAATGTCTCCATCCTATCCTGGCTTTAATTACAAACATAGCAACACATAATACAAGGAATCTTTTGGCCAAATTGCAGACCAGTGCTCACCATGCCTGCTAGGGGAAGACATGTCAAGGTGTTTCAACATTTCTAAGAATGGATCATCTAAACTGATTAAGCAGTTCAAGGCTTCCAGGAGTAGGTAAACAGACAGAAAACGTTATCCAATGAAGCTGTCCAATTTTTTAAATAGTTGCCAAGAAGCTGAGCTCTTAATGTAGCCTTGGAATGACATAAAAGCTTAAAGGATAAAAAATATCAATATGATGCTGAATTACTCGGCTTTTCCATCCCATCTATCAACTGGAGGCAAGGTATATTGGGCATTCAACAAAGCACAAAAGAAACAGGGTGAAAAATGGGCTGGAGAAAGTATGAAGATTGAAATGGCAGCCTGTGAGAAAGTGTAATATTCAATGTGCACATTTCAATTGGCAAATAATGTTCATTTGAACTGCATTACCGTTCTGCTGAGATCCAAGCTAATTACAATCTCACTGCTATAGTTATGGCAAAGATAGGTTATGAACTGTTTGCCACAGCTAGGTTAAGATCCAGTCTCCAGCGTGAGGTAGACTAGATTGCCTTGCCTCTGACACTGCTGATCTCACTATCTGAGGCTATCATTTCCTTTTCTGTAGAATGAGGGTACTAACAGGAACAACAAGATTCTTTCAGCAGAATTGCAGGAGATAGTGCACGCAAAGACCTGCGCACCGCTCCTGGCACTGACGCACTCGACAAACTCCTTTTTAAGTAACAATGTGCTGGTATGACAATTTTAGGTTTAAAAAAATACTAACCAAACATATGAAGAAACAACTATGAAAAATGCACAGCAACTACTCTCAAAAACATTGTCTAGATTATACCAATTTCACTTCTCCAGCCCAGAGACCTGACAATTAAAGAGCATGGACATACTCCAGAGCTGCTTCATATAGCTCCCTGTGGGCACACAGCCAAAGGGTTGTAGGGCTTAGCCATTTGGTACAGAAGAAACATCTGAAAATTCTACACCTGTCTTTGTAAATCATGGACGCTGCAGAAACCATTTAGCTTAAGGAGGCCTCTGAAACACACTCTGATACAAAATTTTTTTTCTGCAACTCTGATGAGTTCATTACAGCATCATCTACACCAGGAAGGAATGTGCTTAGCTTCTTTAAATGATGTAGCTACATTCCTTAAGAAAAATTTTGTTACAGTTTCCACAGCTGCAACATTTATCTAATTAGGTATATGTTGACTTTGAGTTTTTATAGATTTTGAAAAGAAAGTTTTGAAACATTTAAAAATGAGTTTAATTTTTGTTTCCACAAGGAAGGAGTTAGAAAGTGCCAAATGACAAGTGAGAGAAAGAAAATACATCTATATGTCGAGCATGGTAATCAAAGCCTTGGCTAAATTCTAAATGTACATGGCGGAGTCACAGGTGTTTATCTGTATGCCCTCCTGAAACCCTGCCATAAGGGAATAATTGTAATAACAATAATAGGCTGCGTACCATGGTTCAATGCCTGTAATTCCAACACTTTTGGGGGGCTGCGGCAGGAGGATGCTTGAGCCCAGGAGTTCAAGACCAGCCTGAGGCAATAGAGTGAGATTCTGTCTGTATAAAAATTTAAAAATTATATTTTTTAAAAAAAAACTTTTGAGACAGACTCTCACTCTGTCACCCAGGCTGGAGTACAGTGGCACGATCTCAGCTCACTGTAGGCTCTGCCTCCCAGGTTCAAGCGATTCTCCTGCCTCAGCCTCTGGAGTAGCTGGGATTACAGGTGCCTGACACCATCCCTGGCTAATTTTTGTATCTTTTTTTTTAGTAGAGATAGGATTTCAACATGTTGACCAGGCTGGACTCAAACTCCTGACCTCAAGTGATCCATCTGCTTCGGCCTCCCAAAGTGCTGGGATTACAGGTGTGAGCCACCATGCTTGACCAAAAATTTAAAAATTAAGAACAAATTAGTTGGGCATGGTAGTGTGTGCCTGGAGTCCCAGCTACTAGGGAGGCTGAGGTAGGAGGATCACTTGAGCTCAGAGGGTCAAGGCTGCAGTGAGCTATGATTGCACCACTGTACATCAGCCTGGGTGACAATGCAAGACCCTGTCTCAAAAAAAAAAAAACAATAATAATAATTAAAACACAAAGCAGCAAAGCTTTGGAAGATGGAAAGGGGATGGACAAGTTGTTACCTATTTAGCAGGGAAGAGAGAATGGGAACTTATGACCTGGAAAGGAGGGCAGCCATCAGAAGGTGGGATGGATAAGCAGAACCCTGGAAAGGTTTGGGAACAGGGGGCACTGGGCACTGGAACAGGGGGCACTGTATGGGCCAAGGCCAATACAGGCTGAGGCTGAAAACCTGTATAAGGAGAAGATAGAGCCCTAGATCCCCTGCAAAGCCAACACAGCTAGGTGTTGCCTGTCCTACTCCGACCAACATGGGAGGTGTATTTCCTGAAGACACTGAAGTAGAGAAGTTCTGTACATAAGGACTCCCAGGAATCGTGAAGGTGGGTTAGCAAAGTGCTAAACGGAAAACAAAAGGATTAAGTTTAAACAATACAAGCATACTTAACGGCAACACTATCTTCTTTTCCCCTGCTCAGTTCACAGGCCCTAGAGCCAGGCTTAAATTGCCAGAGTGAAATCGCCTTGGCAGGAAGCTGAAGGATTCTTCCTTGGAGAAATTGACCAGCCTAAGAAAAATAGAGTCTGTGATATGTGGACGTCTCTCAGCAAAATGAATGTTCATCAGTCAGTAAATCCATCTGTGGAAGTACACAGAACTTCTAATCAGCTCTTTAATGCCCCGTTATTAAATATCAACAGAGAGCCAAAAATCAGACATTTGAAGAAAGTCAGACAGATATTAAACAAATGGGGGGGAAAGAGAATCTCAAAGCTAACAATGAGAAAGAGGTGAACAAAAAATGTTTAACAAGTAATGACTAACACATTCAGAGTTAATAGCAATTTTACATCCATTACAAAAAAGAAGAGGACACTATAATAAGAATAAAAGAACATTCATTGCACAAGAAACCTCTTGGAAATTAAATGTGGTAGGATAAAATTTAAAATTATTTATTTATTTTGATACAGGGTCTCATTCTGTCACCGAGGCTGGAGTAGCACGGCATGATCATGGTTCCCTGCAGCCTTGACCTCCTGGACTCAAGTGATCCTCCCACCTCAGCATCCTGAGTAGCTGGAACTAAAGGTGTGTGACACCTTGCCCAGTTAATTTTTTAAAAATTTTTTGTTGAGATGTGGTGGGGTTGGGGGGTGTGGCTCACTATATTACCCAGGCTGGTCTTGAACTCCTGGGCTCAAGCAATCCTCCTGCCTCAGCCTCTCAAAGTGCTGGAATTACAGACATGAGCTACCGTGCCCAGCCAAAAAATTTAAATAGAAGGGTTGGGAAATGAAATTAAATAACTGTCCCAGAAAGTAGAACAAAAATGTAAAGGGATGAAAAATAGATAAGAAAATTAAAGGATGTTTTCAGGAGGCTGGGACATTCAGCTAATAGCAGTTTCAGAAAAGCTGTGGTAAAAACAGTGAGGAAGAAATAATTGAAGAACGAATATAAGAAAGTATACTAAAACTTGACAACATGAATATTCAAACTGAAGGGGCCCACTGAGTTCCTAACAATTACTGATAAGAGCATTGCTAAAGCACATAATCATAAAACGCAAAAATACTAGTGACAACGAAAAAAGATAATCACTTCCAAAAAGAAAAAAAGACTACATTTAAAGGTTTGACAAGCAGAATACCATCAACTTCTCAAGCAGTAATGGCCATAGAGACATTGAAGAAATGCCTTATAAAATACTGAGAAAATATGATTTCTTTCTTGGAATTTTATACCTAAACAAACTAGCAATCAAGGGTGGAATGAATGAATGTGTGTTTATCTATATATTTTATACAAGGTATGCCAGAGACACATTCCAACCTTTGTTTTTACTCACAGAACTGTTTTGTTTGAAGCAGCAATGTACATAGTTAAAAATATTTACTTTTCTAGTATTCTGTACAAGCTAGCAGGGGCCCTGGGTCACAGTCTAGCCAATGATATCTAAGACAAAATCTACTACAAACGCTTATGGAAATATTATTTTCCTGATGAAAATAGATTTGACTGGTTCTGCCTTTTGTCCTTTCTGCTGTATTACTGCCTGGAATGCAGATATGATGCCAAGAGGTACAGCAGCTATCATGAGACCATGAGGAAGTAAGCATAAAGGCAAAAGTCAACATCTACGTATCGCAGATAGAAATAAAAGAAAGTGCTTGGGTCCCCGATCACATCAGTGACCTGACACACCAGTTACACCAGCCACCAAAATACTTACTTTGCAACTGCTTGTAAAGAATACGAGCTTGTAAAAATTGCTGCTGTCATGTTTTTTTGTTATTTGCAGCTGAAAGCATCCCTGACATATTCACAAGTTATCAAAAAAAGTTGTATCTTCCCAACACCCATCCTCAGGAAGTTACTGGAAAACGTGCTCCACAGAAATGAGGAATGAACTAAGAAAAATTTACAGTGCTCAGAATACAGATGATTCAACACAGGAAGGATGCAAGAGGAATTCTTAGCGTCTTGGTAATAAGGGTAGTCCTGAGATAACAGCTGTAATGTATGCCTAAAAAGTAACCCGTGAGTCACATTGGAACAGGAGGATGAGGGGCTCTAGGAAAGATGACATCAGGAAAAAAAAAATCATGGCTAGACTACCTGATGTGTTGGATCATATTGAAAGGAGGTTGATAGTTCTTCCAGAAAGTGTGGAAGTAAAATAGAGGTTGCGTAAGGGATGGGAAAAACCAAAAACCAAGTATTCTCCCTACTCTCACTCTCAGTACCGAATGTTTCACCTCTGGTCACCCAAATGTGTGGGAGTTTCTCCCCACCAACCACCAGTTCTTCAGTAGAGATCAACTGGGAGTCCTACAATTTAACTCTATTCTGACTCTATCTACCTGGAGAAAGCATCAGATCACACAGGTTAAGGGCTCAGTCCCACAAGACTTCCCCCCAATGTCAGATGCCAATCACAAGTAGTAGGTTGTCACACCTATACTTCTGACCAACTAGCTATAAGTTGGGGGTCCACAACCCCCTTCTCAGGTTCAGTTAATTTGCTAGGTAAGCTCACAGAACCACAGAAAACACTTGCTTATATTTACCAGTTTATTATATTAATGAAGGATGTAATTAGGGACACAGATGAAAAACAGTTGGAAGAGATGCAAAGGGCAGAGAATGTGGAAAGGGATACAGAGCTTCTGTGTCCTCTCTAGATACGCCACCCTCCAGGAACTTTGATTTGCTCAGCAATCTGGAAATTCTACAAACCTTGTCCTTTGGGGGGTTTATGGAGGCCTAATTACACAGCCATGATTAATTACACCATTGGCGATCAAGTCAACCTTCAATCCGTCTCCCCTCCCTGGAGGTTGCAAGGGAGGTGGCACTAAAAGTCCCAACTCTAATCATGCCTTAACAAGCTCATTAGCATACAAAAGACACTCTTAATACCCCAGAGATTCCAAGGATTTTAGGAGTTCTGTGCCAGGAACCAGGGGCAGAGACATATTTCTTATTATATCACAATATCACAGCTTGGTGCACAGAAAATAAAGCAAACAAAAATCAAGACAAGGCAATCATTAACTCTAGGAAAAGCAAAAAGTTACAAGAGGGATGAAATGCCATAAAACACTGCACGGCAAAACAGTGAAAAGTATTTGCAAAGTCTTCTTAGTGCAAACATTGAATTTTTTTTTAATGATGGCACTACTATATTGGGTAGTTGAAAAGAAGAGAAGGCAGTGTGTCTGGAGTAGGGTGAGCAAAGGGAGAATGGTAAGAAAGGAGATCAGAAAGGAAAACAGGAATTAGGTCATGCTGAGGTTTGGATTTTCTTTCCTAAGGGTGCTAGAGAGCCACTGGGGAGTTTTAGACAGGAAACTTGAATGCTCTAACTCATGTTTGAAAATAATAACTTTGGCTCTATTGTGGAGGAAAATATACCATGCAGGGATAAGGTGAAAAGCCAGTAGGCCCGTTGGGTAAGAGGGATAAGAGGCTTCTGCAGAAGAGATTTTTCCTATAATGTGGCCTGGACTGGGAAAGGCACACTTCGGGATGTAAGGAAGTGGGTAGGTGGGAATATACTTAGGAGGTTGGTGGCTTACGGAGTAAAAAGAGGGACACAGGGATGACTTCCTGCATGTCAGCACAAGGCATGTGGAGAAGGCAGAGGAGGTTGTTACTGGGTTCAGGAAGGCTGGGGAGGGAATGATTTGCAACTAGAGAGTCTGGGATCTAGGGTTCTGTTTTGGACTTGTTAGGCCGAGTTGCCCCAGAAAGTACCAAGTAGGCAACTGTGCCAGGGCTCAGGGTACAGACAAGGCTAGGGAGAAACTCAGAATATGCTCAGACTCAACAGGTAGTAATTCCTCCTTTTCTCTTGCCAATGCAAAGAAATGTTTCATTATATGTTTGGCGTTTTATACGGCCTCAATGGTATGATTTGGGGCACTGATTGATTGAAGACTTGATACTGAGAATCTAAGGGTAAACAAGCAGTGAATCCTGGAATATATCACAATAGGTAACCCATTCAAAGTGCTTAGGCCTCCCTGGTTTTCTATTTTGGGTCATATCTGTCTTAAGGAAACACTCTCTCTACCAAAGCTGAACTCATAAAATAGTAAAAGTCCTCCCCCGCCCACACACACAAGAAATAATTTCCCATTATTAGCTGGATTTAATAAACATTTTCTTCCAAAAAAAAAATTTGTCCCTGCTCAGTAGACTTCTCTTTATGTGTACAAAGCACGTGCCAAGTTAAAGACCATGTCAGGCACACTTTGAGACACTTTCCGTTTTTTAAAAAGTTCTTTCTTAATAAACATTCAAAAGGACCAATTTGTTTAAAAGTCTTTCAAAGCACAATTCACTACAGGTCGTAGAGTTCTTTAAACCCTCAGCAGGATTCTTTCTTGACTTTCTCATTGCTTTGTGCAATCTTTGTATTTAATCATTTATCCCCGAATTGGTCTTCGCAGTGTGGCTTTTAACAAGAACTGGGTTTTAGCCACATTACAGTAGACGCGGTGGGGGCGGAGGGCAGCAGTGGCAATCGCAAAATAAAACGTATCATAAAGTGGTAACGGTTCGTGATTTAGGCCAGTTGTTGAAAAATAAATGCCTGTTATATAGAATCACAGAACTTGAGAGCTTGCGGCCAAGGGAAGTCGTTCATCGGTGGACCGACAGCGCCCCGGGCGGCAGAAAGAAGGCGGCGGCGGCGGAGACCCGGGGAAGTTGCCGGATTTTTAAAAAGGCACCTGCTGGGTGAGTCCTCACTGTGCAAACGGGAGCCACAGGTGCCCGATTTTAAGGGGCTACAACTCGGGAAAACCTAAGTCTGTAAAACTAAGTACGTTAAACTAAGTAAGTTCTCGCTGTGCACCAAGTTGATGGGGGCGATTATTTACGGCGGAGAAACTGAGTGGAGGAAGGAGGGAGAATTCCGCTAAAGTTTGCCTGCGACTGACAGCTAGGGAGTGACCTGGAAGCCAGGAAGAGGGGCAGAGAGGAAACTAAAGAAGTAGGTAAGAGAGTCAGTTTATGAAAATAGAGCCTGCTGTGGAGAGCAGCAGGCACACCTGCGGAGGAGGGGGCTGCCTCACCTGCGGGGCCGCTGCGCGCCCCCCTAAGTGTGTTAGCGGGGGAGGCGGGGCTGGAAAGGAAACCTGGTGAAGGGCTGGCCCGGAGCCTGGGGTGGGGATATTCACTGCGGGATAGGGCCAGCAAGAGGACCCGACACGCATCGTCCCGAGTGACACGTGTAAATGTCAAGATACAGAGACATCTGCAAATGTCACCCAAGAGGGTGAGGACGGGGGAGCGGTCCCGAGGCTGTGCCCTCCGGGGCAGGTACTGGCTCCTGTGGGGCTGCGGGCCAAGTGTCGCCCTTCCCCAAGGAATTGGCACCTGGGGGGGGGGGGTCGGTCTCGCCGCGCTGGAAGCGCAAGCCCCGGGGCTCCGGAGATGCGCCGGGGCGCGTCGCCCCTCGGGGCAGCCCTGGACCTCGGCGCGCCCAGGCGCAGCGTGCGGTGCCCTCGGCGGGGCGGGCAGCGAGCCGCCCTAGTTCGGCGACTTACCTCGGGCCTCGCAGGGCGCGAGCAGAGCACCGGCCAGGGCGAGCAGGAGGGCGCGGGCGGGGGACACGGGCAGCGGGCGCGCTGCCATCGTCGCCGGCCTTCAGTGCAGCAGCTCTCGGGCCCGGCGGCGAGCGCTGCACCATCCCACGCGGGCGCCGAGCCGGGGCCGGGCGTCGCGACCGGAGGGATTTCCTGCCTCGGCGAGTCAGCTCCGGAGCCCTCGCGCAGCGCCCGCGCCGCCGCTGAGCTCTTCTAGCCTTTCATTTTTAAAAAAGTTTCCCCCCGTGTGTGTGCGTGCGTGCGCGCGCGCGCGCCGTTCTGGCACAAGCCAGCCTTGACCGTTGCAATAAATGAGCAAACTGTCCGAGTTGGCCCGGGGACTAGGAAGAGCGTTAGTGAGAGAAGGCAGGCCTGTGAAATGGATCCACGGCCAGCAGTCACCGTTCTTATTACCGCGGAACAAATTATTGTCTCCCCCGCACCCCCGCCAGTTGGCGGCGTCCCGCGGGTCCTAGAGACCGCTCGGGTCCCCCCGCCAGGGTCCCGCCCCGAGCCGCGGCTCGCTCACCCCCGAGGGTGGGCGGCTCAGACGTGGCTCAGTGGCGTCCGGGCGCCCGGAGCGCACACGTCCCCGCCCCAGGATGATGTGGCCGCAGGGCCCGGGGCGCCCGGCTGCCAAGCGCACATGCGGCGGCACGGTCCAGCTTTTCAGGCTGAAGCTGGAAACGATGACTCTGCTACTCGCTCCCCGGCTCTCTGGGAACCCTCGGAGTGCGGGTCAGGTCTCCACCGCGGCCCACAGCCCGGCGCGCGACCCCGCCCGGCCCTAAGCGCCCAAAGGGGCATCTCTCGCCCGAGAAACAAGCTTGGACTCGCAGGCACAAGACACCTGGGCGTTACTTTTGATCAACAGTGTTAGGTTTTACGTTGATAGATTGGCTCACGTTTCCATTCCATGACCTGGACCCAGAAAAGGGTGTACAGTGACGTTCCCCAAACTTTCCTGATTGTAAGAAGCACCTGGGTTGGCTTGTTAAAAAGATTCCCGGGCGCCCTCCTACGCTTTCAGAATGAGACTCTCCAGGCTGTGAGGCCAGGGGAGCCCAGGGTGTTTGGAGAAACACCAATGAAAGAATGGTGCGCCTTGCCTTCTCATCCTTGTTCCGGGCTGACCCCACCTCTTCAGCCTCGCTCGGCCCTCAGGGAGACCATGAAAAGCAGCAGCGAGGGGGCCCGCACAGACAGAAATGGCTGGAGCTATGGAGGATGGCTGATGCCCACCCTGCGGGTTACCATGATTCCCAACCTTGGGGACTTATTAGAATAGTAAGAGTTAAAGACATTGCCAGCCCCAGACACCAGTTAACTCAGTTTCCCACAATGCGTGGAGCTCAATAGTTTTCAAAGCCTCAGGTGATTCTACTGTGCTGCTCAGACCTAGGACCACCTGCAGAAATTCCATCCTGGTCCTGCGACCTCGCACCGATTCCTGACGGAGCACCCACTCCTAGGAGGCGGTTATCCAGCATTTGAGGAAGCTGCCTTCCATACCATCTCTTCCCACTGCAGAGGAGTTTTCTCAGGAGTTCCCTCCCACGGCAGGTTTTGCAGTGTTCCCAAAACCCAGGTCGATCCTCCTAACAAGGTGCAGGACTTTCTTTTTAAAAAACCTTAGTGGGAAGCACAGGCTCTCCAGCCCCCTTCCCAATGCTGCCATATCTCAGTACCAGATCTGGAAACCAGGCCTGGTTCAAGCCCTGTGTCATATCTAACCGTACTACCAACCAGCGTTGCAGTGTACTTCTTTTGTTCATTCATTCAGTCAATCTACATGAGCAACCCTATGTTAGAACTTGGGAAACTAAACGAGAAAGCCTCTTGCCTTCAAAGACTTTTCTTTCTGATCAAACTGATAAATCATCATTATTGGACAGTGTGAGCTAGTTACTTAACCTAGTTAATAATGATTAGGCTTGTTTACTGATATGGTTTGGCTGTGTCCCCACCCAAATCTCATCTTGAATTCCCATGTGTTGTGGGAGGGACCTGGTGGGAGGTAATTGAATCATGGGGGCAGGTCTTTCCTGTGCTGTTCTCATGGTAGTGGATAAGTCTCAAAAGATCTGATGGTTTTAAAAAGAGGAGTTCCCCTCCACAAGCTCTCTCTCACTTTCTGCCTGCTACCATCCATGTAAGACATGACTTGCCCCTTCATGTCTTCTGCCCTAGCCATGTGGAAATGTAGGTCCATTAAACGTTTTTCCTGTATAATTTTACCCAGTCTTGTGTATGTCTTTATCAGCAGCACGAAAACAGACTATTTACTACTTCATAATTCATTACATACCTCGTATAATCGGAGTATTGTGCTAACGTCTTTCACCTGCATTATTTCATTTTTTAAGTCCTGAATATACAGATGAGGAAACTGCAGCATAGAGATGTAGCTTTCCCACCACCACACAGTGAAGTAGGTCAGAGCCCAACCTCAGATCTGTTAAAGATAAAGCCTGTTTCTTTAAGGCTGAGTTCCAACCTTCAGTTTTAGCAGCTGTTAAGTGAAGGTAAAATACAAACCTCCCAGGTGGTTGTGAGCACCAGGTGAAATAATGCAATGTCTCCCAACCCACCTGATCCCTGGGATGTCTGTTAAGAATTCAATTCCTCTGGCGTTTGCACTGGAGATTCTCATTAGAAAGGTCTGGGAAGGACAAGTTTTAGCAAGTACTTAGGTGATCCTGATACTTGTGGCCCATAGAACTTCAGACACATCGACGCAAGAGAATTAAAAATTGTTTTCTTCCAGCTCAAAGGGCCAGATTTGCTTGCAGATGAGCCCAGCCACTGGCCTCTCGGATCCTTCTGACTGGTTAAATGGTTTATTCACAATGGACCTAACATGTGCTGTGCACTGGGCTGGGGGCCTTGTATACATTTTCTCTTAATGATCAATTTATTTTCGCTCTTTCATATTCAATTGTTAATGTTGACTGTAAAAGTCCAATTTCTTTTAAACCTGGATGTTGCAAAGCTTCCTCCAAAGAACTAAATGTGCCCCAAGACTGTCCTTGATTTGTTTCTGACTGAACGAAAGAAAACAGCCATTGCAGAGGAAAAATGAAGAAAAATAAAATCCTGGCTGCAAGCTCTGGATTTCAACCCTGTAATTCACCATCTCTGTGAAGCAAGCGGCCTGGGCTGACACTGTCTCCACAAAGCCTTCATAGACATCAATAACAGCCAGCTAAGGCAAAGAGCAAATCCTGCGTCTGGCAGATGGTCTGTCTTTGGATGGAAATTCTGCCTCCTCATTCACAGGAAATGGAAGCCGACATCACATTCAATACTGGATTGTTAGGTAATGGTGTGGGGTCAGAGGCCAGGATCTACACACGAAAATTTCAGATAGATGGCTGGTTGTCCCTTCCTTTCTGGAAGAATTGACCTTTGCAATACTGTTTCCTGTGTGCTATTTTCGTTTAACAGCCTGGGCATTCACAACGAACAGGGCACTTATTTCTTACCCAAGCTCATGTAAGCTCAATCTGCTCTGAGTACAAGCAGATGAAAAACGGAGACAAACTTTCCTAAGCCAGGAATTTACAGGCAGCCACTGCTAATTTCTGCAGTAAGTGAAGAGCCGGCCTCCTTGCAGAGTGACCTATTGACAGAACTTCAGACACAGGCTTGCAGAACAGCTTTCCTCTCTCCAAGCACAGTTCCCAAGGCTTACTCCAAACGTAAACAAATGTGATCACCCCAAGATTAAGATTCTTGGAAATCATTTTTATTCTATCTCTTGGAGAGATGAAAACTCCTGCTCCTCTCGGCGTATTATAATAACATGTAGTCCATTTTTCTTTTCCTAGATCTCTCACTTCAAGAATCCATGCCTTCACCTCCTCAGAAACCTGCCCCCAGTGAACCTCTTCTGGGCAGATTAAACCCTCTTGTCTCTGATGCTTTCATTATTGCACAGAATTAGCACTTAAGTAGCACTAAACGCCAAAGAAAGAATGCTCCTGGGGCTGGGGACAAGGAACTCGGGGATGCGCTGTGTCACAAGAGACAGGAAAGGTCACCCCATCTATATTCATCTATGTCACCTACCCACTGACCAGTCAACTTCTCCAACCAAGTGACAGTCATACTTCACTTAACAAAGATACATTCTAAGAAATGCATCATTAGGCAGTTTTGTCGCTGTGTGAACATCACAGAGTGTACTCACACATCTAGGTGGTACCGCCTACTACACATCTAGGTTTTATGGTATAACCTGTTGCTCCTAGGCTACGAACCTGTATGGCACATGACTCCACTGAATACTGTAGGGAATGGTACAGCAAAAAGGCAGAAAGGTACAGTAAAAATACAGTGGAAAAGATTTTAAAAAATGGTACACCCGGATAGAGAAGCTCCATTATAATTTTATGGGAGCATCCTTACAAGTGCTCAAGTGCGTACCACGTGATTGACCAAAATGTCATTTGGTGACTCATGACTGTACTGTGATGGGAAACTTATTATGCCCCTCCCTACACACCCCCAGATTCCATTTTACGTACCCCAAGTGACTGACAGTACTAAGAGAAACAGACACCTCCTGGAGCAGCAGCAGCTGCTGAGACAGCCTCCTAGACCAGGTGCTTATCTCTCCCGCCATCAGCGGGGGCAGGCTGAGTGCAAAGCCAGCACACAGCGAAAGGAAAAGGGGAATCTCAAAAACAAACATGAACTATGACAAGAATGACCAAACATTTGAGGATACTTCATTTAAGAAATAGGGCTGGCCGGGTGCGGTGGCTCACGCCTGTAATCCCAGCACTTTGGGAGGTCGAGGTGGGCGGATCGCGAGGTTAGGAGATCGAGACCATCCTGGCCAACACGGTGAAACCCCGTCTCTACTAAAAATACAAAAAATTAGCCGGGGGTGGTGGCGGGCGTCTGTAGTCCCAGCTACTCGGGAGGTTGAGGTAGGAGAATGGTGTGAACCCGGGAGGCGGAGCTTGCAGTGAGCCGAGATCGTGCCACTGCACTCCAGCTCCAGTCTGGGCAACAGAGCGAGACTACGTCTCAAAAAAAAAAAAAAAAAAAAGAGGGCTTAATCATCTTCCCTTTTCATGTGGGCTGGGCTTAGTGACTCTTTTTTTTTTATTTCAATAACTTTTGTGGTACAAGTGGTTTTTGGTTACATGGATGAATTATATGGTGGTGAATTCTGAGATTTTAGTGCACCTGGGACCCAAGTAGTATATGTTATCCCTGATGCCCCTCCCATCCTTCCCCTTCTGAGTCTCCATAGACCATTATACCACTCTGTGTGCCTTTGCACACTCATAGCTTAGCTCCTACTTATAAGTAAGAACATATGGCATATGGTTTTCCAGTCTTGAGTTACTTAGAATAATGGCCTCCAGCTCCATCCAAGTTGCTGCAAAATACATGATTTTATTCTTTTTTATGGCTGAGTAGTATTCCATAGTGCATATATACCACATTTTCTTTATGCACTCATTGGTTAATGGGCATTTAGATTGGTTCCATATCTTTACAATTGTGAATTAGTGACTCATTCTAACAAAACGCAGCCTAAGTGAGCAGTGTGTAAGTTCTGAGGCCAAATCATGAAAGGCATTTCAGCTTCCTCCTTGACTCAGGTTGCTCGCTCTGGAGGCAACCAGCTGCCATGTCGTGAGGAGCCTCAAGCAGACCAGTGGAGTAGAGCTGAGGTGGGGAATGAGGTTTCCTGCCAATAGCCATGTGAGTTAGCTACGTTGCAAGTGGATCATTCAGCCCGTCATTTTCAGATGACAGCAGCCTTATGAGAAGACCCCAGGGCAGAACCATTCAGCTAAGCTGCTCCCAAATTCCTGACACACAGAAACCCCCTGAGATAATGAGTATTTGTTGTTTTGACCCATTACTTTGGGGAATAATTTTTTACACAGCAATAATTGTTATGCATGTAATAAAGCGAACATTCCATTTCTATGGATTTTTCTAGCTTTTGGAATGTCTTGATAATTTCAATATGAAGGGCACCCTTCTTGTTTATCAGCTTTGAAAACAGGGTGTAGATAGGGTGGCCATGGGTCCCAGTCTTGTCCTATTGTACTTATCAACGGCAGTCCCTTTCTCTCTCACTAGAGTCCTGATTTGTAAACAAAGTGCACAGTTATCCTGTCTGTAGATAAATGTTTCTTTTGTGCCGTGTCTTCAGGGCAGGAGGGATGGGCAGGCACACGTGCTTGGTTGTACATCTTGACTTGATTCCTTCCATGAAGGTTGGTTGGCTGAATGAGCTCGCTCGCGGTGATAGATACCAAGCCACAGCTCCCAAAGCAAAACTGGCTGAGGCCATGAAGACTCACAAGATTGTCTGAGTATCCCCACTACACGGTTAGCCAGTCACACAGTGATCTGATCTGGACTGCCGTTTCCGGAAGTTGTAAGACATTTTTCACCTCCTGCCAAAGTACCTGGGGCTCTGCTGGTGGCTGTATCTTGAATGCATCCAAGAGAAGATGTGATGAAAGGTCATGCTTGCTCTTTCTCTTAGAGAGAATCACCAGAGGAAGCATAGTGGCCCCACCACCCAGGCTGGCCACTCAAGTGTCAGGTTTCTGTTCCTGCAAGGATGCATGGACTCCCAGAAACCAGGAGGGCTGGGGTGGATGGAGGCTGGGGGAGGACTCCAAGGTGCTCTGGGGACAAGTCTTGGCCTCCCTATCCAATCTCCAGCAGGTTTCTTCCTAGGGAGAGAGGCCAGACCTACTTTACGATAACGCAGGAAAAGCCATCCCAAGACCTACATGCCTTATTGAAACTCCGTCTTTACCTGATCTCTCTTGTGGCAAATTAGGCCCTTTGCCTCTTATTCTGTGCCCTTAAAATTGGCAAATAACTAGACACTGGTCCCACTTCATGTACTTGAATATAGTTCCCATTTTGTCTCTACTGTTTCAGGCAAATCAACCCCAATTTCTTTAATGTACCCCCTGGGTCCTATTCTCACTCTTTCTAATCATGTTTGTTGCTGTCCTTTGGCACCTCTCCAGTTTCTTGATTTCTCTTAAACTGTGGAGGCCAAATGTGGCTACAGAGTTCCAAGAAGGGTCTGCATGAAGCCAAGGGAAGCAGAGCACTGGCTGATTGCGCCTAGTGGGGTCTCTCTGCAGCTGAGACTTTTAACTCCTTTTTGGAGGCCTGACCTAGTTTCTACTCTGAGGATGAAGAAGCGATTCTGGGTCTGGGGAGGCCAGCTGCTCTGAGAGCAGGGTGGCTGACCCTGCACCCATCCGCTCCCAAGCCCTGCATGTGGTATGTGCAGTCCCCCTCCTTTACCATGGTTATTTCAGTCTGCTTCTTAGACCTCAATTTTCTCCGCTGCTTCAGTTTCTCTCAGTTCTGCATCCTGGTGAGCACTTTTGTCCAGGGCTCCATTCTCCCTAGAATTAACTCCTTGATGAGCTCAGGCAGAAGAGACAACTCAGAAGTACCAGGGCCTGGGATCAATTGTTGTTTCTCCTACATTAAGCTCTGGTCTGGACTCTAATGCAGCTTTAATTGTTTAGCAGTTACCAAGCATTTAAAATTTTCATCTCCATCAGATCCTGAGCCAGCAGCACCCCACTGCTGCAAGTCCCCCAGCACTCCTGAGTGAAGGAATTATCCCACCGCCTTCCTGGATAGAAACTCCAGCATTCCTTTCCCTAATATCCCTAAGCCATACTCACAATGTTCCAGCTTTCTTTGTCCTAGGCTGAGCTGAAAAATAAAGAACCAATAGTTGAGGAAGCGTCCCCACAGGTTAAGGACACAGACACAGATCCTGCCTTCAAAGACCTCCTGGTCTTATGATACAGAGAATGGCTTTGAGCCTACCTAAAATAATAACAACAGGGCCTGTCCTGCAGCCACTCTGTCCAAGGCCTCCAAGATCTCATCAACCCTCATTGAGACAGTTAACTACTCCTCCTCTTTTGAGAGGAAATGGTGCCTTTGAGAAGTGGCTTGCCCATGAACACAAAACTCAAAAGTGGTCCACCTGGGATTGGAGGCTGGGTCTGTCTGACTCCAAAGATCTTCCATTTCATCTTCTCCCTGCCAGTGCTGGTCCAAAACTCGAGTCATCGTTGGCCCCTTCCTTTCTCTCTCCCTGAACCACACCCATCAAGTCCTGTGCATGCCACCTCAGAAATATCCCCCTGGCTCTGCCCTCTCCATACAATCCCCCAGGGTAGATAACCATGGTGCCTCCCCTCAAAGACAGGGGTAGGGTCCTGAGGCTTGTTTTGTTGTTATTCTAGCCACTGCTCCTGCAAAGGCACTTTTAAAATGGAAATCTGACAAAACTTTCATGGGTCCTCATTGTCTTCAGAAATATATTGAATCTACTTCATGAGACATACAAGGCAATTTGGGGTTGGTCCTGATATGGTTTGGCTGTGTCCCCACCCAAATCTCATCTTGAATTGTAGCTCCCATAATCCCCACATGTCATGGGAGGGACCCAGTGGGAGGTAATTGAATCATGGGGGTGGGTTTTTCCTATGCTGTTCTCATGATAGTGAATAAGTCACATGAGATCTGATGGTTTTATAAAAGGCAGTTCCCCTGCACACACTCTCTTGCCTGCTGCCATGTAAGACATGCCTTTGTTCCTCATATACCTTCCACCATGACTGTGAGGCCTCCCCAGCCATGTGGAACTGTGAGTCCATTAAACCTCTTTCCTTTATAAATTACCCAATCTTGGGTATGTCTTTATTAGCAGCATGAGCACGGACTAATACAGACCACAGTCAGCACTCCCAGGCTCCTCTCTTTCCTGCCACCTGACACAGCACCATCCTCCAGTCACATGGCACCACTTGACTTTTGCAAAATGTTGAACATGTCATGGTTTTCCATGTGCTTCTCCCACTGTCTGAATGCCCTCCTCTTCCACTCCGTAGAGGATCTATCCTTCAAGGTCCAGAATGGCACCATTTCCTCTGTGATGCCTTCTCTACCTCTTCAGGCAAAGTGAACATTTCATTTTGTGCTCCCACAGTTCTGTGTATCCGCTGATAGCATGAGGCTTAATGCTTGGTGGTATAATTATTGCTGGGCAAGCCTGTCTGCCTTGCGAGACAGGGATCCCCTTGGAGGTAACCCCGTCTTGCTCACTCTTATTGTCCATGCCTAGCTCAGTGCCTAGGAAAGAGAAGGCACAGGAATTTCTGGTTAAGTGGATAAATGAACCAGTGTGTGCAACCACGTTCCCATCTGGGTCTTTAGGAATTTTTCTCTCTATATAGTTTCCCAATCCAGGCTTAAGGACAGGGATTCCATGTAAGTGTATTTATTGCTGAGGTTCAAGACAATAAGTGGACAATATTTCATTTCTCTCACAAACTATTTTTCCAATAACCTCCCTAATTATTCCAGTTAAGGCTCATTACCATTGCAAATCAAGTTTGAACTGATATTCACAGAGCTAGCAATCTGTACTGGGACATGTTTTATTTTTGAAAATCTTTGATTTTTAACTAAGTCTGTTACTTCTGGTACTATTTTAAAATTTAATAGAAACAAAATAAAACTCTTTTAAGGCTCTAAACAACCTCAAACTGTGTTTTGTTCTGGTAATCAGACAATACATAAGGACTGTGGTTAGTTGGAGATATTGCCAACAATGGAAAAAATAAATATGAGCCTGAGTCAGAATAATCTGAAACCAGAAATGTGTGTTGGTAATAACTCAGAAAGTCACATGGAAGAGCCTCGGTCACAACACCAGATTTGATGGTTTTTCAAAAATTACAATCTCATATATTAGAGAGCCCCTTCCACCTGGTAGAGTGCCAAGAATTCTTACAAAATTGAGTCTTGAGAAATCAAAATCCTGCACCATCAGGAAAATGCTGTCTCTGTTGGGGGTAAGATATAGACAGTCTGGTGCATGGAAAAGTGGCCCCCAGTGATGAGGACACAACATTGTCATTAAAGGGGAGACTGTTAAATCAGGTAAAAGCCATTCCTGCAGCCTGAGCCTTTTAGGCACTTTTCCAGCAGCAGAGCGGGAACTGCAGCATCACTCTGGGTGGGGGGGTTACGGAATAGGATTCCATGTCCAATTCCACTGCACTGAAATACCAGAAGCATGACCCAATAATGTGGTTTTGCTATTCAACACCAGTGCTTATTCACCTACCCAGGGAGGGGAGAAAGTATCCTGCTTATTCATCCCCAAGCAGAATGTTGCCCTCAACCCCATGCTGGGCTTCCTAATGACATCAGGCTTAAATCTGCCACTTGGTCCTGATGACCAGCAGCCGTGATCTCTGCCCTGGAAAAAGAAGATGCAGGCAGCAATGGTACCGTAGAGTGTCTGGTGTCACCCTTGTACCCCAAATGGTCCTCTAGCATTTAAATTAGCCTTAGCAGAACTGGCACCAGAGGTCTAAACATGAAATCTTTCTAGAGCTGAATGCTATTTCCTTCTTCTGCCTAGATTTATGGCAATTGACCTATTTTACAGCTCTCTTACTGACCTACTTTCAAGTTCTATTTCGGAAAGTGACACAAAAGTCTTTTGTATCCCTGCAAAAGAAGAAGAGGCTAAAACACATACATAGGCACCCATGAACACTTACACTTGCAGAAATCAAGGCCGGAGTAATTTTCCAGAAAGGAGCATTTGTTTTCTGTCACCAAAAAAAAAAAAAAAAAAAAAAAAATTAAACTCATCAGAAAGTACTTTAAGAAGTGTCAACAGTACTTCAAAACTAAATATAAATATATATGTTCAAAACCAATAATACGTATAATTTATTAGATCTTATTTTCTGGTAAAATACCTGCGGGGTAATGTCAATGCATGTTGGTGGAAAACTTCATTTTACACACAGAAACCAGGCAATTTTTATATGAGTCATGGTAGATTTAGATGCAAATGGCCCTCTAAACGTCTCCTCCTGCTTAGTGTCACTTTAATCAGAGGTTGCATATCTGAGCTGTAACCCCATAGTAAACTGGAGGAATAAAAATTACATATCTGTTTAATGAGAGAGTTGTGTTCTGGTTAGCAAATGACCCGACATCCGGCTCCCAAGCTTGGGTAATAAGGCTGCCCAACAAGATGCTATGATAATGGCAATTATCATTGAAGTAGCACGAATTACAGCCAAACACTTCACATATGTTATTTATAAACTTCCCTATTGCCCTGTGAAGTATATTTCAGTTTCACAGATGAAAAATGAAGGCTCAGTGATATCAAATAATCAAAACCTTAAAACTACTAAGTCGCAAACTAGGACTCAAACACAGGACTGCCTAATTCTAGAATCTACATTTTCTTTCCATAAACCATAATGCCTCTTGTAAAAGTCAATTCTACCCAAATGTGTACTTAAATCCTGTGATTATCCTACCACTAGTTAACCACTTGGTTTCTGTCATTTACTGCCCACAGAATGGGAGTTCTCCTTAGCATTGATCAATTTTTAGGTCGATTAAAAATGGAAAGATACTGAATACGATGTGGTATCCTGTACTGACTCCTGGAACAGAAAAAAACATTAGCGAAAAAAACAGTGAAATCTGAATAAAGTCTGGAGTTAACAGCAATATACTAATGTTGGTTTCTTAGTTTTGACAAATGTACTCTGTTATTTTAGATGTTGACGATAGGGGAGCCTGGGTGAAGGGATACGGGGGACCTCTCAGTACTGACTTTGCAACTTTTATGTAAATCTAGAATTATTCCAAAACTTAAAAGGGGGAAAAATAGTAGTTATCCTGTGGTTCCTGATTATCCAGGCAATTCAAATCAAGATTTGCACCAAGTATTATTTATTGCAGGCAGAATAGACACATGGAGTAGCATTTTCCAATTCTACATCTATGCATTAGGACTAACAAATTTATTTAAAAGTGCGACCAAATGCACTGTCCTTATATATTTTCTTAATGAATGCCAAGGATGGAACTACTATTCAGTATAAAAATGGCTGACAATATAAAATGGTCTCAAAAGCTAAGTGGGCAAAAGTGTATATAATATAATATGTAATATAATAAAAGTATATGTAATACAACATTTATCCAGGAAGTTGTGATATAAATATATGTGTGTGGGTATAACATTATACATGTACTGTTAATACATTGATTTTAAATGAAAAGATAAACCATACATATTTTTAAAAATTATCTCATATAAGGGGATGAAGAGATATGACAGAGAGAAAAAGGAACAGGTCAAATACCTCAAAATATGCTTCGGTTTGTAGATTTGATTTTGAAACCACATAAATATTTTTACATAATTATGAAACAAATTGAAATATTAAAAAAATCAGTTCCTAAACATCAAAACCAAAATGGAATAAACATAACTATTGATTTGTGGCATGTCCACAAAGAAAGAGACAATTTCATGTGACTTAAAAACATTAATTTCATTGTACATCCTTAGTGAGACATGCCCTAAAAACAAAAAGAACATAAAAAAGAAAAAACAACTTCAATGGTTTTTAACAATCCTATTATTGGCTATAGGGTTAGAGTCATTCTTCTGGGTTTTAAGGTTGATGAGATCAAGTAAAATACCCCTTAAACTCTAATTGAAAGTATTCGTATAAACTCAGGACATATTTTGTTTTAGAAAAATAAAACCTATTTTCTAGCTTTGTGCACTGAAAGGGTCTGGAAACAATGACCAACCCATTAATAATGGTGCTTTTAGTGCCTAGATTGTGATCTCTCTGCCATTTCCCCTTAAATGCAACCAGGGCTCCTTGGAAATATGACTGATTCCGGGTCTCGGGCAGGAAATATATAAGGTGAGCTATAATATCTTGTCATGTCCAAAGAAAGGAAGCTGTCAAAGATCACTAGAGTCATGTCAAAAGGACACGTGAGCTAACCTAAGTTCCCATTAGTCAAAGATGGGACAATTTGAACAGAAACAATAACTTAATGTATTGAAACATGCCAAATATGTTTGTATTCATGAGTTCATTAGGATAAGTCAAAAAACAGGCAAACAAACCAAATGTCTCTTTGATTGCTCAGGAAGCTGGAGAACCAAGCCATTATTTTGAAAATGGGTTAATAAAAAGAAAGATTCAAACATTTATCCTGACTTTTCTGTATCAACTCTATCTGAGAGTATTCAAATAGTTGATGAGAGAAAGTCTCTTTTTGTTGAATTAAGCCAGGTAATATGTGAAGAAGGAACGGTAGATTTAGGAATTACCATACTGTAACCTCTGCTGAAATAAAAGATCTAGGGATGATCATTGCTGGCTACTTACTGGCCAGAGGTGAAGCCTCGTGATGAAAGTATACAACCCTACATACGGATCTAGCCAAGGTGACTTAAAAATATGTAAGGAGCAGAAAAGCACGTTCAAAGACACCCCGGGAGTGCAACTAGCTAAATCTGCACTGTGGGAAATGAGTGGCGCTATTCCACTTGGGTCTATAGACCAGCATCAGCATCATTTGGGAGCTTGTTAAAAATGCAGATTCTCAGGCCCTGGCCTGGACCTACTGAATCAGACTCTCTGGGGTTGGGCCCCAGGAACCTGCATTTTAACACACTTACCAGGGGGTTCTTTTCTATGCTAAAGTGTGTGAAGCATTGATGTACAGCACAAGCAACCTGGTTTAACAATGAACTGCAAGAAAACTCAGAAGGGGGATCTATGGATTCAAAAGGAATTTTGAAAAATAGCAGCAGCATGCAGTATTTGAACAACCTGTAAACATGTTTTACAAGAGAAATGGAGAAATATGAATATCAACTTGATATTTACCATTAAGAAGCTATTGTTAATTTTTTAAAGATATGATAGTTATCTTGTGGTTATGTTTTAAAAGAGACCTAACCATACGCACTTAAATATTTGTGCATGTAATGATGTCATATTTGAGATTTGTTTCTAAATAATTCTAGGGTAGGAGATGGGGAAATAGGTGGGGATATAACTGAAATAAGATTAGACATGGCTTCATAATTATTGGGATTCGGGCACATGAGAGTTGACCATACTACTCTCTCTCTTTAATGTTTTCAATCTTTCCATAAGATGGTTTCTTTAAGAAAGACCAATTCAGAAAAATAGTATATCAATTATAACAAAATGTTAACAACTGTTCAATTGGATTGATGGTTTATTAGAGTCATATTCAATGTTCTCCCTGCTTTTCTATATGCTTAAAAATGATGTTCATAATTATAAATTTTTTAAAGTTTCATTGGAAAAAATTTGAAATAGGTTCTCATGCCTAAAATGTGAATGTCACTGTAGAAAACACGGACATATTTGCTTTGACCACTATTGATCCAATTTTTATGTGCAGAGATGCTATATTAGATGATTCCAGGTGTTTATAGCTTAAGCCTTATTATCACCAATTAAAAAACTCAGGAAGTGAAGTCTCAGAGGCATTTCCCAGGGTCACAGTGCCATGAGTGGGGTCAATCCATGTCAGTCTCTGTCTAGGTTTGTGCTCTTTCTACCCTTCCCCACGAGGACATTTAAGAATAAAACGTTTTTATCTAGAAGATTATTCATAATTCCTGCGAAGTTGGAGATCCTTTAGGTGTCCTAGAGTATTAAGTAATGGCATTCTGTTTGTGTATTTGTTAGCTGCTTTTTGACTCTTAAAAATTGTATTATCACATACATACAGTAAGGTACATGCATATTAAGTATATGGCTTCATGAGTTTTGCTCATATTTGCAATGCTTGTACTGCAACCCAGATCAAGATATAGAACACTCCAGCACCTCCACTCCTTGTGTCCCTTGTCAAAACCATCTCCCCATAGCTATCAACTACACTAATTTCCATCATCACAGACAAGCTGACCTCATAGTGGGTAGTTCCTTGTGTCTGGCTTCCTTCACTAATCTTTATGTCTGTGAGATTCATGCATGTTATTGCATGTGGCGGTAGTTTATTCTTTTTCATTGCTGCATATTCCATTGTATGAATATACCTGAATTTATTTATTTATCCTACTATTTGATAGAGATTTGGGTTGCTTCTGATTTTTAACTATTATGAATAAACCTGCAATGAACATTCTGATAAATGTCTTCTATAGACATATGCACACATTTATCTTCGGTGTAAACCCAGGAGCGGGATTGCTGGGTCATGGGATCAGCATATATTTACTTTCAGTGAGTGACTGCCAAAGAGTCTCCAACACAATTATACCAACTGTCACTCCCACTGGAACAATGTGGAAGCCCCAGTTTCTTCATATTCACAGGGATACTGGGGTTGCCACTATTTCAGCCATTCTGGAATCGCCCTGTCTTGGAAACCTCCTCGGAGATGTCCTGTGTCCTTCTGCAGAATTAATTCTGCCTCCTCTGGCTCTCACAGCAGTTTCTCCATGTCTCTGCTACAGCTCTTATCACCCCTAGCAGAATCATTTGTTTCCTGTTTGTGTCTCTTCATTAGGATCTAAATTCCCCCAGGCCAGACGCAGTGTCTTACTTTTTTGATTCCGGTGTTTATTCACAGGGCCTGGCTTAAGCAATATTTGAATGACTGGAGCAATTAACTGATCAATCAATATTCTTAAAAGCTTAAAACCTACTTACTTACCAGGTAGGACCTGGTATTACTAAACACTTAAATTCTTTGGATCGTGTGAACCTATTTCCATAGCTGTAACACATAGGGATAATTTATTTTGCCTGAAATTCAGAGAACTCTCTGGGACTGGGAAATATTTTCCATCTCCAAGGCTTCACTCGCACGGGGCCTGGAGGTGCAAAGGAGCAGGACTCAGCAGCCAGGAGGAAGCCGCTGTGATTGGCACTTAGCTTAGATCGCACAAATCTGCTTTGAAAAGTCCACCTCTCCCTCTCGGCCACCATATTGCCGTGATCACAGAAAACAGCATTTACAAACTCTGTGTTTTTAATACTTGCCAAGACCAGCAATCTTCTCTGTGTGGAGGCTTGATGGGATGCAAATGGGCCTGCCTGGCCCTGGCCCTCGCTCTGCCTCCAGTAACTCTTAGCACCGACCTCAAGGTCCAAGTGCACGCCAGAGAGGCGCATGATCACGGAGATGCTACTTTAAATTTCTCTAATAGACACATCCACAGTAACGGTTGACATTTGTGTAATGGTGGATTGAGAATTCACCGGTAGGTTAAAATAACCTGAGTGCCTGTGGAGATAATTGTAACCACCAGCAATTAAACTGAAAAGCCCGTCTTTCAGACAAATATTTGGCTTTCATTGAACTTCCGCAAAATGATTTCAACCAGCGGACTGACATCTGCAACTCTGGTTGTGAATGACTTATGAGCTTTTCTATATGCAGAGGGTGCTGCAGGATGAAAAGAAAGAATAAGAGATTGGGTGTTATAAAAGTGGAGCTATGAGAAAGCGATGGAAGAAATTGGGACAAATGTAAGTCTAGTTTCACCAGGGTTTCTTCAAGTCACACCAGCAGCCTGGGGGTGAGAATGAGACTGCATTTTGCTGCCTTTATCTGACTCTTTCCTTTTTTTTTTTTTTTTGTAATGGAGTCTCCCTCTGTTGCCCAGGCTAGACTGCAGTGGCACAATCTTGGCTCACTGCAAGCTCCGCCTCTCCGGTTCACACCATTCTCCTGCCTCATCCTCCTGAGTAGCTGGGACTACAGGTGCCCACCACCACGCCCGGCTAATTTTTCTATTTTTAGTAGAGACGGGGTTTCACAGTGTTAGCCGGGATGGTCTCCATCTCCTGACCTTGTGATCCGCCCACCTCGGCCTCCCAAAGTGTTGGGATTACAGGCGTGAGCCACCACGCCTGGCCTTTTTTTTTTTTTTTTTTTTTGAGAGATAGTCTAGCCCTGTCACCCAGGCTGGAGTGCAGTGTCATGATTTCAGCTCACTGCAACCTCCACCTTCCAGGTTCAAGCAATTCTTGTGCCTCAGCCTCCCAACTAGCTGGGATTACAGGTGCTCACCACCACGCCTGGCTAATTTTTGCATTTTTAGTAAAGATGTTTAGTAAAGATGTTTAGTAAACATGTTTCACTATGTTGGCTAGCCTTGTTTCGAACTCCTGGCCTCAAGTGATCTGCTCGCCTCAGCCTCCCAAAGTGCTGGGATTATAGACGTGAGCCACGGCACCCGACCACTTTCCTGCATTTTCTATACCAGTCCTGTGCCCACATGAAGGCACAAGACTCAGTCATTTACTTCCTGGTTGCCTCTAGGACAGTCACATGTGTGCTTTTGTGCAAATGCCCTTAACCTCCCCCTTCCCCGACCCCCAGCTAACAGAGCCCTCAGCCCCATCTTCCTAAAGCTGTGCACCGGAAACCCTGGAAGGGCCAGATGGCCAGGGCTGGACACTGATGTCAAACTGTGATACGTGACCCCAATCAGACTGCCTTGTTTCCACATGTCTCCTTGGAATTTTTGTGAAGATAGCAGTTGTCCGCTTGGGCTGAAAAAAAATTATTGTGGGAGCATTGTTAGCATTCTCATACTTACCTCCCTGCCTGCCCCAAGGGAAAAAAAAATTCTGTATGAAGAGCCCTTGTATCTCCAACCTACTGGGGATAGTTTGTTTCTTCCAGGCACATTCCTGGGTTTTGTGCTGCAAGAGGAGGGATGGGCAGAGGAGGGCGGGAGAAAGGCCAGCACGAGAGAGGTGAAGCTGGAAGCCCATGACAATATGTTGCAGTTACTTCAGCAAAAGCTGGGAGTGGGGAGGGAGCTGGGGTGCTGGGGAATAGGGGTGAGTTAACAGGTGCCTTATTTGGGGGCAGAGGACAGTTGGGGTGGTGAGAATTAGAAATGGAGGACTCCAAAAAATAGAGTGCTGGTTCCTGAGTGTTATGATTTAGAGCCTTAAAAGGAAGGGCTGGACTCCCTGTGGATTTGCGTGTGGCTTTTGAACCATGCTGTTTGGAATTGACACGAGTGGTGGCATGACAGGTCACACTCACAGTCCCCACTCCTCCTGGGACTCAGATGTGAACAAATCTAAACATGAAGTAGCCTGCTACAGTCGAAATGGCCTGTTCTCTCCAGATAACCCAGGCCTTCCTATTAGATATCAGCCTAGGATGAGGTCACTGCAAGGGGCTGCCCCACCTGTCTGCCCACCTAGGTCTGGGGCCCATGGTGAGCAAGGCTGGGGGTTAAGTGGATACAGGTACACAGAAGAAGAATCACTGCCCAAGATGGGGATCCACGCAGCAGAGGTGGTGATCAGCTGCTCTTCCTGTTCACTCTGGCCGGGTCCTGGAACCAAGGAAAGCATGCATTTCACAGGAAGCCCAGGGTAGCAAGAACTCCTTCCTGCTTCCAGGGCCAAATTGGACCAACCAAACCCAAGCTCTAGTCAGTTGTTCAGACATAAGTTGGCCAGTAAAGATTTGCTAATTTGTTTCATTTAAACTCAACTAGACTGAACATTTATAGTGCTTGAATTTATAGGTACAGAGCTAATACAGATGACATTATTTAGTAAAGTGACCATTAGGGAAATCACAGTGTTTGAAAGATGTTACCAAGTCAATGAAAGCCAAACTTCTAGAAATAATTAATGACATAAAATCATGCTTATTAGAAAGTGGGAAAGGCAAGAATTCAACAAAATGTCATAGAAATTCTGTGTATGTTTCTATCATCTTCTATTGATCATTGTGTCTCTCGTTCTCTCTAGCTATGTAACTAAATACAAAAATTCATAGAAAATACACCAAAATATTCACACTGGTTATTTTGGGTTGATGGAATTGTGGCTGACTTTTGTTTTCTTATTAAATTTTTTTTGAGTGTTTCTTAAAATATATTTGTTAGCCTTGGCTGTATAACAGATTACTCTAAAATTTAATGGCTTGAAACAAGAAACACTTGCTATTTCTCGTAATTCTAAGGGACCTTGGGTCTGATCCTTCGGTCTAGACCAGGTGGTAGGTCTTGAGGTCAGCCTACAGCTAGGCCGACTCAGGATGCCCTCGTGTTGTGGCAGCACTCACATTTCTAGCTTTGGCAGGTTGGTTGGTCCAAGGACCTGAGCTGGGACTGGTATCTTCATGATATGTCATCTCTCATTCTCCCAGGGGCTAGCCCAAGCCTCTTTTTTGGTGGTCTTGGGGGTCCAAAGAGCAGGAGGAAGGGGCAAGTCCTAAGGTGAATGCTCTTTTCACACCTCTGCCTGCATCACGTTGGCTCCTGTCCATTGGCCAAAATGATCTGTGTGCCATGCCAGGCTTGAGAGGGTGGAGGGGAGACTCTGCCTCTTAAAGGAAATGCCCCAAAGCCATTCTGCAAAAGGCCTGTGCACACAGGGATGGGGACATCGTGGCCATGCAAGAAAACAAACACACCATTTGAAATCAGAAAAATGAAGCTCATTTTTAAATAATAAAAATAGAAGAAAATTTTGTCAAGGGATTTGGAATTGTGTTTGAGAGTTCAAGAAGCCAGAGGTTTCTTAGAAAATTATGACATTCACAGAAATGGTGAGCTATTTGTAGAGGACTACTGTTTATTTTGTTAAAGGCCAAAATATGGCGGACACTCCTTCACTTTATTTAAATTGGCTTCTTTTTCAATGACTTTTTAAAATTATTATTTAAAAATGAATGTTTGTGGTAGGTAGGGTTTTGACATTAGGATCTTATGGTGTACCTGCGAATATGTCAGTTATAAGGCAAAAGAGAATTAGGGTTGCTAATATCAGCTGACCTTAAAATAAGAGGATTACCTAGGATTATCCAGTGGGCTCAATGACCCAGTAGAATAGGATGGAAAAGATTCCATCAAAGAGATTCGAGGGACAAAGAGGCAGGAGAGATTTGAGGTTTCAGAGGGACTTGACTCACCATTGCTGGCTTTGGCAAGGGAGAAAGGGGGCATAAGCCCAGGTATCTGAGTGGCATCTAAAAGCTGTGAAAGGCCCTCTGCTGACAGCCAGCAAGGAAACAGCAACTTCAAGGGAATGTATGACTCAAGAACTGAATTTTGCCAACCACTGGCATGAGCTCAAGAGCAGATGCATCCCCAGAGCCCTCAAAAAGGAGCATAGCCCTGCCCTGCTGACACCTGCATTTTTTTTTCCAGTGAGACGCACATCAGACTTCTGACCTGCAGAAATATAAAATTACAAATGCCTGTTGTTTTGTTTGTGATAGCAGCAATAAAAATAGAATGCAATGTTCATTATAATTTTGGGGGGGGGGGGGACAAGATCTGGGGCTTTGTCGCCCAGACTGGAGTACAGTGGTACAATCTCAGCTCACTGCAACCTCCACCTCCCAGGCTCAAGCCATCCTCCCACCTCAACCTCCCGAGTAGCTGGGCCTATAGGCACACACCACCACACCTGGCTAATTTTTGTACTTTTTGTAGAGACAGGGTTTTGCCATGTTCCACGGGCTGGTCTTGAACTTATGAGCTCAAGCAATCTGCCCTCCTCAGTATCCCCAAGTGCTGGGATTACAGGCGTGAGCCACTACGCCTGGCCTTCATCATAAAATTGTTAGAAACTATGTAAAATTCCAAAGAACAAAGCAAAAACCATCCATACTTTTATTATCCCTAGATAATCACATTTTAGTTCAGATGTATTTTTATGTATTTAGCTACCTTAGCCCATTTGAAATCACACTGTACATACTTTTGATAGCTGATTTTTGGAATTTATACTGAACAGATATTGGCAGTTTCCCATGTCAATATATTGCCTTTTCTGTCTCTAAAAATATATTTTTAATCAGATCTTGGTAGTGTTTCTGTAGAAGTCACAGGGGGTGTGGAAACTTGGTGATGGGGTCAGGAACGCCTTCCTGGAGGAGAGGAGGTCTTGTTCAGCAGGCAAAGACCCTTAGAAGGGCTTTCCCAGTAGAAGGAATAGTATGGACCAAGACACAGAGGAACAAGCCCAGAGCACAGTCCCTGCAGCGGCAGTTCACACCCCTAGGTAAGAGCAGGAGCCCAGGAGGAGAAGGAGAAGTGTGGAGCTGGGTCAGACCGCAGATGACCTTCACCACCGCCATGCCGACGTGATTGGTAAGCCCCCTCCCAAAGGTCATCCTCTTATCTGGGTTTGGTCACTGTTTCCTTCAGGGGATTCCTTTTTGACAAATGACGTACGACTTCCCTCTGAAAGAGAGCTGCAATCTCCACTCCAGGAAAGAATTGCACAAACCAGATTTTCCTAGAACAAGGCTTCAACACCAGAAACATCACATTCCAATGACAATAGCATCAAAATAGTCATTACCTGGGAGCCTTTTGGGAAAATGGAAATCCTTCTAATCTTTTGCTGTAGAACTGGGACTTACTGACACAGAATAAGAACTTTTAATTGTTACCAACTTATAAGGAAGTTGTGGCATACGGACAGATATTGTCAGGTGCAATGTGCCATCCTTACACATTCTGAAACCATGAACCCACGGGGTGTTTTCCGAGCCGGATTTTCTTTTAAAAACTTGAATTCCAAGGAGTTGCTTAAATGGGCAGTGGATGGGGTTGGGTGGGGAGTTCATTCATGTCTTCTGGGACACAGATAAGACAGGCAAATGATCTTAGGACCTCTCTTAGAGGTCCCAGCTTTGCCAAGAAAGTTAACCTCCGAGTCACTTTTTTTTGCTCTTTCCCCAGTAGAAGATAGATCAACAGGGTCTCTCTCTGTTCACAATAGTTCAAAGATGTTATCTCCTGGAACAATTCAGTAATTTCTACTCTTGTCTTCAAACTAGTGGGGATCAGTCAAGTTGAACAAATCCCTCTTCATCCATCTCCTTCTGTCCCCCAACCCTCGTTGCATCTTCCTAAGCAGGGAAGTGGACTGTGGCCCTGCCTTTCTCTGGGGCCCGAGTGTGTTGTCTATTTCTACGTGCCAAGCTGTCTGCAGACCTGCATCTGAAACTGTAGAGCCCTTTCTTTCAGCCTCTTCCCTCAACTCGCCTCTTAATCCAATCCTAATTCCACCTGGGCACTCTGTCGCTGCCCTTTAAAACATCAAAGAGCAGCTGCTCTTTCCAACATAATGGTTGTCTTTGTTATTCCTGCAAGACTGGAACCTTTAAAATGTCACTTCCTTGCAGATCTCATTTGGTATAAATGAAATAGGATTTTAAGTTAAAACTTGCAGTTGGAGGTTTATTCCTGGGGATCGTGTCTCTTTTTGCCTTCTGCCGGCTCACCCCTTGGGTCTAGCAGCCTGACATATAGGGCTGCCCTGCAAATCCTGGAGAGGCTTGTGGTTTCTAAATCTTTCCTATCGGAACTTACAGAGAGAGACACCCCTGAGGATTCTAATGCTGCAATTGTGCATTCAGCATAGAGAATATTGCTATTTTAAATAATTTTATCTTCAAGTAGCAATTATGGTTGCATTCACCTTAGAAATGATTTTTTTTTGTAAGATCGGATGCATCATATTAGATTTGCCCAATTCCATCATGTCTTGGATGGGCCTCGACCAGAACCATGTCCCCAAGTCTGCTTCTGCTCTGTGGGAGAGATCAACTTGGTTCCTTTGGCCTGATCAGGAGTTAGAGCCTGCATGCCAGCATCTGTCCTGGGCCTCAGCCTATAGCCCAGCTTCTGTCCTGATCTTGGTAAAAAACAGCACCCTACCTTTTAAAGTCACGGCTGTGTCAGGATATGTTAATGAATATCTGAACTTGCACTACACAGAGGTGAGGCCTGCCTTTGCTTAGGACTCTGGGAGAGTTACTACCCCACGCCCAAAGGGTGCTACATCTTTCAGGTCATGAAAGCAGCCTTGAGAAGAAAGCTGAGGCAATCATTGAGGCTATCTATGTAAGCTTCCAGTGAAATGAAAATGAAATCATGACCAATCACACATTTTAAAAATAAATGCTTTTTCCAGGTCAGTAACCATTGTTCCTGAAAATTGGCCTTTTTTGGAGGTGAGGCTCCATGATCAGGGTGCTAATGGCTCTCAGTCACTGCCAGCAGGCCCTCCACTGAGCCCCTACTTCCCCAGCTTCCACTTCTACCTGCAGGCTTGGCCCAGGTGGCACATACATTTATTTCATGGGTTCCTTCCATCCAGGAATGCTGTGTCCAGAATGATTCTGAGGCTTTACCTGGGTGTTGTAGTCAGGAAGACTGCCATTGGTCATGAGGTCTGCCTTGGACATGGAATGGGGGGAAGAAAGATCTTCGCTTGGCTCCTGAGGAGTCCCAATGTGCTCACTGCCCCTATTAGAGGGGGGCCCTAACAGGTGATGCTTGGGACCCCAGAGCTCTCTGTGGACCCAGATGTTCATGACAGGAAAGATGAGTCTGGCTCACAGAGCAGATGGCTTCATGTTCCGGGAGGCTTTCTCAAGGGATCTACTTGAGGCTTTTAGGATCACTGTGGTGCACACACCCTCCCACCCAAACCCTCAGTGAGGGCTGCCCATGTCCATAGTGTAGGTATGTATTTCCTGGTGGCAATGAGTTCTTCACAAGTGCCTTTTTTTTTTTTCTAGACAGAGTCTCACTCACTCTGACCCCCAGACTGGAGTGCAGTGGCACCATCTCCACTCACTGCAATCTCTGCCTCCTGGATTCAAGTGATTCTCATGCCTCAGCCTCTCGAGTAGCTGGGATTACAGGTGTCTGCCACCACACCTGGTTAATTTTTGTATTTTTAGTACAGATGGGTTTTTGCCATGTTGGCCAGGCTTGTCTTGAACTCCTGGGCTCAAGCGATCCACCCGCCTTGGCCTCCCAAAATGCTGGGATTATAGGCATGAGCCACTGTGCCTGGCCACAGGTGCCATTTTTATGGATGTACACTTTTTCTTTAGAAGGATGTGCTAGTTTTCATAACCATTTCTCTGTTGTTAGACATCTGGACTATTGACATTTTTTTCTCTTAAATGAATACTGTAAATACATTTTGTTCATCTTGCCATTTTGCAATTTTAGAATAATTTCTTAGAGTTCCAGAAGGATTATTTGTTCAAAAGAAATGTACATCTTTAAAGCTTAACATATGTATTTCTAAGTTTATTTCAAACTAATATATCAACTTATGATTGTCTAGACCGTAATTTTTAAATTACTTAAAGAATTTCAGAAGTAAACAGTTGTGATTTACTTCTTGAGATAACGTATGTTATTATTTTTATCTAATTACAAAGATAGAAAACTTGGGAAATACAGAATAACGAAAGAGGCAAAAAATATAAATAACATTTGAAGGTCACTATTGAGGGGTAAAAGCATATGATCTCAGCAACTTACCATCAAATGGTTCAGAAAAGTAATGCATGTGATTTTAAATAACATGCATAGTTACATTTTGAATAACATACATGTTCACACATATATAAACTATATATAATATACAATATTATATAAAACTATATAAGGTATATAATTAATATACATACATATTATATATGTATATATCGTGTAAAATTGTTATAGTCATGCAGTAAGAATTATATGTGAGTGAATGTGTATGTTGGAGAGAGAACAATAAATCAAATGTTGCGAAGTGTCAACAATTGTTGAGCTGAGGTGAAGACACATGAGCACTGCTTGTAGTGTTTTTGCAACTTACCTATACAAGTGATATTATTTCAAAATAAAAGATTAATAGATTTTAGATGACACACTTTCAGTGTTTTTTATGCATAAAAGCATCATCTTCTGCCAGTTTAGGGTTCATATTATTTCGCTTTTTCAGCAGCAGGCTTTGCAAGACCACACCGTGGGTATGTTACCATGACCTTTGTATACCATCTTATGGAGAGAAACTATTTCCTTCCTGTGGGGCTTTTAAGTTGTTTCCAATTTTTCACTAATAAAAAATAACATTTCAGTAAGTGTCCCTGGACACAAATCTTTAGTCATATCTTTGATAAATTCCCTTACTGGGAATTGCTGAGTTGAAAAACAACTCCCAACTGAAAGCTGCTAATACAAATTGCCACGTGCCCTGGAAAAGTTCCACCAATGTGCTGTACCCCTAGCAATGCAGGAGCACGGCTCTGTCAGTGGCTAAAACAGAGCCCAGCTCAAAGCAGCTCAGGTGAGATGCAGGGTCCATTGTAGGCTTGTTGGGGGAGCTCAGTGCCTCCAATTGGAGGAAGCACAGCCTGGCCTTGCCCACCTGCAAAGCCCAGGCGCTATGTCTGTGTGTGTTGTCTCTGCAGCCATCTCCTCTGCTCCAACCTCTGGTTAGTGGGCGAGTAGCTTCTCTGCAAGGCTCTGAGTTCTTTCACTCAGCTCCCGGGAGCCTTTGCTTTGCTAGAGTGTATGGCCCCACACTCCGGGCCCTTGCTGATGAGCTGCTCTCCATGGTGAATGTAGGTCAGAGAAGTAATGGGTGGGTAGGCTGGGAAGAGGACAGATTACCTAGAACAGGGCATGAACAGGCAGGCAATGACCCACACCTCCAACTCCACTTCACAGTGTTTCATGTGCTTTCACTAATGGCTTTGAATCTTAAAAAAAAGAATAAAAGAACGAAAAAGAAGAGGAAAATTTGACAGGCTTAAATGTTTCATTATTTTTATTGTATTTCTTTAAATATTAGCTATTCTTGGCATTTTGTGTGTTTGTCAGTGATTTGTATTTCTTCTGTGAAGGGCTTATGTTCTAGAACCATGTTTCTGTTGGACTGTTTTTCCTTTATTGAGCTATATGATGCTTTCATAAAGGATCTTACCCTTTATGGTTTTAAATATTTGCCCCATTTTGCCTTTCGCCTTTTAAATTTTGTTTACAGTGTCTTTTGACATTCAAGAGTGCCTCAGTATGTTTGGGCTGCTATAACAAGATACCTTAGACTGGATAATTTATAAAAAATAGAAATTTATTGCTCACAGTTCTGGAGGGTGGGAAGCCCAAGATCAAGGCCAATTTAGGTTTGACGTCTAGTTTGATGTCTAGTGAGGGCATTCTCTGCTTCACAGATGGCACCTTTGGATGCATCCTTATGTGGTGGAATGGATGGGCAGCTTCCTTGCACCTCTTTTGTAAGGACACTAATCCCATTCATGAAGGCAGAGACTTAATCACCTCCTAAAGTCCCTACCTCGTAATACTCTCACATTGGCAATTAAGGTTTAACATATGAATCTGGGGGGACACATTGAGACCACAGCAAGCAGTTTCTCATTTTTGTCTAATCAAATTTGTCATTTCTTTCTTTTTAAAAACATTTGACTTACAACTTAACATTTGTAGAAATGTTTCTTCCATTGCTCTTATTAGAAAGATTTTTACCTTCCATGTGTTGCTGCTTCTAGTCATTTTAATTTTTTGTGCTGCATCCCTTTTTGGATGCACCTGGAAGCACCTAGCATAGGGCACCAAGTGGACGCTCAATCAGTAAGTGTTTGCTGTTGACATGAATGAAGGGTAATGAAAACTCCTTATGGTCTAATGACCTTTGAAAATTATTTGCAAGGCTGCAAATGAGAATTCAAGAAGCAATGTCCTAAATGGTACTCTAGTGGCTCTCAGAGGAGCTGGCTAATTGAATTCAAACCATGTGTGAAAGCTGCCCCTTCCAGGACAATATCCTCCAGCCGGCTGTAGGGATGAGTTTTTTCAGTGTCTGGAAGTCCCATAACAGGACTAAATGAAGACTGAAGTCAATATCTTCCTTCTTCCTCTTCAGAGATTTGAATTATGATGTGCACCTTCTAATGTTGATGATCTACGAAAATACATACAGCTGATTTTTCAGGTCTTGTCTTCAAAGAGCAAAGCCAGAGCATTGTTTTAAAGCAGACAATGGTGTCCACAAGCTCGCAGCAATGAGTAAACTGTCACTGTGAACCTTCTTATGATGTATTTAAGGCCATACATTAAAGACAATAATAACATCATTTGTGGTGGGCCTAATTATGGCCCCTGGACTTTAAATCCCATTTTAGAAAGTGCCCACAAACAAAACCAAACAAAACAACACATAGTGCATCTCTAAAGAGTGCCGCTTCACAGTACCTCTGTGTTTTCTCAACTTTGGGGAAAAATCTTTGCTTTGAAATCTTACTTTTTGGACCAAACTATTGATTCTGTGTTGACTCCTTGACTACAAGATCATGAACTTTCTTGATCATTACAAATAAACATTTCTACAATTGTCTCTTTTCACCGATATCAAAAACAAAAGAGCTTGGGGTTTCTAAATAAAGTGTCTAGAGAAAACCGATGTGTGTATTGCCCTCATTATGTTGTTAATAATGCATTTTTAGATGGAGTTAATATTTTATGGGCTATTAATAATACATGTGTTTAGGGAAATGCATGTATTCTATAGAAGGATGAGAAAGTTATAAACTTGGAATTTTGCTTCTTTGTATCACAGTGCAGTTGTGACATACATTTGCCGAAAACTTGCCTGGTAGAGTTTTGTGTGTGTGTGTGTGTGTGTGTGTGTGTGTGTGTGTGTGTGTGTGTGTGTCAAGAGTAAAGCACTTCCATTGATGTAACCTGGAAAGTTCAGAATTCAGGAGGCTGTTTCCACTTTCTGGCCCAGATTGTTGCTGCCAGGACCTCCTCCTTTGCTTAATCACCACTCAAGTCCCTTACAACTCTGAACACGTCAACACTGAGATGTCCACTAGAAGAACGCATTAGCACTGATGAAGAATCACGGCCTGGGGCATGTGACTGGCACTGATCCACAGGTGTATATAAGAAGCCTTTCTCATTTTTGCAACCTATCCATCTGATAAAGGTCTAACATCCAGTGTCTATAAGGCACTTAAACAAATTTACAAGAAATAAACAAACAACCCCATTAAAAAGTGGGCAAAGGATGTGAACAGACACTTCTCAAAAGAAGACATACATGTGGCCAACAAACATGAAAAAAAGCTCAATATCACTGATCATTAGAGAAATGCAAATCAAAACCACAATGGGATACCATCTCACACCAGTCAGAATGGCTATTACTAAAAAGTCAAGAAACAACAGATGCCGGTGAGATTATAGAGAAGAAGGAATGCTTTTATGCCGTTGGTGGGAGAGTAAATTAGTTCAACCATTGTGGAAGACGGTGTGGTGATTCCTCAGAGACCTAGAGGCAGAAATGCCATTTGACCCAGCAATCCCATTACTAAGTATATACCCAAAGGAATAGAAATCATTCTATTATATTACTAAGTATATACGCAAAGGAATATAAATCATTCTATTATATTACTAAGTATATACGCAAAGGAATATAAATCAATCTATATATATAGAAATATTATATTATAGAAATCATCTATTATAAAGATACAAGCACACATATGTTCATTACAGCACTATTCACAGTAGCAAAGACATGGAATCAACCCAAATGCCCATCACTGATAGACTGGATAAAGAAAATTTGATACATATACACCATGGAATACTATGCAGCCATAAAAAGGAATGAGATCATGTCCTTTGCAGGGATATGGATGGAGCTGGAAGCGATTATCCTCGGCAAACTTAACGCAGAGACAGAAAACCAAATATTACATGTTCTCACTTATAAGTGGGAGCTGAATGATGAGAACACGTGGACACATGGGGGGAACAACACACACTGGGGGTGGGAGGAGGAAGAGGATCAGGAAGAATAGCTAATGGATGCCGGGCTTAATACCTAGATGATGGGATGATCTGTGCAGCAAACCACCATGGCACACGTTTACCTACGTAACAAACCTCCACACCCTGCGCACGTACCCCTGAACTTAAAATATAAGTTAGAAAAAAAAGAAGCTTTTCTCACCTCTTAGAATCTGATTCAAATGTAGCAGCAATTTCTGCTCAGAATTTCAGGAGGGTCTGCGTGTCCCATTACTTTTGACTTCGGGGAGATAACTCAAGTAATTTTTGCTTTTCTAGATGGAGTGAGACACAGAGGGAAGAGGGTGAGAAACAGCTGGTGATGTAAGGGAAAAACTAAGCCCTGATGGCTGGTGATACTGGAGTGAGGAGAATGTCCTGATACCCAGAGATACTAGTTTCTAGGGAAGAGAAGCATGGTATAGCCCCTGCCCCCAGGGTGCTTTCAGTCTAGTGGAAACATCACATCCTCCATGATTCCCACACATAATAAACCTACATCATAATCCTAGGTAATTTTTCCTTATTCTGTTAAGGATGCAACTTTCCAAGGCAAATATTTTCTAATTTTATTTTCCTAAAGTTTTGAGGGATCCTATTCTACAATTTAAGGCTCTTTGGGGCCAGTAAAATTACTTAACATTTTAGTGAAACCTGAAAATCTGTATCTTTCATTCTTAGACACATGTACACCATCTGCAGCATGATGTCAATATAAGAGCTCAGAGTTCAGGAGGGAAACAGACGTGGTTCAAAGCTCAGTCCCAACCCACCAACATGAAATACCCTGCATGAGTTACACGTGTTCTCTGGCTTACTCCATCTCATCACGTACAATGGGAACTATTCAGGGGCAGTGCTTCATATGTGCATGCTTCTCTTAATTCAGAGATGAGCTTGGGAAGGAAGAGAGAGGACAATTTCACCAGCAGTTGAATGACTGCTCATCATTCCAATCCAGCCTCTGCCCTGGAGGCAGAACCAGATGAGAGATGTAAATCTGTGTATGGTTCCCTTGCTTCTCAAAGCATGACCATCTCCTCATGCTGAGTAAGAGTCTAATATTTTAAAGGAAATACCTCTTGTACATCACATCTCCCATCCATGCCAACTTCATCTGGTGCTCAGTCGATCTGTTTCAGAGCTGGAGGAAGCTGTCTGGGTGAGCTGACCTGTACAGAGATATGTTAGTCTGTCATCAAGATGACACTTAAGGGACTTTAAATAGTGATTCTGATATCATCGTATTCTAATTGCACCTGACTTTAAAAATGATTACTGGCCGGGCGCGGTGGCTCACGCCTGTAATCCCAGCACTTTGGGAGGCCGAGGCGGGCGGATCACGAGGTCAGGAGATCGAGACCATCCCGGCTAAAACGGTGAAACCCCGTCTCTACTAAAAATACAAAAAATTAGCCGGGCGTAGTGGCGGGCGCCTGTAGTCCCAGCTACTCGGGAGGCTGAGGCAGGAGAATGGCGTGAACCCGGGAGGCGGAGCTTGCAGTGAGCCGAGATCCCGCCACTGCACTCCAGCCTGGGCGACAGAGCGAGACTCCGTCTCAAAAAAAAAAAAAAAAAAAAAAAAATGATTACTAACCCCCACCCACCTCTGGCCCCTATAAAAAGGAAGTCAGTCCAGAGCCTGCCTGCTGCCTACCTCCCAGGGCCCTCCTGAGAATAATAAGTGTGGATTGGGCATGAGTTTTAAATGCATAGGGAACATCTGTTCATTAGCCAGGGGACTTTTTCCCTTAGAAAATAAAGTAATGGAGAAATCTCACAAAATAAAAAAGGGGCCATCAAGCCCTAAAACCTAGTCTCTTAACATCTTTCATGACACAGTTGTCTTGAAAACCAGGCCTTGTGGGGGAGTGGGGAGTAATTTTCTGGAGTTCCATGAGCATTTCAAGAGCTACGCCTATAGGCCTAGGTCCCAGAGGCCCAATATGCCCAGGGCAGAGAGAATTCAGGATATGACTTGGGGAGAAATCCACCTCCACCAGCTTGGTCCTCCAGCAGGTTTCCATGTCCTTCCATGCAGGAAGGCGCATGCAGGAAGGTGTCAGGAAGCTCCTGTAGACCACAGGGGCAGATGGGGAAGGTAGTTGATGGTACTGGTTGCCTAACTTGCCCAGAATTGTGCCAGCATCAGTAGAGTCCTCCTGCAGCCCAGGGCTGCAAAGTAGACCACAGAGCCTTGGGTCTATGGGAGCCACAACCGGCCTCAGGGGAACACATAGTCCCTGTGAGTGCAAAGGTGGAGCACAGTCAGCAAGCTGAGAGTTTCCCTGCTGTAGACTTGAGTAGCAGATGCCAGTAGAATGGGCAAGGGACCCTGTCACCACTGAGGACAGCAAGGGTCCCATGTTAGTTGACTTGAGGTACCATAACGAAATACCCACAGCTGAGTGGCTCAAACAACAGAAATGGATTTCTCACAGTTCTGGAGGTTGAGATGTCCAAGATCAAGGTGCTGGAAGAGTAGGTTTCATTCTGAGGTCTCTTCTCTTGGCTTGTAGGCTGCTATCATCTCACTGTGTGCTCTTCCTTGTATGTTCTCAGGGAGAGGCAGAGGCAGAGACAGAGACAGAGGCGGAGGCATAGACAGAGACAGAGGCAGAGGCAGAGACAGAGAAGGCTCTGGAGTCTTTTCTAATAAGGACACTAATTCCATCAGATCAGGGCCCCACCCTATGACTTCATTTAACCTTAATTACTTTATTAGAGGCCCCATCTCCAAATATAGACAGTCACTCTGGGGATTAGAGCTTCAACGTATAAACACAAACATTCAGTGCATAGCAATTCCATTGCTACCCAAGGACCCTGGACACAGAGCTGAGACTCTGTCCCACTGGTCCTCTCCCCAGGAAGCCACATTATGAAGCTAGCCGCAAGCTTGGGAAGGAGGTGGTGGTGGCAGAACTCAGAAAGGCCAAGTGTGAGCCTAGGCAGGGCTTCATTTCAAACTGATGGGACCTGTACATGAAATGGAACTGTATGATTCAAGAGAAGGCTGAGGGGGGGTTCCAAAGTGATTCAGTCCCATGTGCGGGCTGCTTTACCCAGTGACAACACTTCCGAAAGGATTCAGAAGAGACAAGATACTAACTTGCTGTCCCCAGTTAGCAGTAAGGTGGAAGCTCCTAAAAGGGCCAGGTCGGGAATGGGATATACAGAGGCAACAATTGATTTGCATTAGTTGAGGCTGCTGTGACCCAGCGGGAACACATAAATGGATGACAAGTGAGTGTCACTTGGTTAGCGCTCAGAAAAAAACAAATGTAAGCTATTATTTTGAGAAATGTTCAGAATGCACTCTGGGTTCAGCAGTTTTCTGCTCAGGTTCTTGTCCCTGTTTAGAGGTTGTTCACCAACCGATCAGAAAACACTTCCTGTGTTGAGGGGGTGGGAGGAGGGGGAATATTAAAAAACTGCTAATTGAGAATTAGGGTTGAAACACCCTAATCAGGAAGAAATGCTTCAATGGAAACAATCATCATCCACCTGAATCAATACCGCCATCTAGAAATATTGGTGTCCACACACCTCAGTTTAATCCATGAACAAACATCTGTTTTCCATTGTAAAGAGCTAAGCTCAGCCTTGTTAATACAATGTCACATGCTACCAAAAAAAAAAAAAAAATAACAGACAAATATTTTGAATTATTCTGTCATTTTGATGTAATAAACATTTCAGCTGAGACAGCAAGACCGGGTATTTTAATTATGTCAGCATATAATAATTAAATCTGGCCTTACTCGCCTTTGGGTATATTTTTAAACAAAAACAAACACAAAACTTCTGTATATGCACTCAGTAGCTTTTAATGTTAAGCACATATTTGGCAACGTGTACCCGTTAAGTGGGCTGTCATCACTAATTTCTTTGGTACCTGTGTGATAACATCAGCCAAGAGGAACTATAGTGGATATAACACAAAAGTGTGGGTTTATTTCTTTATCAATCAGCAGCTGTGAAAAGATTTATAATTTCCCTCTCACTGACATCACTGGGCAGGTAAAGCAGGCAGCCCCGTTGGCTTTGATGAAAGGATATTACCCAGCGTATGGAGTTAACACAGGTGACAGTTGTAATATCTTTTCCCTGATGTCAGTTACAGCTGTTGTACCATTTCAGGCATGTCGGGAAAGTAGAGATGTTTAAACAGAAGAAGAATGCTCAGAAAGTCATCAAAAGGACATTTTTTCCTATGCCATTCACTCTTGGTGCTATTTAACAAAAATGATTTAAAGAAATTCATTTTTTTTTTCTCAGCAGCTATTCAGATCATAAGCTGCTTTTTCTTTCCTTTTAAGCTTTGATAAGAATAACCCGGCATTTTTTAAGATTCTAAAGGCAAGTCCAGTCTCTTCCTTCCCTCCCCGCTCTTCAAGTTCCTGATGCGCGAAGATCTGAGAAAAGGGCCACAGGTTGACGTCATGTTTCTGGCTGCATTCTGGCAGGCCACGGCAGCATCCAGAATGTGTATGCGGAAACCTTCTCAGAGAAGGATAAAAAAGTGGAAGGATTTCAAACCCCCTGCCCAACACACACTCCAGGCAATTACCTCAGACCGTCTCTTGGGGTCTCAGGATCAAAACTGTGCCTGAGGCAATTGACCCGACTTGAAAAAAATCCTTGAATTTTGGAAGTGACATGCCAAAGTCGTGGCTCCATTCCATGTGGCTGAAACATCTGCGTGAGTAGAGGAGTCCCCCACTCCCAAACAAGAAGCGACTGTGGGGAGAAAGGGGGGATCTGATGGAATCTCAAGGGTCTCCCAGGCAGCCTGCTCTCCTGCCTGAGTGGGGAAATGTCCCATCAGCAGGGGACACTCAGGAGAAGGCTGGGGGGATTTCCAAAGCCATTCAGTCCCGGGTGCGGGCTGCTTCAGCCAGTGGAAGCCACTTCCAAAAGGTTTCTATTAGACCTAGACATTCGTGAGTAATTATCAAGTATTGATAAAAGCACAAATTCAATGAACTCTATAACGTAGAACCCTCTGCTACTGGGCTCATTGTAATCACTGAACAGATTATTTCCTTTGCTTTTAATGCTCATGCAGACACACTCACACAGACCCACAGTGGATCTTTTTTGTGTGTTATTTCCTGAACCCAGAGCTCTCACACACCGTCAGATACCTCCTGTTGGGCAGCCACATCACCGTACTTTCTCTTCTCTGGTTCTGCCCCTGATGTGCCTCATACTCAGACCGTTGGTCATTTGATGCAGTCAGAGACCAGGCCCCTTGCCTGCAATTTTTATACCAAGTGTTGAAATGGGAGAACCTCAGACATCAAAGTCTCAACTGCTCTCCCACAATTGGCTGTTTCAGAAATAGTTCATTCAAAGAGCCCTGTTACATCGGAGCAAGCATTTGCTGACTCACTCAGGGAGCCCACAAACTTCCAGGAAGTTTGGTTGGCAATAGACACTGGCTAACAAAACCAAGGCAATTGTTTTTCCATTATTTCATTACCGGCCGGCAGAGAGAACAACCAAAATAGGAATTGCTCCTTCGACATGAAGTCATGGAGACCGCAGTGAGATGGCCCGGTGCTGTCGCCACCTGGATACCTCAAGTTATTTCAGATGTTGCTTGGTCTAAGCTCATGAATATCCTCTAACAATCTTTACCCCTTGCTGCCAGCTGTATCATTGAAGAATTGTTTTAGACCAGAACCGAAACACACTCAGATGTAAATAAATCTATTCCAGAACAGAATTTAATGATTGAAGTTACAACGGTAAATTCTATTTAGAATTTTCCAAAACCTCAAAGTATTCCCTGAAGTCTGATTTTAATAACAGAATTCAAAAAATGGGTAACCAATTCCTGAGAGAAATATAAGGGACAGCAGTTACAATTCTTCAGGGCTTTACTTTCATATGAATTATAACATAATTACATTATATTTCTGCTAACATATTTCATAACAGAAAAGAAATACTGGCTCTCTGAATTCTTTTCTCAGCATTGAAGGACGGTTACAACATTAACAGGCCAAGAAAAAAAAGTTAGTTAAACAGAAACCCAAACCTTAGTTTCCAGCCTTGTCCTGAGCCTGCTGCCCAGAGGAAAGACCAGCTCACACCAGCTATCACATATTCCTACCTTAATTCTCCATCCTAGCCACCTTAGTTAAGACCTGTTCTCAGAAATACATGACTCAGAGGCATTTCCTCTCAAGCTGATGTTTATTTATTCTTTAGATTTTTAAGGCTGGGCATTGGATTTGCAAAGGGTATGAGGCTCTTTGTGGGCATTTTTGAAGGTTGGCTCCATCTAAGCATTCTCTCTTTAAATATCAGCCAACATAAATCTAAAAAATGTCATAGAACAGTCTAGAAGTGGTTGGGCCCTGAGTTTAAATGATTGATTACAGAAAATTAAAACATTAGCCTGATGAATTTTTGCATTTTTTGTAGAGACAGGGTTTCATCATGTTGCCAGGCCAGTCTTGAACTCCTGGGCTCAAGTGATCCTTCCATCTCAGCCTCCCAAAGTGCTGAGATTACAGGCATAAGCCACCATACATAGCCATGTGCAGGATCTTTATCTGGGAAAGACTGTCCTTAACTAATATCATAGATTTGATTTAAATGTTTTCTAAAAAATCACTTAAAGTGTAAACAGAAATTCAGTGTAACATCCTGGAAGAGGTCTAATGAGTTCAAGAAAGCAGAAATTAACCTGAAGGTAAGCTTGTCACCCTGCTGAAATGGTTTCTGAGCGTGAGAAGCACATAAAAGGAAGGAGTTTATGAAGCACCTTATTTATGTTGGCTGATTTTTGCTGTACCAGCACCCATGAGTTCAATGGTCTTGTGTAGCACTCACTACAGAGCTGAGGGATTACAGGAGGACCAACTCACAGCCCCTGTGCTCTTAGGTTTCCCAAGACAGTCCTAACTTCCACCTCTGCTTAGAATAGGAAACACTCATGGTGTGTTTAATTTAGGCTAGTCATTATTCTAAGCATTCAACACTCACTGGCTTATTCAATTCCACTAACAACCCTATGAAGGGAGCACTATAATTATCTGCATTTTGTGGTTAAGGAAACAAAGGCAAGGTTAAATAACTCGCTGTGCCAGATATTGATTATATTCTCTCTCACCTCCAAATTCACCCTTTTTGCCTGCTCTGTTAAAATGGATCCAGGCCCTTTAAGTATTTTCCCTTTGCCAGCTGATACAATGTTAGGCTTTGTCAGTAGAGAGAGCTAGAGAGAAACTGCAGGAGAAAAGGGTGCTGCTTCCCAGAGACAGTGCATTTGCTCAGCCAGCTCCAGCACCAGGCCCTGCAGGTAGCATGTGACCAGCAGCACTCATGGCCAGCTGCTTCCCCAGCCCCCTCCCTGAGGTGGTATTTTAGCAGTGTCACCAAGGAGACAGTTCTCTGTGGATCCTAGAGGGCAGATCTCTGGCAAGTTCCAGAAAGACTTGTAGATTCTCAACAAGTTCCATTGGCACACCACCACAGAAACTTCTCCACCACCTGCCGAGACACTGTGGTTCCCTCTCAGCCCAGGGCTAGGAGGAAGACTCTTCCTAGGACTCCTTGCATCTGCTGTACCCACCTATATTCTTCAGGGCTATCTTTACAACTTACTAGCCAACCTTTTGCTACTCTAATCTGCTATTAAGGTTAATGATTAAACATATTAAACATTTCCATTCAAATGACTGTGTGGTTTCTCTCTCCTAGTTGGACCCAGACTGACACTCTTGCCTGAGGGCACAGACCAGGGAGCAGCAATCAATACTGGACACCAGGCAGCTTCCACGCTTGACAGTGTTGCCAGACCCTCGCGTGGGCAGGAGGGCACAGGTCTGATGCCGTGTGTGCTGATGTGAGATCTCTAATTCATACTGGAGGGCAAGGCAGAGAGGGCACGTGTCAGGAGAGAACCCCAGGGTAGAGTTTTAAACAGTTTGCAGCAGATATGTAAAAGAAAGGCATTTCAGAAAGAGGGGACAGTATGTACAGCAGCGGGAGGAGGGAAGGAAGGGTGACAACTTCAGGGAAGGGACAGAGGTATCACCAAGCTCCTGCTTCATCCCTAAACCTTTTGTTTCATTCCCAGGGAGAATCCTAGTAAGATTTAGAGTCTGCAGGATCCTAAATCTTGTTCTCAATGGTTTTACCAGCTTTTCTCTTACCAGCTCTCTAGGAGGCAACATTATCCACTGGAGCATCTAGAAGCACAAGTACTTCCATGATGGTCAGAGGCAGAAGAGGATGCGGAGCAGGTCAGTGGTGCCTGCTGGGTCTTGGGCAGCATTTTATACCTTATGTTATCTATCCTGGCCACCTACTTCATAACAGAATATATAACAGAGAAATACTTGAATTTTTATAATAATTGCATTTATTTCCATTTGTGTTGTAAAAACTAGCTTGTTCTTAGCTTCCCAAACAGACATATTTATAAATAATGTGTATTATAAACATTTGGAAGAACAGACAGCAAAGTTGGACCATTAGGCTATTTCTTAACAAAAGAACTGTTTTAATGGGGCGGGGCAGGAGGAGTATTGTAGAAAACACTGAAGTTACGTCAGAGCTTCCATAGAAATGGATTCTTTTCTCTGGTGAGGAATGGGGCGGGGTGACTGAGGGCCCTCTGACTGCTCCAGGTCACAAAGAGATGGGCTGATTGTTCCACAGCCTCGGGCATTGCACCCACCGGTTTCCAAGTCAGCCTCTAGCATTGGGTGGTGTACATGTTCAGAAAGGTTTCAAATATACTATATGATGACCCACATTTTGGCATTTGCATAACTGGCAGGTGCTGAGATTGAAATTTAAAAGGAGATGGATTTGGATCCCAAAAGTTTGATGTAAAAGATTCCCCAGGGATGTAAACAAACTTGCTTGTATCAGGCCTCTCTGATGGGCAGGAAACAGCAGGGGAGAAGAAATCAGAAGCAAAAGGTACAATTTAGAAGCAAAAACATTAAGGGGACTGTATCCAGTGGGTTACATGGAGGTGGTTTCCCCACAACAGATTGTTGACCTATTTTCTCGAGGGTTATTGTTTCTGTTTGGCTTGGGTCAGTAATTCAGGAAGTGATGTTTTCCTTTATGGAAAAAAAAAATCGAAAGTAAAATAAGTGTTTTCCCATGATGAAGATAATGCTAAGTTTAATGGCTTATCCAGCATTCGAAGTCCTCCCAGGTCCAGGTAGTGTGGTCAGCAGGGCAGCCTGTGGTTAGACCGCATTCCTTTGAAGGAGCTGGTCCAGTAATTGCTAGAGGAAAAGGGAAACAAAGATGTCAAGTTGAGATTCGGCATCTGTGCACCACACACATCACACCTGCTGGTGACGAGGCCATTACCTTTTTGAAGACTTCGGCACGGAGTCTGTTACTTTGTAAGATCACCCTTTTCCTTTGTTCTTCTTTTTTCTTTTTAACTTCCGGCAAGTTATCATAGATTCTGAAACAGATTCGGAAAACATTTGGAATGGTAGCTTGACAGCGTGCTCCCGCTGTGGGGCTGCATCCTGTCTTGACGGCAGGCTCTTACATTTCAAAGAGAAGATCGCTGCTTATGGGCTAGCTCACAACTGTAGGATGCCAGGACGAAGGGCTTTCCTGACCATACCCAGAACCTGCTGCATAGCAGGGGATGGCACCTTGTCCAGTGCTACGTGGGGCAATGCAACAGGCAGAGTCCCACCAGGGGCAAAGCTGGAGAGGCCAGTTGCTTATTTAGAAGTCATTGTTTTTGTCCTTCCATTCTCTATGATAATTAATGACTTAATCGTAAAATGAAGGATTCTAAACCTACTGCTTTAGCATTCTGATTGTAAACTTGTTTCCAAATACCTTCTTACCACTCAATGTTTGCCTTCCTGTGACTTAGAAAAGGAACAGCATATAAATAGAAATAGCAGGACTTATAATACTGTAATAAAACACATATAAGTGTGTGTGTTTTTACCTCTCAACCTATTGCACTTTGAATTAAGGGCCCAGGGGATCTTCCTCTGGACACTTCTTTCCTACTTTCTAACAGCAACTTCATGGACTGATGCCAGTTAATATTTCATTATAATCCACTGACACAGTGGAGTCACTGTAGCCTGAGTATTTGGATTGCTGTACGTGTGGCACTCAGCTAAAACATCTTTCTCTCTCTCGTGTTTGAAAGCCAGATATGATATAGTGAAGATGTTCCACCATTAAAATAATAAGGACAATGTAGAAAAAATCATGATGACAATCTTCGCAGGAGACATCTTAGGTATTGGACACTAGGCTTGAATTACTTGACATGAATTATTTCATTTCATATTCACCACAGTTGGAAGAGGCATATCGTGTCCCACTGTTATATAAATGAGAAACCCAAGCCCCAGTAAGATTAGGAGACTTGTATAAAGCCCCTAGGCTGGGATTCAAACCTTGGTCTGTTTGACTCTTTCTAGACAACACTGTCACCCAACCATAATATGGCATCAAGCTACTTGTGAGATCCGGGAAATGCTTGTGCCTAGTACAGTGCCTAGCACTCTGTAGGCATCAAGATGGGTTGAATGAATGCATGAAGAAAAGAACACATAATTGCCACATTCAGGAGTGATTCTAGGAAGGACTAGGAGAGAAAACTATAAAGGAGTCAGTTAGAAAGTAGGCATGTCTCAAAGCTCTGCAGTGGGAATTTCCTCAGATCCATATAGACTGATCTTTCTGATACTGACCATCTCAATCAGCTGGCAGAGTGGTTAATATTAGGTGTCAACTTGATTGAATTGAAGGATGCCTGGATGGCTGATAAAGTCTTATTTCTGGGTGTGTCTGTGAGGGTGTTGCCAGAGGAGATTGGCATTTCAGTTGGTGCACTGGAAGAGGAAGACCTACATTCAGTGTGGGTGGGCACCATCTAATCAGCTGCCAGCGTGGCTGGAATAAAGCAGGAGGAAGAAGGCAGGATAACCTTGCTTGCTGTGTCTTCTGGCTTCCTTCTTTTTCCATGCTAGATGCTCCTCCTCCCGCCCCTCCTGCCGTTGGACATCAGACTCCAGATTCTTCGGCCTCTGGACTCTTGGGCTTGCACCGGGGGCTCTCAGGCCTTCAGCCACAGACTGAAGCCTATGCTGTTGGTTTCTCTGGTTTTAAGGCTTTTGACTTGGACTGAGCCACTACTGGCTTCTCTCTTCCCCAGCTTGCGTATCATGGGACTTTGCCTTGTGATTGTGTGAGTCAATTCTCCCGAATAAACTCCCTTTTATATACATATATCCTATTAGTTCTGTCCCTCTGGGGAACCGTAACTAATATACCTGGGAAGTATAAAATAAAGGCTCCTAGGTCCCACCTCTGTTACTTCTGATTCAGTGTTTTCTTAAAAGAACATCCCAAATAAATCATGGTCCATCTATACGATGGACCACTCTGCAGACAGTCAAAACCGACAAAGAAAATAATCTATCTATTCGTCACAGAAGGGGCTCACAGACATAAAGTGAAAAGCAAGCTACCGAGAGATAGTGTGTAGTATGATACCATTCATGGTTAAAAATCACATAGCTATATATGCACAAATAAAAGTCTACTTTAAGGCAAAGAGAAAGGCCTGACAGGATACTCAGGAGATATCACTGTGGGTGTCTGGGGAGCTGGGACTGGGGTAGGGAAAGTGGGCTGGGAACAGGGAGGGGAACTGCTGGTCATGAAGAGACTTTAGCTTTATCTCCATTGTTTGCATTTTTAACATAAAAATGTAATTTAACGATATAATTAATAGCAAAGAATACAAAGAAAAGAAAGCTCCAGGTGATTCTGTGGGTGAGCCAGAGTCAGAGCCCACCCAAAGTACAATCCACAGAGCAGAGTGCAAACCCAGCTGCTAAATCCACCAGAGGAGACCAGCTGGGGGAAGCCAGTTACTTGAGGTGCAACATCACCTAGCTCACTCGTCCTCTTTGAGCCTCAGTTTCCTCTTCAGTAAAATGATAGGGCAATACTCTCTGACTACTCACGCTGCTTTGAGATCTATTATTTTAATTGCTTAGTTTGCAAGGCTCCGTAATGGTGGCTTTGGGTTTGGGGACTGGGAGGGGAGGATTTGGCTGAAATTTTTCAGTAAATTGAAAAGGGAATGGTTCTGGCATGAGGTATATGCAACTTTGCACTTCTGAAATAGCAAGTCTTAAAGCCCAGTGGCCCTTTAAAAACTCCAATTAGAATGCTACGAATCAGGTCTTTAATGGGACGGTCTCCCTTTTCCTCATTTTCGCTTCCTTATTTACAAAGAGGCCTCCAATAAATGATCAAAGTTACCTAATCACCATGGAAACAATATAATCATAGTAAAAGCAGAAATTGTATGCCTGAAGTGGGGAGAAAAGTATTCTCCCTATTTCAATGGTTTCTTTAAGTGCGCTATCAATTTGATTTAATTATGATAATTCCTCCCTGTGCTAGACACTTTATTATAAACTAATGACATTTTACTTGCATGAACTTGGCCAATGCTGCTGAGCTATTATATTTTGGTTAAGAGGCCAGATCTCAGAAAGAATGGCAGCCTTTGTGTGCATCAGATTGGTGAGAATTAGTGGGAGTCTTGAACAGCCACCAGCCAAGCAGAATAAGGAGGATGTGTTGGCAGCATGGCCGCCAGGTCTGCTGGAGACAGAGTACCAGGAAACCTAGCTCACGGCCCCACTGAGGCTCCACTGGCTCCCAGGTGCCATCTGCCTCCAAGGTTGGATCCTTTCCTTCAGTCCCTGCCACAGTCCAGACCCTTAGGAGAAATAGTTTCTCTCCTCCTCATAAAGTTACCTTCAAAGGTGCAGTGACAAATAGCTCCTGCCCAGAGCAACAATACTAATATGCAGGAGTTCCAGCTCAGAGTCTGGGAATCTCTTAGAGACCAATTACTGGATTGGTTCAGAATCCAAGACCTACCACTTTCCTAAGGTTTTTCCAAGAGCAGCATTAACATTCAAAAGCACATTTCAACTACCGTACTTATTTTAGCCGTTTTTTCAGATTTGCAGCCAAAAAGACCTCAGACCTTAAACATGGACCTAGAAGCAGTGGTCCCATTGGAGGGCACCTGAAGCCATCAAACCACCCTACTCCCCCCACCAACTTCTTTGCACACCATACAATAACCAAGTACCTCTTAGATCGCATATGCATCTCCTTCTCTGAAATGCACCGTTCTTTGGGTTTGAACAAGTTATCTGGAAAAAATAGAAAGAGAATTAAGTTCAGAAGGCATAGAATCTCACACATTTCTAGAGAAACATTGTGATTAGTTCATAATCCGTTAATTGATCCTTATTCTAAGCCATATCCTGAGTCTAAGCAGAACTCAGTAGAGACTGATACACCATAAGTGGTTGTATTGACAATGGCCAACAACGGGTTTGGTCTTGACAATAGTTAAATAAGGACGTGAAGTACAATGTTAGCATCTAACCTACTTTATGGAGAGCAACACCTTTGAATGCTTCCTTTAGCAACAGAGTCATGGTTTTCTGAGAAAAGTGCCAGAGTGCAAGCTCATTCCACCCATAGAGAAATCCCTACACTAGGTCTGTGAGGCCTCTAAGGACAAGGAAATCCCCCACCTATCCCTAGAGCATTTTGCAAGAAGGAGGTTTCACTCTTGTCTATAGCCCTCTATAGGGCTGCTCAGCCTCTGCACGATAAAGACCACCTTGCCCCCTTCCTAATGTGGGGAAAGGTAATGAACAACAACATAATAATCATGTATGCTCAGTATCCTTTGATTAAGTACACAGTAGCTAAAAATCACTATGAGACTGGGACTTTTTCATTCTAAGTACATATTCATAATGATGTTCACAGATGGCACACTTAAAAGTGGTGTGTGTTAAAAAAAACAGTGTATATCCTCTTGCAAAAGTTGAAAAGGGACTGTTCCAATAACTCAAATTCCCATGAGACACTTGGCCATGTAGATTAATAAAGGGTCTGGCATATGTAAATGCTCCTGGGGTGCTTGTTGCATGGGGGTGTGTTTCAGCAACTGCCGTGCTTCCTAAAACACCTGGGCAGTAACCTGCTCATTCAGCAGAAGCAGACAGGCAACTTGGCTCCTTGCCAAGCATCAGAGTTGGAGTGGGGCTCCTGCGATCCCCAGTGAAGTCCTGGGTCTGTTTCTATTCATCTCCTCCAACCCAGGCCTGTCCCTTTGCTCATCAATCCAGTGGAGCAACCAAATATTTCTCAGGCTTGAGAATAGACAGAATTTTCTAGGAATATCTAAGAAGGTAGGATAGAGCCAAGGATCCTAAGAAATTTCTTCCTCTCTGGAGAAACATAACACAGCTACTGACTTATAATATGGAAAACAACAGAGTGGCTAAGCTTGTCCCCTGTCTGGTTATTCAGACATGAAAAAGAATATGGCACCATCGCTTAACTTCAAAGACAAGATTGAAAGGAGAAACAAGAAAAAGAAATTGGAATATTTCCAACTAAGTGGCTGTATTGACAACTGACCAAAAACAAGGTTAATCTTGACAAATTAAATAAGGGTGTGAAGTACAGTGTTAGCACTTAACTTACTTTATGGAGAACAATGCCTTTGAATGCTTCTTTTTAGCAACAGAATCATGGTCTTCTGGAGAGAAGTGCCAGGGTGCAAGGTCACTCCTCTCATAGAAAAATCCCTACACTAGGTATGAGGCCTCTAAGGACAAGGAAATCTCCCAGCTTTCCCTAGAGCAATTTGTAAGAAGGAGCAGTGAGAAAACAACATCACCATGGAGACTGCAATGGGCCAAGATGCTTCCCAGTATCCAGCGGTCCCTGCTCCAGGCAGCACCAGGTCAGAGCCAAGGGCCACAGAAACATCCCAATGGCATTTCCAAGAAAAAAGGAAATGTCAGCTTCCATCAGTCAGGCCCTTGCTCAAGCAAATATGTGACTCTTGACAGTCACTTATTCCACTTAGGGAAAAGAAACCTTGTACAAAGAATTAGATTCAAGTCCAGCTCAGCAATCCTCATGGGCTACTCAAGATTAGGGTGAGGCCAGGGTAGACAGACGGTGTCCTGAGGAGATTAAAAACATTACCAATACCCTTTGTAAGATTTTGATCATCTTGGTTCAACTGTTTGTGGTCTACTCTGGGAAGTTAGATTTTCTTTTCTTTCTTTTTTTTTCAGTTTGTTTCTTTAGAGCACCTGATACCACAATTAAGCTTGGGTTTGATTCCCAAGAGGAAACAACAGCAAATGTGAGCTCTCTGACACCTCCACTCTTGTGTTTCCTCAACTCGGCTCAGCCTGCTGTGCCACACAGAACTTTTGATTCTGGGCCCAGCAGCCCATGTTAGGTGCAAAACAAGCAGGACTGTGTCCAAGGGGGCTTCCCCTGCTGGTGACCTCAACCCATACCCCCGGGGAAGTATTTGCAGGTTGATTGCTTCTGACTTTGAGTTTTCCTAATGGTTCCCAAGCTCATCTGATAAATAGCAGGGTCTTTCCTAGCCTGGAGGAAAGAGACATGAGGAAGTGGTTTGAAATAGAGCAAGTGCATTGCAAACAGCTCCCAACCTCACTTGAGTGAGAGGAACACAACTCACTGGAGCAGCTTTGGGCACTTTGAGAGAGAAAGTGGCTCGTGGTTGCAGAAATTGTGTTTTGGGAGCCCTGACCAAGAACTCCTCCATTTCCCATGAGACCAATCCAAAATTCATTTCTTAGATATGCCTTTCTCCTTCCTTCTACATTTAACGAGCAGTTATGTTGGTAGGGGATGCTCAGAAACAAAAATAACAGATAAGACCGTCCCTTCATGAGATTTCATTTATTTTGGGAGAAGCTGGACAAGTCAAAAACCAGCTAAAGTATCCGGCAAATGCTCTGGTGAAAATGAAATGCCACCATGTGTCAAAGGGGGAATGGAGAGGCAAGAAGTCCCCGCAGGGGAGGAGATATTTAAACCAAGACCCGAATGACCAAAGAGCCAACTGTGGGAGGATCTGGGAGAAGGGCACAGTGAGCTTCTGCAGTAAGAACTGAAAGTGGGTCATCGTGGCTGTGCGGGGAGGGAGGGTGCAGAGGCGAGAGCGAAGATTACTTTGGTTCTCCACCCAGGTGATGCCTTACAGCTGCCTGGGGATTTTGGCAAAGATTCCTGTGTGTTGGCATTGGAATCTCAACCAAAGTCTCCAGATGACTCCAACATGCCCTAGAATAGGAAACCACCCACGTTGGCCTTTGCAAACCTATTTAAGGAGCTTTGCAATCCTGTTAAGGAGTTGCCTTCAGAGTAAGAGAGTTGGAGAGCCATGTGGAGTTTTAAACATGAGATCTGATTTTTATTGCTAAAAGATGACCACAGTGGCTCTTCAGAACATGAACTGGGTGGAGGAGATGCAAAAATGGCAGCAGTGAGATAGGTCAGGCAATTGCAGCCAGGTGGGGAAAGATGGCAGCGTGCAGGTAGCCATGGGACTCTTCTACCCTGTACAGGTAGAAACTGAGTTGTAAGGGCCAGGAGAGATGAATCAAGGATGACTCCCAGGCTTTGGGTTTAAGCAAACCCATTCATTTGACAATTGTAAAGTTTTTATCTCCTTGGTGCTAAGCGATAGGGACATGAAGATAAATAAAACTAAGAGCTCAGAGCCCAGGATGAGAATGAGGTAAATAAGGCCTTTAGATGCCAAGAGCAAAGTCTGCACATGGTGAGGGGAGACATCAGGAGGGAGTGGTCAGGTCCACCAGGGAAGAAGGGCATCTGGGAAAACTCCATAACAGGAGACAGCTGAGCTGGGTCATGAAGTAGAGAGAGACATACCCCAATAGCCTGTGGTTGGTAGGGGTGGGTGAAACGGCAGCCCAGGGTCACATAGACCTGCCTGCAGCAAGAGATGAGTCATCCTTGATTCATCTCTCCTGGTCCCACAACTCAGTTTCTTCCTGTACAGGGTAGAAGACTCTCATGACTACCTGCACGCCACCATCTTCCCCGGCCTGGCGCAATTGCCTTCAGGATATGTACAGCATGACCCACAGGGATTTCACTTCATGGAATGCAAAACCAACCTGCATGAGCTTTGTTTGAAAACAAAACAAAACAAAACGAAAACAAAACAAAACAAAACAGAGAAATCCTATCTATAAAATTACTCTTAATGGAAATTCTGCCTGTATAAAATTAAAGTGGCAGGTGAGAACCATTTTCAGCTTGCTTATGGGTCTCTTACAGATTTTCCTTGAAGTTTCATGTGTTCTAATTCCCTGATATGGAGGGAAGAGACTACAGTTGTGTTTACCTCGAATTATCATTCAAATAGAGGTGGTGTTTTCCCCCAGTAAAATTACTAAGGTAAATTGCCTATTTCTATATTTCTGGAAAATACTTTTTTCCCCAAAAAGTCTTGCATCTGCCTCATTATTGGATCCAAACTACAGTGTCTATTGCTAATTTAACTTGGTAAGGCCAGACTTCCTCAAGCCCTTGCCTGTGTCAAAGTCAGCAAACAACCAGGTACCAAGATTTCAGTGCTTCTGAGAACTACTCAGGTAAGGTCAAAGCCCAGACATCCCATTAATCTCTATAAACACATGTGGGTGTTTATTGTAATCCTCATATCACCTCTGTGCACACACATACACAAGGACAAGTGGCCTCAATATTCAGACAGTTGACAGTGTCACCAGAAGGCAGCAAAGATCACCCTGCCACCAGCATGATTCGTTGTTTTTGGAGCTGGGCTGTTTTTCCTCCATGCAGAGCCCTTATCTACAGCTCTGATTGCAAACTTCATTTTCCCTACTGAAGAGGTAATCTAAATGATAATCAAGTTCACACGATTTATTAGGACAATGCTTTCCAGAAGCCTATTTTCTGAAGTCACCCCGAGCACTTTGAAGGATGTTTTAGACATTTGCTTCCCCTATCTTAGAAACACCAAAACCAAGAGATACCCGTTGGAGAGAATTCAGCAGGGAGTCAATAAGCCAGCCTGGAGTATAGACGTCAAGTCTCTACCTTCCTGAATCTCCTACTAAAGATTGGACCTTCACAAAGAATGGAAATGGGTTGTGTTTAAGGGAACCCCCAACATGTGTGAATTCTAAGATCACAAGGCTGTGCATTATGCAATTCCAAAGTCACTAGGTCTCTGCCGCCGGCCGTTAGAGTAATTCCATCACGGTTCTCAGGGTTTAAACTTGAACATTTCTGTTCAGCTCACCATGGTGGACCCTCTAATTTTCTTGATGTAGGCAATAGGAGAGTGGTCTATCTTGAACCAAATTAGCCCTCCAGAAATTAAACAGCACAGGTTACACCATATGAAGGTGAGTTAACGACTCATAGGTGGTTTGGCTCTGAAGTGCTCTCATGATAAAATCTTATGCTGGACTCTCATTTTCTAAACATTATCCTGTTTCTAAAATCACTTCTAGCCATCTGTGGAATCCCACTGCTGAATGACCGTTGCACATAGCAGCTTGTTTCAGAACCCTGTCAGGTAAGTGGAAGCCACACAGTTGTTGGTATTGATATGAAAGTGATGCCATGTGCCAATTACTGTCCAGACACATGAGAGAGTTGCTGATGTAACAATCTGGAAAGACAATAAGCTCTCAGACCTTTCTGGTGAAGGAATATAAAATTAAATAAAAAATAAGCCAGAGAGTCTCCAGAAAAATCTGTTTCCTTTTGCATACTCAGTTTGAGAAGCAAGGTGTATAGGGCTTCCTGGTTAAGGAAGGTAGATCATTCTCTTGCACACAGAGACTTACCCTTGAGCTTGAGCTCAGAGTCAGGTCACCATCTTGCAGCTTCCATGGAAAGATAGGGTGCTTTGGAGCTACTGGATGGATTTCATAAAGGGTCTGCACCCTTGGTGGGGAGGTGGTGAAGAGAACGCCCCACCATGAACACTGGCAGCCACAAGCCTCCCCAGATCTTCCAAGGAGAGACCCCTGATACAATATGGCAGATGAGGCACAGGACCAGAGCTTTGCTTCCCCAGCTGGAGGATCCCAGACCTCCAAGTCAACCATATCTATGAAAAACATTTTTGGAGAGAAATGGAGTCTTGATGTACTCCCTGAGCCCATGCTGCTCTATCTCTTGGATCCAAGAGCACTGTCCTCAGTCCCCTTCACTTCCTGACTCCCTAGGGGTCTTCTCCTTTATGATTCTAGACGTGGTTTACAGCTGTCTGCCTGGCCAACTCTCTCCCCAAGTGGCACATGAACTCCTGGAAGACAGGAAAGTCTCTTCTCAGCCCCTAATATCCCTGCCTTTTCCCACTTGCACTCCATCCCTATGGTCAAAAGAGACCCAGTGCTTAATATTTTTATTTCTTGGCTGGTTACTCCTCAAGAGATCCAGTAAGAGACAAAGGGTTCCCCATAAAACCTATAGGAACTGCTAAGGAAGGCTGGCACACATCACCTCCTAATTCAGGTTGCCCGTAGTGCCAAAGACCCACGGAACAACCAGCTCTACCTGTGCAAATTCAGTACCCCAATGTTGACAGGATCAGAGACTCTCAAACTAACCAGACTCTTACCCAAGACCAGAAACTTACAATATGAATCCCAGCGGAGGACTCCTGTCAGTTGCCCAAAACATGCATTTCCTCCTAGGGGAGCTCAGCAGTGGCTGACAAAGTGGTACAGACTATTTTCTGCAATGAGCACATTGTTGAATTTGAAGGCAAATCAGCTGAAAGATGGGCAGCTATACCCAGTCTCTAGGATTTAATGATTCAAATTCTTAATGACCTCACTAAACACAACAGGAAATTCAGTTTCTTTCTTTTTACAAAAAAAAATGAGCATTAGAAAATTAAACATCATACTTTTATGATGTATATATGATGATTTCTTTGGCTTGCCTGAGCCTCCATAAAATGATAAAGTCTTGTTACGTATAAGTCTAAAAACCTGGCAAGTCACCTTAGGCCTTTGCTTGGTGCTATGTGCTTTGGGACAAGCTACTTGTGCTAAGATTTGGTTCCTCTGCACCCATTGCGGGAGCAGAATCATTTTTTAAAAACTTTTCTTTTTTGAGCCAGGGTCTCACTCTGTTGCCCAGGGTGGAGTACAGTGGCACAATCATGGCTTACTGCAGCCTCGACCTCTCAGGCTCAAGTGATCCTCCCACTTCGGCCTCCCCTGAATAGCAGGGTTTTTGTTGTTTTTGTTGTTGTTATTTTTGTTTTGTTTTTTGTAGAGATGGGGGTGGTCTCACTTTGTTGCCCAAGATGGTCTTAAATTCCTGGCCTCAAGCTGTCCTCCCACCTCAGCCTTCCAAAATGCTGGTATTACAGGTATGAACCACTGTGTTGGGAATGGTCCATATGAAGGTGCTCTATTAACCATGAAGAAGCTAATGGCAATGCCAACGACCACTGTTTCCCCAGTGTTCCTCTCTACACAGGGCACCTATCCCCCAAATTCATGTTTCAATTCATCCTTACAGCAACCTACTCAAGCTAGTCTTCTCTCCTCTTTACAGGGGTTTTGTGTGTAGGTAAATTACCTCTAGTCTCAAAGTAAGTAGACAAGAGACCTGAGAGTTGAGTACTGATGGAACCAGTGGGATTTTTATTCTCTGCAAAAGATATAAGGTTGTGGTTCTCAAAGGAGGGATTGTATTTTCACATAAATGTCAACATCTGTGTGGCTTCCAGTTACCTTCCAGTCCCTGAACCAGCTGCATCAACATCACCTGGAGACTTGTTACAAATGCAAATACTCAGTTCCTATACCAGGTCATCGAAATCAGAAATTCTGTGGCTAGGCCAGTGGTCAGTGGCTTCAGTAGCTTTCTGGGTGATTCTGACCCCTGCTTGGGTTTGAGGACCGCTGTTACCTTGATAGAATGTAGTAAGAGTGAGAAGGAAAAGAGTTAAATCCCTACATGGGTTTTGAGGCTTTGAGGAAGTATTGCCAGATAAAATAAAGACTACTCAGTTAAATTTGCCTTTCAGATCCACAACAAATATTTTGTAGCATAAATATGGGACATAAAGTAATGGGACATATGGTATTTGGGACACATTTATACTAAAAAAGCTTCATTATTTATGTGAAATGCAAATTTAACTGGGCATCCTATATTTTCATTAGATAAATCTGGTAACCCTACTTTGAATGTTTACAGAACCTCTCCATACCATGGCAACAAACAGGCCCCCAGCTGCAGGGTCCCTGAGGCTATAGTCTGAAGCAGCTGCATGTGAAGGCAATGCTGTGGAAGGCCAGCCTGTGTCCTTGTTATGCAGTTAGTTCTATGGCAGTTTATTGCTTCTTCCAGCTATTCTCTCATATAATTGGTATGGATGAGACTTCCCCCTTGATCTTATTTTCTGTGGTTATTTCACATTGTGACATCTGTGAAGACTTTCTAATGGGAATGTGACTGACTCCACTTTTTCCAGATGACTTTGTGCTGGGCACCAAGTGGCATTGTTACAGATGCCGGGGTACACACACGGAGACAGCTCCAGGCAAGGTGCATTGTTAGGCAAGCTTCCTGTGAGGCAAAGCTAGCCACAGATGGAAGCCTGCACCCAACCCTACTGCCCAGAGGAACCCCAGGACCCTCAGCCATCCCTTCCTGGAATTGCTCAACATAGAGGATGCAGGTAATGAGGGTAAGACCACTTTCTGACAGTGCCAGATTTCTATGGAAAATGGCAAATTGAAACTCCAGTTGGGGTTTCATTGGCAAAGCATTGCAGATTCCTAAAGTAATGTTTCCAAAGCAGACTATCAAGAATTAGATAAAAACATTTCAAGGTCCAAAAGGAAATTTAGGAAAAACAGGATTAAACAAATTTAAGGTGGCTTTTTTTTTCTGTAGGACTTATCAGTGCTTTTAACATACACTGAGCATTACACACTTCTAAAAGAATACAGTATACGACAAATAACATATTTTTCAAAGGAATCTGAAGGAACTGGTTCTCCTCTGGAATGCATTGTCGTTAGTATTTGGCTAGAGGAAACCAAGAAGAAAAATGAGATCAACTATAGGATATTAACAGCTATAACTAGTTCTCAGTTTTCAAAATTGTTTGTACCTGTTAATAGAATTTAATGTGTGTGTATATGTATACATGTGTGTATGTATGTTGTGTGTGTGTGTGTGTGTGTGTGTATCTGGCATACACAATCAGGCCACATGGCATCTCTTAAAAGTGTGTGTGTGTGCCATTACCAACATGGCAGTGGGAGTGCCGATGCCTGAGAACCTATACAACTGCTGCCCCAGACCCTGGAGTTGTGTTCCCTCCATATGTATCCATGCCCCAGACCCTGGAGTTGTGTTCCCTCCATATGTACCCATGCCCCAGACCCTGGTTTCATGGCCACTCCATTGGTACCATACATCGTACACCAATGTCAACATCACCATGAATGCGCCTATCAGCCAGACCCAGTTCAAGAGAAACCCCCTTGGCCATAACGTTCCTGGTGGTAGAAAAAGCAATCAGGAGGATCCCAGCAGCCTTTGCCATCAAAGACCCTAAGAACCCTTGCTGCTGCCGTAGACATCCACAGCCTTGGCCACTGAGGACGTCTGCAATATTGGCAATTGTCAACCTCAGCTGACAGCTATGCCTCTGCACCCTCACTAGACCTAGAACTGCCACACTCCACCCAATGTTCTCACACTCACCCAAAAAGGATGACTTTTTTCCCCCAATGAAACCAGTACTTAAAAGCTGGAAGAGGTGACTGCTCCATCAAATGTGCAGACATCATTGCAAGGCAAAACAAAACAGAAAAACAACAAGAAGGAAGCATAATACCAACAAAATAATGTGATAATTGTCCAGTAACTGACCCCAAAGAAATAGGACTCTATGCATCATCTGACAAAGAATTCAAAATAATTGTTTTAAGGAAGCTGATCCAACTATAAGAGAACACAGAAAAAAAATGACATCAGGAAAACAATATATGAATAAAATGAGAAGTTTAACAGAGAGATTGAAATAATTAAAAGGAACCAATTAGAAATTCTGAAACTGAAGGATATAACAAATGAAATTTAAAAGGAAGTAAAAGGCATTAACAGACAAATTAAGCAGAAGAAAGAGCCTGTGAATTCAAAGGCAGGTTATTTAAAAATATCTAGTCAAAGAAAAAAATTATGAAAATGAATGAAGAAAGCTTATGGGATTTATAGAACAGCATCAAAAGAGCTCACTTTTGCATTACAGAAGTTTAAGAAGGGCCAAGCAAAATACAGGGGTAGAGGTAGCAGCGGGAAAGGCCCTGGGAGCTCACTGAGTCCCCAAGCAGGCCATTCCTGCCAAGCATCACAGGAATCCTTTGGGAGGGCAGCCAGAGGTGCAGGGAAAATGCCACAGGGAGAAGGAAACCTCCAGCTGAACTTTGTAACAATTTGAACCAGTTAAGAAGCCTCCTGGCAGGAATTCAGGGGAGGGCATGAATCTTGCATGCAGACTCCACAGGCAGGGGAAGAACTAAAGCCCTTTTCTTTCACAGCTGGGCGGCAGGTAGCTTGGGGCAAGTTCTTAGCCCTGCTTGTCCACTGCCTGGAAACAGACTTGGTGCTATTACGGAGTGCAACCAGCCCTTTGGATTGCGTGGGAGCTGGGTGAGGCCTGTGACTGCTGGCTGTCCCCACTTCCCTGACAACCTGCATGACTCAGCAGAGGGAGCCATAATCCTCCTAGGTAAGTAACTCCATTGACCTGGGAACCTCATCCCCTATCCGCCACAGCAGCCGCAGCAAGACCTTCCAAAGAAGAGCCTGAGCTCAGACATGCCCAGCTCTGCCCCCAGCTGATGGTCCTTCCCTACCCACCCTGGTATCGAACACAAAGGGCATATATTCTTGGGAGTTCTAGGGCCCTGCCTACTGCCGGTTCCTCTCCATACTACCACAGCTGATGCTATCTAGAAAGTGCCACCTCCCAGCAGGAGGCCAACAAGCACAAAAATAGAGTATTAAACCACCAAAGCTAAGAACGCTCACAGAGTCCATTTCACTCCCCTGCCACCTTCACTGAAGCAGGTGCTGGTATCCATGGCTGAGAGACCCACAGACGGTTAACATCACAGGACTCTGTGCAGACAACCCCCAGTACCAGCCTGGAGCCTGGTAGACTTGCTGGGTGGCTGGACCCAGAAGAGAGATAACAATCACTACAGCTCAGCGCTCAGGAAGCCACATTCATAGGAAAAGGGGGAGAGTACTACATCAAGGGAACACCCTGTGGGACAGAAGAATCTGAACAACAGCCTTCAGCCCTAGACCTTCCCTCTGACAGAGCCTACCCACATGAAAAGGAACTCTGGTAATATGACAAAACATATTAGGCTCTTTAACATCCCCCAAAAATCACACTGGCTTACCAGCAATGGATCCAAACCAAGAATAAATACCTAATTTATCTGAAAAAAGAATTCAGGAGGTTAGTTATTAAGCTAATCAAGGAGGCACCAGAGAAAGGTGGAGCCCAGTGCAAGGAAACCCAAAAAATGATACAAGAAGTGAAGGGAGAAATATTCAAGGAAATAGAAAGCATAAAGAAAAAACAATCAACACTTCAGGAAACTTTGGACACACTTATAGAAATGCAAAATGCTCTGGAAAGTCTCAGCAATAGAATTGAACAAGTAGAAGAAAGAAATTCAGAGCTCAAAGACAAGGCATTGAATTAACCCAACCCAACAAAGACAAACAAATAAGAATAAAAAATATAAACAAAGCCTCCAAGAAGTCTGGGATTATGTTAAATTACTAAAACTAAGAATAATCAGCATTTCTGAGGAAGAAGAGAAATCTAAAAGTTTGGAAAACATATTGGGGGAATAATCGAGGAAAACTTCCCTGGCCTTGCTAGAGACCTAGACATCCAAGTGCAAGAAGCACAAAGAACTCCTGGGAAATTCATCTCAAAAAGATCATCGCCTAGGCACATTGTCATCAGGTTACCTGAAGTTAAGATGAAGGAAAGAATCTTAAGAGCTCCAAGACAAAAGCACCAGGTAAGTTATAAAGGAAAATTTATCAGATTAATAACAGATTTCTCAGCAGAAACCCTACAGCCTAGAAGGGATTGGGGCCCTATCTTCAGCCTCCTCAAATAAAACAATTATCAGCCAAGAATTTTGTATCAAGTGAAACTAAGTGTTATACATGAAGGAAAGATACAGTATTTTTCAGATAAACAAATGATGAGAGAATTTGCCACTACCAAGCCACCACTAAAAGAACTCTAAAAGTGCTCTAAATCATGAAACAAATCCTGGAAACACATCAAAACAGAACCTCTTTAAAGCATAAATCTCACAGGACCTATACAACAAAAATACAATTTTAAAAGCAAAAACAAAAAACAAAAAACCAAGGTACATAGGCAATAAACAGCACAATGAATAAAATGGTACCTCCCATCTCAATACTAATATTAAATGTAAATAGCCTAAATGCTCCACTTAAAAGATATAGAACTATAGAATGCATAAGAATTCACCAGCCAACCATCTGCTGCCTTCAAGAAACTCACCTAAGACATAAGGACTCACATAAACTTAAACTAAAGAGGTAGAAAAAGGCATTTCATGCAAATGGACACCAAAAGCAAGCAGGAGTAGCTATTCTTACATCAGACAAAACAAACTTTAAAGCAACAGCAGTTAAAAAAGACAAAGAGGGACATTACATGATGATAAAAGGCCTTATCCAATTTTAGGAAAATATCACAATCCTATACATATATACATCTAACACTGGAGCTCCCAAATTTACAAAACAATTACTAATAGACCTAAGAAATGAGACAGACAGCAACACAATAATAGTAGGGAACTTCAATATTTCATATATATATATATATATATATATATATATCTGTTAAGTCCATTTGTTCCAAGGTATAGTTTAAATCCATTGTTTCTTTGTTGACTTTCTGTCTTGATGACCTGTCTAGTGCTGTCAATGGAATATTGAAGTTCCCTACTATTATTGTGTGTGTGTATATATATATATATATATATATATATATATATATATATATATAGAACATTTCATCCAACAACCACAGAATACACATTCTATTTAACAGCACATGGAACTTTCTCCATGATAGACCATATGACAGGCTACAAAACAAACCTCAATAAATTTAAGACAATTGAAATTATATCAAGACTCTCTCAGACCACAGTGGAATAAAACTTGAAATCAACTCCGAAAGGAACCTTTAAAACCATGAAAATACATGGAAATTAAATTACCTGCTCCTGGATGAGCATTGGCTCAAAAACGAAATCAAGATGGAAATTAAAAAATTCATCAAACTAAATTACAATAGTGACATAACCTATCAAAACCTCTGGGATACAGCAAAGACAGTGCTAAGAGGAAAGTTCATAGCCCTGAATGCCTACATCAAAAAGACTGAAAGAGCACAAACTGACATTCTAACGTCGTCACACACCTCAAGGAACTAGAGAACCAAGAACAAATCAAACCCCAACCCAGCAGAAGGAAATAATCAAGATCAAAGCAGAACTAAATGAGATTGAAACACACACATACACAAATACAAAAGATAAAAGAAACAAAAAGCTGGTTTTTTAAAAGATAAATAAAATTGATAGACCATTAGCAAGACTAATCAAGAAAAGAGGAGAGAAAATCCAAATAACCTCAATAAGAAATGAAATGGGAGATATTACAACTGATACCACAGAAATACAAAAGATCATTCAAGGCTACAATGAACACCTTTACGTGTATAAACTAGAAAACACAGAAGAGATGGATAAATTCCTGGAAAAATACAACCCTCTTGGCTTAAATCAGGAAGAATTAGATACCCTGAACAGACCAATAACAAGCAGCAAGATTGAAACGGTAATTTAAAAATTACCAACACAGAAAGCCCAGGACCAGACGGATTCACAGATGAATTCTAGAGCAGAATTCTACTAGCCATTCAAAGAAGAATTGATATCAATCCTATTGACACTATTCCAGAAGATGGAGAAAAAGGAAACCCTCCCTAATTCATGAAGCCAGCATCACCTTAATACGAAAACCAGGAAAGGACATAACCAAAACAGAAAACTACAGACTGATATCCCTGATGAATACAGATGCTAAAATTATTAGCAAAATACTAGCTAACCAAATCCAACAACATATCAAAAAGATAAGCCACTATGATCATGTGGGTTTCACAACAGGGATGCAGGGATGGTTTAACATACACAAGTCAATAAATATAATACACCACCTAAACAGAATTAAAAACAAATGTCATACGATCATCTCAATAGAAGCAGAAAAAGCTTTTGGCAAAATCCAGCATCACTTTATGATTAAATCTCTCAGCAAAATCAGCATACAAGGGACATAACTCAATGTAATAAAAGCCACATATGAAAACCCACAGCCAACAAAATACTGAATGGGGAAAAGTTGAAAGCATTCCCTCTGAGAAATGGAAAAGAGAAGGATGCCCACGCTCACCACTCCTCTTCAACATAGTACTGGAAGTCCTAGCCAGAGCAATCAGACAAGAGAAAGAAATAAAGGACATCCAAATCAGTAAACAGGAGGTCAAACTGTCACTGTTTGCTGATGATAAGATCATTTACCTCAAAAACCCTAAAGATCCCTCCATAAAGCTCCTGAAATTGATAAAAGAATTCATCAAAGTTTCCAGATACAAGATTAATGTACACAAATCAGTAGCTCTCCTATACAACAAGAGCGACCAAGCAGAGAATCAAATCAAGAGCTCAACCCCTTTTACAATAGCTGCAAAAGAAGTAAAATACTTAGTAATATACCTAACAAACGAGATGAAAGACCTCTACAAGGAAAACTACAAACACTGCTGAAAGAAATCATAGATGACACAAACAAATGGAAATACATCCCATGCTCATGGATGGGTAAAATCAATATTGTGAAAATGACCACACTGCCAAAAGCAATCTACAAATTCAATGTAATCTCTATCAAAATACCACCATCATTCTTCACAGAATTAGAAAAAACAATTCTAAAATCCATGTGAAATCAAAAAAGAGCCCACATAGCCAAACCAAGACTAAGCAAAACAAATAAATCTGGAGGCATCACACTACCTGATTTCAAACTATACTATAAGGCCATAGTCACCAAAACAGCATGGTACTGGTATAAAAATAGGCACATAGAACAATGGAACAGAATAGAGAACCCAAAAATAAGCTCAAATACTTACAGCCACTGATCTTTGACAAAGCAAACAAAAACATAAAGTGGGGAAAGGATGCCTTTTTCAACAAATGGTGCTGGGATAATTGGCTAGCAACATGTAGAATGAAACTAGATCCTCATCTCTCACCTTAGACAAAAATCAACTCAAGATGGATTAAGGACTTAAATCTAAGACCTGAAACTGTAAATATTCTAGAAGATAACACTGGAAAAACCCTTCTAGACATTGGCTTAGGCAAGGATTTCATGACCAAGAACCCAAAAGCAAACACAATAAAAACAAAGACAAATAGTTGGGACTTAATTAAACTAAAGAGCTTTTGCATGACAAAAGGAACAGTCAGCAGAGTAAATAGACAAAACACAGAGTGGGAGAAAATCTTCACAATCTATACATCTGACAAAGGACAAATATCCAGAATCTACAATGAACTCAAATCAGCAAGTAAAAAACAAACAATCCCATCAAAAAGTGGGCTAAAGACATGATAGACAATTCTCAAAAGAAGATATACAAATGGCCAACAAACATATGAAAAAATGCTCAACATCACTAATGACCAGGGAAATGCAAATAAAAACCACAATGTGATACCACCTTACTTCTGCAAGAATGGCCATAATAAAAAAATCAAAAAACAGTAGATGTTGGCGTGGATGCAGTGATCAAGGAACACTTCTACACTGCTGGTAGGAATGTAAACCAGTACAGCCCCTATGAAAAACAGTGTAGAGATTCCTTAAAGATCTGAAAGTAGAACTATCGTTTGATTCAGCAATACCACCACTGGGTATTTACCCAGAGGAAAAGAAGTCATTATACAAAAAAGATACTTGCACATGCATGTTTATAGCAGCACAATTTGCAATTGCAAAATCATGGAACCAACCCAAATGCCCATCAATTAATGAGTAGATAAAGAAACTGTGGTGTATATATATATATATATATATACAATGGAATACTACTCAGCCATAAAAAGGAATGAATTAACAGCATTTGCAGTGACCTGGATGAAATTGGAGACTAATACTGTAACTGAAGTAACTTAGGAATGGAAAACCATGTGAGAGCTAAGCTATGAGGATGCAAAGCCATAAGAATTAAACAATGGGCTTTGGGGTCTCAGGGGGAAGAATGGGAGGGGGTCAAGGGGTGAAAGACTACAAATAGGGTACAGCATATACTGCTCGAGTGATGGGTACATCAAAATCTCACAAATCACCGCTAAAGTATGTACTCATGTAAGCAAACACCACTTGTACTCCAATAACCTGTGGAAAAATAAAATCTTTTTTTTTAAAGAAGTTTAAGAAGGAAAAGAGAAAGGGACAGAAAGCTTATTTAAAAATGTACCAAAAAGCTTTCCAAATCTGGGGAAGATATAAACGTCCAGATACAGGAACTCAAAGGTTTCTAATCATATTCAACCCAAAGAAGACTACACCAAGACATATCATAATCAAACTGTCACAAATCAAAGACAAAGAGAGAATCTTAAAAGCAGCAAAAGAAATTAAGATCCTCATATTCAAGGAAACCTCCATCAGGCTATCAGCTGATTTCTCAGCAGAAAGTTTTCAGGCCTGAAAAGAGTGGGATGATATATTCAAAGTGCTGGGGGGAAAAAAATCTGTCAACCAAAAATTCCTTACCTAACAAAGCTGCCCTTTGGAAATGAGAGATAAAGGCTTTGTCAAAAAAAACAAAAGCTAAGGGGTTCACCACCATTAACCTGCTTTACAAGAAATTCTGAAGAAGTTTTTCACACTAAAGCAAAAGGATACTAATTACTAACATCAAAACATACAAAAATATAAAACTTACTTGTAAAAGTAAGTACACAGTCAAATTCAGAATACTCTAATAGTGTAATGGTCAGATAAAAATCACTTATATCTCTAGTAGAAAGGTTAAGTGACAAAACTATTTAAAACACCTACAGCTACAATAATTTGTTAAGAAAAAAATATATAAAAATATGTAAACTGTAAAATCAAAAACATAAAATGTGAGGAGAGGAAGTAAAAGTACAGAATTTTGTGTAAAATCAAAATTAAGTTGTTATCAGCTTAAAATAGCCTGTTATAATTACAAGATGTTTTATGTATGCCTAATAGTAACCACAGTGTAAAAACCTATAGTGGATACACAGCAGACAAAAGAGAAATAAACCAAAGCATGCTACTACATCAAACCATCAAATCATAAAGGAAGACATCGACAAAGGAAGAAATGAACAAAGGATCTAAAAAACACACCAGAAAACAACAAAATGGCAGCAGTAATATCTTACCTATTAATAATTACCTTGACTGTAAATAGATTAAATTCTCCAATCAAAAAAGCATATATACTGAGTAGCTCAATGGGTTAAAAAAAAAAAAGACCTAATAATAATATGCTTCCTACAGGAGACTCACTTTAGCTTTAAGGACATAAATAGACAAAAAGTGAAGGGATAGAAAGGATATTCCCGATAAAAGAAAACCTAAAGAGAGCAGAGGTAGCTATAGCTATATCAGACAAAATAGACTTTAAGTCCAAAACTGTAAAAAGAGACAGAGTCATAATATAATGATAAAGGGGTCAATTCATCAAGTGGATATAACAATTACAAATATATATATACATCTAATATCAGAACACTTAAATATATAAAGCAAATAATAGATCTGAAGGGAGAGAGAGATAACAATACAATAGTAGTGGAAGGCTTCAGTATCTCACTTTCAGCAATGAACAGATCATCTTGAAGGAAATCAACAAGAAAACATTGGACTTAAACGATACATCCAAGCAAGTGGCTTTCACAGATATACACAGAGCATTCCATCTAACAGCAGCAGAATAAATATTCTTCTCAAGTGTACATAGAACATTCTTCAGAATAGATCATATGTTAGGCCAAAAAATAAGTCTTAATAAATTTAGATGATAGAAATCATATCAAGTATCTTTTCGTTGTTGTTGTTGTTGCTGCTTTTGTTTTGAGACAGAGTCTTGCTCTGTTTCCGGGTTGGAGTGGAGTGCAGTGGTGCAATCTTGGCTCAGTGCAACCTCCGCCTCCGGGGTTCAAGTGACTCTCCTGCCTCAGCCTCCCAAGCAGCTGGGACTACAGGAGCCTGCCACCATGCCTGGCTCTTTTTTTTTTTTTTTTTTTTTTTTTTGTATTTTTAGTAGAGACGGGGTTTCACTATGTTGGCCAGGATGGTATCGATCTCTTGACCTCATGATCCCCCTGCCTCGGCCTCCCAAAATGCTAGGATTACAGGCCTGAGCCACCGCACCCGGCCACATATCAAGTATCTTTTCTCATCACAATGGTATGAAACTACAGTAACAGGAGGAATTTTTGAAAATTCATAGATATGTGAAAATTACACAACATGCTCCTGAACAACCAATGGGTCAAGGAAGAAATCAAAAAAAGAAATTTAAAAATATCTCAAGATAAACAAAAATGGAAACACAATATGCTAAAACATATGGAATGCAGCAAAAACAGTTCTAAGCGTGAAGTTTATAGCAGTAAATGCCTACATTAAGAAAGAAGAAAGATCTCAAACAACCTACTGCTACACCTCAAGGGACTAATCAAGAACTAGAACTAGAAAAACAAGAACAAGCTAAGCCCAAAGTTGGTGGAAAGAAGGAAATAACAAAGTTCAGAGAAGAAATAAATGAAAGAGAGACTAGACAAGTAATAGAAAAGATCAACACAACTGAAAATTGTTTTTTTGAAAAGATAAACAAAATTGACAAATCTCTAGCTAGACTGAAGAGAGAAGACAAATCAAATGAAAATGAAAGAGGAGACATGAAAACTGATACCACAGAAATACAAAGAATTATAAGAGACTGAGACTACTAAGAATAATTATACACCTACAAATTGGATACTACTAGAAGAAGTGAATAAATTCCTAAGAATATACATCCTGCCAAGACTGAATTGTGGAGAAATAGAAAATCCTAACAGAGTCACAGTGAGTAAGGAAATTGAATCAGAAATTGTAAAATCTTCTTTTTAAAAGAAAAGCTTGGGACCAGATGGCTTCATGGCTGAATTCTACCAGATATTTAGGGAAGAATTAATACCATCCTTCTCAAACTCTTTCAAAAAAATTGAAGAGGAGGGAATACTTCCAAATTCATTTTATGAGGCCATCATTACTCTGACACCAAAGTCAGATAAGAACATTTTAAGAAAAAGGAAATTACAGACCAATACCCCTGATGAACATAGATGCAAAAATCCTCAACAAAATACTAGCAAACAAAATTCAATAGCAAATTAAAAGACTTATTCACCATGATCAAGTAGGATTTATGCCTGGGATGCAATGATGGTTCCGTATCAAAAATCAATAAATGTGCTTTGCCACATTAACAGAATAAAGGACAAGAGCCATATGATCATCTCAAAAGACACTGAGAAAACATTTGACAAAATTCAACATCCTTTTATGGTAAAACTTCTCAACAAATTAGGTGTAGAAGGAATATACCTCAACACATTAACGGCCATATATAATAAGCCCACAGCTAACATCATACTCAATGATGAAAAGTTGAAAGCTTTTCCTCTAAGACCAGGAATAAAACAAGGATACCTATTATTGCTGCTTCTATCCAACATAGTAGTGGAAGTCCTAGCTATGGCAATTATTTAAGAAAAAAAATAAAAGCATTCACGTTGGAAAGAAAGAGTGAACTCACCTCTGCAGATGACATGATCTTATATGTAGAAACCCCTAAAAACTCCACCACAAAACAGAAATAATAAACAAATTCAGTAAAATAGTAGGATACAAAATCAACATACAAAAATCAGTAGCGGGGCCAGGCGCGATGGCTCATGCCTGTAATCCCAGCACTTTGGGAGGCCGAGGCAGGCAGATCACAAGGTCAGGAGTTTGAAACGAGCCTGGCCAATATGGTGAAACCCTGTCTCTACTAAAGACACAAAAATTAGCCGGGCATGGTGGCATGTACCTGTAGTTCCAGCTACTTGGGAGGCTGAGGCAGAAGAATCGCTTGAACCTGGGAGGCAGAGGTTGCAGTGAGCCGAGATTGCACCACTGCACTCCAGCCTGGGTGACAGAGACGCCATCTCAAAAAAAAAAAAAAAAATCAGTAGCATTTCTGTACACACACAATGAACTATATGAAAAAGAAATCAAGAAAACAATCCCATTTACACTGACATCACAAAAATAAAATACATAGAAATAAATTTAACTGAGGAAGTGAAATATATATGTACACTAAAAGCTATAGAACACTGATGAAAGAAACTGAAGACATAATTAAAAGACAAGAAGTAAAAAGTAAGAGTAAAAAGATATTCCATGCTCACAGATTTGCAGAATATTGTTAAAATATCTGTACTACCCAATGTGATCTACAGATTTAATGCAACACCTATCAAAATTTCAATGACATTTTTCACAGAAATAGAAAATGCAATCTTAAAATTCATATGAATCTGCAGACGACTCCAAATAGCCCAAGCGATTGAGAGCAAAAAGAATAAAACTGGAGACATCACGGTATCTAATTTTAAAATCTCTTATGAAGTCATAGTAATCAAAACAGCATGGTGCTGGCATAAAAACAAGTAGACTGATGGAACAGACTGGAAAGCCCAGAAATACATCTATGTATTTACATTCAACTAATCTTTGACAAAGGAGCTGAGAATATACAATGGGGAGAGGAAAATCTCTTCAACAAATTGAGTTGGGAAGATTGGATATCCACATGCAGAAGAATGAAATTAGACTTTTAATTTACACCATATTTAAAAATGAACTGAAAATGAATTAAAGAGTTAAATGTAATTCCTGAAACTCTAAAACTACTAGAAGAAAACAGAGGAAAAGCTCTGTGGCATTAGTTTGGGCAATAATTTTTTGGATGTGACCTCAAAAGCACAGGCAACAACACCAAAAACAAACAAATGGAATTATATCACGCTATACAGCTTCTACACAGCAAAGGAAACAATCAACAGAATGAGGAGACAACCTGTAGAATGGGAGAAAATATATGCAAACCATATGTCCAATAAGGGGTTAATATCCAAAATATATAAGGAACTCAGACAACTTCCAATAGCAAGAAAGCAAATAACCTAATTAAAAAATGGGCAAAGTACCTGAGTAGAGATTTCTAAAAAAAAAAAATTGGCCAACAGGTATATGAGAAAACACGCAACATCACAAACCATCAGGGAAATGCAAATTAAAACTGCAATGAGCTAGCACCTCACACCGGTTAGTATGGCTATTATCAAAGACAAACTATAACAAGTGTTGGCAAGAATGTGGAGAAAAGAGAACACTTGCACACTGCTGTGGGGATGTAAATTAGTACGGCCATTATGGAAAACAGTATGGATATTCCTCAAAAATGCAAAAATAGAATGACCAATCCTACTGTTGGGAATTTATCTAAAGGAAAAGAAATCAGTATGTTGACGAGGTATCAGCACTCCTGTGTTCGTTGCGGTATTATTCAGAATAGCCAAGATATGAAATCAACCTAAGTGTCTATCAACAGATTAATGAATAGAGAAAATGTAGTGTGTGTATATGTGTGTGTGTGCATGTGTGTGTGTATTATTGTCCTTCACAGACACTGTGAGGTGTTGTGTTTTTATAAGATGCTTGGGAAGAAAAGATCAATTTATGCCTATTGATTGGTCTATTGATATATATATATCCATATGTGTGTGTACATATATATCACATATATGTATAATGTATATATACACATATGTGTGTATATATACACACAATTTCTCATAGTCTATTGATATATATATACACACACATACATACACATGCAACGGAATACTATACAGTCTTAAAGAAGAGGGAAATCCTGTCATCTGCAACACCAGAGATGAACCTGGAAGACATTATGCTAAGTGAAATAAACCAGGAACAGAAAGACAAATACTGTATGATCTTACTTATATGTGAAATCTAAAAATATCAAATTCATAGAAGTAGAGAGTAGAATGTTGGTTACCAGGGGATAGCAGGGGAGAATCCAGGAGATGCTGGTCAAAGGGTACAAAGTTTTAGCTAAACTGAATGAGTAAATTCTGGATACCTACTGTAGAGCATGGTGACTATAGTTAATAATAAAGCTTTTTTATATTTGAAAATTACTGGGAGTAGTATTAATACATCTTAAATATTCTCACCAAAAGTATGCAAGGTGATGGATATGTTACCTGCATTTAATAATTTCACAATATGTACATATATCAAAACATCATGTCATTCAGCACAAATATATACGACTTTTATTTGTCAATTAAATCTTAAAGTTGAAACAAAACGTGGGCGTATGGTTTTTTTAATGACAAGTTTAAACTGCTCATTTAAAGGAATTTTATCAATGACTTGAATCACAACCTCACCATAAAACAGCTACATCCAGTACAAGTCTGATAGTGTAACTTCACCGTTTGCTCCAATTCCAGGGTTTCCCAGCATTTTTTAGAGAACCATAAAATATGGCGATTTATAGATTATTAATAAACTTTATGCTTGTTGCCAAGTAGATTTATATCTGTGGTGTCACTGCAAGGTTTATTACTCAGCTGCTTTGTGCAGTATAAAGGGAAATCACTTGGAAAATAAAATCAAGGCAATTGGGAAATGTAACTCCTCATAAAGTCATTTTCCTTATCATTCTGAAACTCAGTGTTTTTACCTTACATTATTTTAATTGGAAGTACAATTGTCCTTTAAATCCACTTCTAATCAATAGACATAAATTGGTCTTTTCTTCCCAAGTATCTTAATAAAAACATAAAACCTCACAGTGTCTGTGAAGGACAATAATAAAAGTGTACAAGTGAATGTCTTTGAATTGGGGAAACAGCCTTTTCAGTAATTCATGCTTCCTGTTTTCTTTGTAGACTGATAAAGTAAAAATTTATTTTTATCTGATAAGCACATTTAAAAATTCTCTTGTGAGTAATATCAGGAGAACTAGCCCCAAATATTTATTAAAGGCTATATGGAGAATGAGAGCCTTGAGATCAGACCGGTCAACAGGAAGGATAGTGCAGCCTGTGCTCAGTGAGCAAATCTTTATTACTGAGATAACTGCCACCTCTGTCTCCTGTCTCCTGGGTCGCATCTTCAGCTAGATGCTCTGGGAATCCAAATTAATTTTAATACTTGCTCCAACCAAGAATCATCAGGGAAAGAAGATTTGTTGGAGAAGGAATTCTGCCGTGCCTTCCAGAGAATTCCATTCCTCTACTCGTGCATGATTTGAATGGCTCTGACTTGGCTCACCTTGGGAAGTGCGGATAATGCAATTTGGATGAATTCAGTCTGCTGTGCTAGATGCAGCAGGGCCTCTCGCAGTGATTTGGTGTGGAGTATGCCCACCAGCTCTTACAATCTAGAAGGTTTTCCAACACAACCACACAACCTTAAGCCAAAGTGAAGAAGGGAAGAAGGCAGGTGATCTGGAGGGATGCAAGAATACCAAGATGCAAAGAGTGTTCAAATGGGAGTGAGAGGAGAGGAGAGGGAGTGAAGGGGAGAAAGAAGGATGGGAATCAGGACGGCTTTGTAGAAGAAGGGGATGTTCCTGAAGGGTTTTCTACACATTCGAAGGTTAAGGGGACAAACTGAGAGAGCCATGGAAGAGGACCCGGACAGGCGTCCTCAGAGGGGGAAATGAGCTGAGAACAGAAGGGGGCAACGTGGGCTGAGTTTGAGCACTGTCAGGCTGAGTTAACTGCAGTGAGTACAGGCAGTAGCAGTAATTCATAACAAAGTGCTCGGCTGAGAGATGAAAGCCACCAGAGCCCAGCTCAGTTATTACAGGAAGCACAGGAAAGGGTCTGGGGGTAAGAGATGAATAAAAAGGCTGGACTTGAGAGGGGCTTGCAAGGTTAGGCAGGATTTTATAGCACAGAGAGGAGGAACAGACAGGCTTCTCTCAGGTGGTTTGGGAACCCTGATCATGAGTGTTTTTGGAGTGAAGGAAGGACAGGAAATGAGACCAACTGGAAAGGTTGAGAGTGGGCAGAGTCAGGCTGAGAGGCGTCTGGATTTTGGGGTGAGGGATGGAATCCAGGGAGGCTCTGAAGCTGGGCCCCCAGCCTAGAAGGAGATAACCAGGGCCAGGTTCGAGGAGCTGCAGTGGGCACAGGATACAGGCACAATTGTGTCAATGGGGCATGGTGAAGACTGCCACTGACTGAGCACCTGCAATCTGCAGATGTGGCATCCCCTATGACCACAGGGACTGTATCCTTACTGCCTGCAGTGGCTCTGCCCCCTACTACTTGCAGGGGATATACCCCTATGACCTGCAGGGCTTGTACCCATATGACTTGCAGAAGATGTATCCCTATGACTTGCAAAGACAGTACCCCTATGACCTGTAGGAGTTGCACCCCTACTGCCTTCAGGGCCTGTACCCCTATGACCTACAAATGCTGAACCCCCTATTGCCTGCAGGGGCTATACCCTCTACAACTTGCAGGGGCTGTATTCCTATGACCTGCAGAGGTTGTAACTTTACTACCTACAAGGGCTGTACCTTCTACAATCTGCAAAGGCTGTGCCCCTACGACCTGCAGGGGCTGACCCCGTACTGCCTATAAGCTATGGTTTACCCCTACTACCTACAGGAGCTGTACCCCTACTGCCTGCAGAGACTGTGTCCCCTACCTGCAGGGGCTGTACCCCTCCCACCTGCGGGGACTATACCCCCTAATACTTGCAGGTACTGTCCCCACTATGACCTGCAGGGGCTGTGCCTGATGCTTCACACTTATTTTTAGCCTATCCTGCTCTGGATTCATCCTGTAAGGCAGAGCAATGACAAATTCTGGAACACGCTAATTCCCAGGTTATGGCCGGCCTTTGAACATGACCCAATCCACTTGGGACCCCAGGAGCTGCATAGTGATGATGGGGAAGCCTTGCTTATCACTCCCAGGCAACTCTGGTGAATTGCACAGGTAGAGCCCTGACTTGGGAAGGAGAGAGGCCCTTGGGTTGGAGTGTACCTAATGTCGGAGACTTGAAATCAAAGGCCAGCTCTCCTGCCACCTTCCCTTGGCATGCCTGGGTGTCAGCCTCCCTCTTCCACATCTCACAATCACCACCTCCCACTGATCCCTCTACCTGAGAACCCCTGGTATCCACTACCTTCCTTATACCACTGCCCTGCCCAGGCCCCACCCTCATCATGTTGTACCTGAAGCTACACTACCAGCTCCCAGCCTTGCTTTTGACCTCAGAACAAGGTTACACTTAGCAGCATCTACAGTTCATCTTTCCTTGGGCTCCTCTTTGGCCCCTTTGCCTCCCCGCCCATCCCCATTTTACCATCCAATCATAGCTAAACTGCATGTCCCCAGCCTCCTTTCTTCACTGCGTGTTCCCTTCCTCACCCACCCTGCCCTATTGGCATGGTTCTCCCCCATGTTGGGAACGTTCCTCCCCAGGGTGGGAGCAAGGCTACCACCTATGAGTTTCCACAACAACCTTGGCAAACTCCTTTCATGGCACTCTGAGAATCCTATGACCATTGCCTCTTCACCCGCCTGCTTCCCCACAAGGTGGGCAGACTAGGGACTGTGCCTAGCACTGTGTGGGTTCTCAAACAAGGTACGCTGAAGAGATGGACAAAGAAGTTCCTTCTGTCACTGCTAGAGACGTGGGAAGGTGGCTCAGGTGGCACCCGGGTGAGGAGAGAGACTTACGCATTGTATTTATTGGCTCTGAGAGTTCAAACCACAGGTGATGAGATAGTCAAGACAGGTACAGACTGTAGCTATGACCTTGATGATGCTACTTCCTGGTCCCTCTAGAGTTCCCAGTTGTTCATGAAAATTTTCCTGCCTCCAAACAAGGAGTCCTAACCCTAATTAACACTCACCCACATGCAGCACTCTTCCCCTGGTCTCAAAGGTGCTCAGAATTCACTAGCTACCATGAAGTACAGCGGGTCCCCTGACTCAACACAGTCATCCCCTGCAAGTCCAGGGACTGGCTTCTCTGGCATTGTCAGCTGCCGGGGCTCCCACTTGAACCTTTCAGGTTCTGCTCCTGAGCCAAGATTGCTTGACAAGCCCCGATCAGAGGCAGCTACCCCAGCACCAAAAGCAAATAGGAGTCTTCTTTTTAACAGACGCCTTGACACTGTAGCCAAAGCTCGTTCACGCATATGATTTATGAACTAATTTAGCAAGTAAGAAAAACATCTGCATTTTGCTTTTATCATCTTGCCAGCAGACAGGCTGAAGACAAGATGTGTACTGCAGACTTGTTTAATAGGGCCTTAAACATTTCTTCTCACTTGCCCGAGCTTGTATGAGGCTCTGGTTTCAGAGGCTGTCTGATTTCACTGACCTAACACAAACGAACCCAAAAGTAAAGCTCTCATCGACACATAAATACGGCAGGGATGGTCAGGGTGGCCATAAAACCCACGTTGGCCAAGTCCCACTTTGAGAGCATGCTGCTTGCCAGGACTGTCTTGGAATGTGGGGAGTAAAAGGTACTCAGTTAACATTCTGAACTGAGCCTGGTTACCTTTTATTACATACAATTTTAAGACTTCCATTTAAAAGAATGTGAACTTGTAAGGATATTTGTTTCGGGCAAACACCACAGTTGAATGATATAATGAGTGTAATGATGTCGCCCCAACAAAAAGATATGTTTAAGTCCTAATCCCCCATAACTCTGAATGTGACTTCTTTGGAAATAGGGTCTTTGCAGAGGTAATCAAGTTAAAATGAGGTCAGACTGGTGAGGTTAGCCCTAATCCAATGACTGCTGTCTTTATGAGAAAAGGAAATTTGAACATAGAGACACAGACGCAGGGAGGATGGCCATGTGGAGACAGAGGCAGAGACTGTAGTGCCGCATCTACAAACCAAGGAACATCAAGGATTGCAGGAAGCCGCCAGGAGCAGGGAGGGAGGCTGGACACGGGATTGACCACTGAGCCTCTAGAAAGTAACCAACCCTGTGGAAACCTCGGTTTTGACTTCTGGCCTCTAGAACTGCAAGAAAGTAAGTTTCTGGGCTTGTTTTGTTTTTGTTTTTGCTTTTGTATTTTGCTTTTTCTGAGACAGGGTCTTGCTCTGTTGCCCAGACTGGAGTGAAGTGGTGTGATCATGGCTCACTGCAGCCATGACCTAGCGAAGCTCAGGTGATCCTTGCACCTCAGCCTCCCAAGTAGCTGAGACTACAGGCATGCACCATCACACCTGGCCAATTTTTGTACTTTTTGTAGAGACAGGGTTTCTCCATGTTGCCCAGGCTGGTCTTGAACTCCTGGGCTCAAGAGATCCACCCATCTTGGCCTCCCAAAGTGCTGGGATTACAGGTGTGAGCCACTGGGCCCTGCCAGTTCCTGTTCTTTTAAGCCCCTGTGTTTGGTGATTTCTCACAGCAGCCCTAGGAAATCAGTACAGATGGCCAAGGCCACATTGCCTCTGGCGCTTGGGATGATGGTGTTCCAGACCACTTGTGGCTGGCAGAATGGCACAGCCGGGAGGTGCTGGCCCAGAAGAGGAGAAGCTCAGTGCAGCACCACACTGAACAGGTTCCCTAAGGTCTCTGGGTCTCTGTTTCTTCCCAAAGTGAAGGGACCTGACTGAAAAGGAAGCCCTCCGTGCCATTTTGTGTGTGTATGTGAGTCTTGAGCTCTAAAGTGGCATCATTCTATAATTGCCTACCACAAATTTGGTAACTAACCATGCTCTCAAGTAGCATCTTCAGAACTATTGAGGCTGAGGGGCCCACACAGCCTGGGCACCATCACCCAACACTGCCCAGGGCCAGTGGAGGCACTGAAGGCCCCAGGGGTCTCCTGGTGCTGGCTTTGGTCCTCACAGCAACTTGAGAAGTCTGTGCCTGAACCCAGTTTTCTCTTTATTAGGCCAGAGATGAAAAAGCTTCCTGGAAACTATATCCCCATTGAACCTTTATCTGCCAATGGACTTATAGCACTGGTTAGAGACACATTTTCCCATGGGGAGCTCTTTGCACATCCCCTTTCGTTAGTATACTGGAACTTGTCATGAGGAGGGAGCAGCAGGTGTCTTGTCAAATATTTAGCCACAGGGAAGGATGCATTCAAATTCATCCTTCCCCGAGGTCTTTAGACAGCTCCACCAGCAGAGTTCTGGTGGAGAGAAGGAGACTTAGCCTGCCCATAGACTGGGGAGATTCACAGGAATTCTATTACAACACCATTTTCCTCAGTCCCCCAGGCACCCAGAATAAGATCTTGGTAATGTTTGCTAAGCTGCACTTTATTGAACATGGTTATTTCCCCAAAAGACTTTTATTCTGAGTTATACTCATGATTTCACCTCCTAGGGGCCAAAACATTTTCCTAGGAAGAAAGTTCTCATTCCTCTATCCAAAGGAATAAAACTGGGGTTTCTCCAGGCCTCTAGATTTTAAGATTTGGGTTGGCAGGCACTAAGTATGTGCTCTGATGTCCCCCATCCTTACCCTCATTTCTTTTTGTTATTCTTGCTAGTTTAATAGTCTGTTTATAAGCTCCATGAAGAAGGGACTGAGGTTAGTCTTGCTCCCAGCATGGCACCCAGAGAAGGGTCTTGATAACTCCCTCTCCAGTGAGTAAGTAAGTGCCCTCCCTCACAGGATCAGTGTGACACTGGCCTCACAGTGCTGGGAAGCCAGCCATGTATTCTCTGAGCTCACAGCAGGAAAGGGGTTTCAAGATGAGGAATGTTGATATAGACAAGCTGGAGTCAACCTCTCACCCCGAGATCTGTTTTGCAATCTATAAAGGGCAAAGGGGATCTCTTGCAAATATCTATTAGGAGCCAAGAATTTGAACTTGCTACCCTGGCTGCTACAGTGGTGTGGCTTCTGTCCCAGCTGTAATGGTAAATTGGTGTCCCAAGTTGTTTCTGCTGAGCTCAATGCCCATATGTGATCTCTCAAAATGGGCTGGCTCCAAGAACAGGATTTATGATGCTGAGGGTCAGCCACTTGGAGCCATAACAGGTTCTGCGTATGTCAGTGGCATCATTTGGAGCCATCACCCCTGAGTGAAGCCTCCAGCTCCAGGAACCCCCCATCCCTGGTCTTTTCCAGTCTCCACAAGCCACCTGCAGCTTACCACTCAGAGGATGGGGAATCGTGAACTGCTTCTTGCTGGTGCGGATGGGAAGGAGGCTCTGCTTCTGCCTCAGGTCCTCCTTCCGCTGGGCTTTCCTCTGCTGGACCATGTGTTCAAGCTTCTTCAGCCGTTCTTGTGAGCGAGAAATGAACTGAGGCTTACGAACTTCCAGTGCTTCCTATGCAAAGCAAAGAAAATACGTCATTTTTAAGAGCAGTGACACAGAAAGGCAACGCATCTGTCTGATGCAGCCAAGAAGCCGATGGCAAGCACAACACTCAGAGACCAAAAGCCACGGTGCAAAAGTACGTCACGCTTTTCTTGCACATCTTTGTGTAAAGAAGGTAACAGGCATGTTGACAACACAGGTCCTGGGGGTCAGGCCTGGCCAGCGCCGAGGCCCCTGCTGCAGCAGGATTGACCGGCAACTGGCATCAAAGCTGGGAGTGCAGAGGCAACGTCTGCCCATTCATCTTTCTACCCTGCTGAGTCATTTGTTCCCAAAAGACGATCCAAAAGCCCTACATTCTGTATTCCAAAGAGACATGGGAGTGGAGGGCATGGAGGTGCTGAGTCACTTGCTTCTGTTGCACTTGGAAGCCCCAAGAAGCACAGACACAGATCATCCACTCAGCGTGAAAAACGTGCTCTTTCAGGAGGCACCACAACTGCGGCTGAAGGAAACAGCTCCTCCTCCTGGGTAGAAAGAGCTGGGAGGAAACCTTTGCCTATACAGAAAGTTCTGTGAGCTCCACAAACCATGTCAGAAGTCCCTATGTCTCCACTCCCACCTCCATGCACTAAGCCACCCACACAAGTCTCCTGAACAAGACTAACTGCCATTCTGCTCCATCCCAGATGCCGGGCTAGGTGCTTGATGTGTATTCATCACCTCGTGGAGTCCCACAACTGTTCAGGAAGGCAGGAATATTTCTTTCCATTTGACAGATGCAAAAACTGAGGCTCATGGTAGTTTGGTAGATCACATGGTAACACCCTATCCACGGGAACCCCATTCTTTTCCTGCACTGCCTTTTATGGTCTTAACTTCCTATTCCTTGAGTGTCTCTGCTCAAGTTGTCCCCAGCCTGAAGTACCACCCATAGCCATTGGCTCAAGTTCCATCTACCCCAGGAATCCCTGTTGAAATGCCCTGTTGAGCCAGAGCATGGTGCTTCACCGATGGGCTTGAGCAACAGTGAGTCATATGTTTACCTCCGTGCTAGGCTGTGAGCTCCAGGAAGTCATGGGCCATGTCTCATTGACAATGCATCACTCACACAGTAGGAGTCCTGCATGTATATGCTCAGCAAAGGCTCACTGGGCATGCTGCCATGACTGAAACTTTCCTCTGCCCCCTTCCTCTTCCTTGGGAGCTCAGAGTGCCCAGGCGGAAGAAGTGTGGGCTCAGTCTGTATCACATATGTGTCCCTGGCAGCTACACTGGGGGAGAAGTCTTCTTGGCCAGCTCCCCACATGGTGCCAGCCACCAGGAACAGAGAACCACAAGGTACAAGTCACTGGATGTGCTGAAGCTTCAAGAGAGTTCCATGCCTAAAGAGATAACCCCTAGGAACAGCCTGGTGGCTCAGGTTTAGCTGCTGCCTTGGCTGTCCACCCCACCAAGAATGGCCTTAGAGACTTTGGGGGCACCATGAATGCCTCACCCAGGTCCCACCGAGGCCCCCTGGGTACAGGAGCCAGCCAATGGAGCCATCTCCACAACTGCAACTGCAGGGAGATTTGCAACCTTATTAAGTGCCTTCCAAGAAGGTGTGGCTAGCTGTGCAATACAGTTAGCAGAGGATTCCTCTGAGGTTGTTTGCCTTCCTAATTTTTATTTCTCTGTATTTTTTTAAACTTTATAAAATGTGTGCATACTACATTTTATAAAACAATTGGGAAAAGATGCCAAACTAAAACTTTCCTATCCCTCCATTCATGACCATGTGACCTTGGCCAACTTCACCTCTCAAAGGCTCAGTGTCCTCATCTGAAGACACTGAGATCTGGAGCCCCTATATGCTCCTACCTCCTGGGAGCCTTGCATGGATTGGAGGCACTGATGCCTAGGAAGTGACCTGTGGAATGCTGGAGCATCCATCACTGCTGCTGTCACTGTCACTACTGATAGTATTTGATCTTCATTCTAACCTGGAGGAGTCAGTGTCATTATCTCCATTATTCAAACAGTGACAGAGTGGCCCAGAAAGCTTAGGGGACCTGCCCAGTCACACAGCTGCTACAAAGTGAAATCAGGTTTCCAGCCTCAGAGGTGCAAGTGAGGTTGTGTGCTCACGGACTCCCTAGGAAATCTCTCCCTTTGGCAGGAATCAAGCCAGGACACACAGAAGGCCTTACTTGCAAGGTCAAAGATCTTGCAGGCGTTTGCTGAGACTCAGAACAGTCTTCGGACAGGCCAGGGCTCCCTGCTCCATCGCGGGGTGCTGGCGAGGGTGCTGCTGGGGAGGGCTCAGGTGTGGTGGGGTCCTCACTCTTCTTACATTCCTTTATTTTTACAACCAAGTCACAGCATGTGTAATCTCCTAGGAGAGAAGATTTAGAATCCCATTTAGAGGGCACCAAGTGATTTTCACGTGGCTCCTCAATACCATTAGACACAGAAGACAATTTTGAAAATAGAAACGCCAGTGGACTATTAATGGGCCTCGTTAAGCTGACAAGATCATGCCTCATCACAGAGCCCCCGGCCGCCCTGGTCACAAGGAAGAGCGTTTGCATTCAGCCAGACTTCAGGACCAGCTAATTATGCCAGGGAGGTATTCCGTAGGCTTCTGATGGTTAGGATGGCTTTGCTCAAAATGAAAAGAAACTTTTCTATTCAGTGCTTCATATTAAGTGTGTCCTGTCCAATTATCACAGTTCGGTTGTTTTGGGACAGTGTATTAATCTACCCAGCACTTACTACACTGATGATATAAGGACAGGGCGCTGGTATTCAATTATAGAGCCCTCCCCTGCACTTGCTGGAGACGACCACTGGCTTTGCATAAGTAATTGGGATGACTTCGCTTTCAAGGCTGGTTTGGGGCTCTTCCTGGGGCCATTTTGACTTTCCCTTGTGGAAAAGGTCAGGAAATGAATGGATCCAACAGCATCTCAGGCAAGACAGTTTCTGATGGATTGGGGATTAATGAGTATTCACTGGGCACTTACTGGACTCAGCAAGCAACACAATGTCCTTCACTCTGTCCTTAGCTCACCCCTCCCATATGAGCCCCACTACTTGCCTCACTGCACCTTCCCCTCAACACAGCACCCTGAAACCACCCCAGTTCTGAAAATGCATGGCAGCCTCTCCCTCACTCCTCACCCACATGCTTGCCTATCTCCATAAAGCCCCTTTGATTCCTCTGCCCAGTGGACTCCCACCCTCCAGGCTGAGTCCAAACCTTCCAAAAGTCTCCCTCCCCTTCCCAAGGCACGACCCATCCCTGCCTCTGCTACGTCACTGCAGGGAACACACATCACTCATTCAGCAGCATCCATCACCAGGTGGGGTTGGAAGATCATACTTTCACCCCACAAGCCTATGACTCCGTCGAGGGCTGGACCATATCATACCCACTCTGCATCTCTCCACAGCACCAGGTGCCCAAAAGGAGCTCATTCTCTGGGGAGTGGAGAGGTGGCCTTCTGGAGGCTCACCTGTCCGTGGGATGCATCTCCATGATTACAACGACTACAACAACTACAACTCACCATTTATGCCTGGGTCCTCCCTCTCCTGGGCCAGCTGTCCAACCTCTGCTCAAAATCCACCCACAGTTCCTATTACCTACAAGCCCAAGCCAACTGGAGTTTTCATGGCTGTTCATGGTAGACGTCCCACTTGCAGCTGTCGCTTTGGAGTCTCTACCAACAGCACACCACTTAGAAGGTTTCCAGTCATGCTCTTTCATTTTTCTGAGCATTTGCTCTGGTTCCTTCTGGAAAAGAGCGACTACTCTGCCCCACCCACCCCCCGTCTCCCAGTGCCCCTTCAGGCCTAACACTAGCCCCAACCCCCGTCCTGTGGAGTTAATCTTGCCTTCTGCCACACTGTTTCCATGTCTTCTTGTGAGCATGTTTTCTAGTTCACCCTGTGCACAGGGGAGGAAGCCACAATTTCTCTGCCTCCTTCTCCACCATTCTCCCCAGCACCAGAACCAGAAACCCAAGGGCCAACCCTAACACTCCCACCTCTTCACTGCTCAAAGACCCATCCCTGGATCCTGAGCGTCTCTGCAGCCGCAGCCCCTCCTTCACAGTGACTCCACGCTCTCCTTGCCGGCTGGGCCTCAGCCCCCAGCCGTGCTCCTCTCCCATCTGTCCTCCACATTGCGCACGAGGCAGTAGTTTCCTCTTGAGCAAATCTAATTATGTCTCTTCCTCTTCAAAGGCTTGGCTCTGCCTTCAATCCAGACTTCCTAAGTGGGTTTAGAAAGGCCTTCCAACCTGATGCACGTGACCCCTGCAGACTCACGCCAGCCACTGCCACCCCCACAACCCTTGCGCCCTGGCCCCACCCTCTGCAGGTCCCCAGATCAACCATGTTCCTCCTGTCCCAGCCACTTGCGTCATGTGTGCCTTTCCCTTAGCCTGCAATGCTCTTTGCCCTCAGGTCTGATTTGAAAACGTCAAATATACTTTCAAGTTCCTGCTCAAATCACTTCCTTGGCAAAGATGCCTCTGCACAGTCCCTCCTCTGAGTGTCAGGGGCCGTCCTCGGCTTCCCCATGGCCCACCACACAGACACGGCTATGCTGCTGACCGTTTCCTGTGCCAACGGAGAGCCTAGAGGGCAGGGGATATAAAGCACAGCATCTGGCATACAGTAGGTGCTTAATAAATGCTTCTCTAAACGATTAATGAATGAGAAGCTAGGGATTAACTTGTTACTTTTATAATTGCCATAACCAATTTAAATTTTACAACCCAAGCTGATATCTTTCTTTCTGTCCTTTTCCATAGTTCTTTGAGAACATCTTTAGAATGATAGGAAATGTACATTTTTCCTGCTGACATAACCGGGCACCACAGGACGTTTTTCCAATGTGTTCTTGTGTCCTTTCTATAACATTCTTTGTTGCACCATTTAGTAGTGGTCAGCAACTTGATCCCCAGAGAAATGATGACTGTGTTCTAATTCTTGGTTTCTTCCTCTGTGGGAGGCTGAGTTTGGGACCTACTTTTTGGGCACGTGAGTTCCAGTGTCTCATGCTTGTTAAGCGCTGGGGACCTGTGGAAGCCCCGTGCCTTAGTCATTATATCCCTGCTAGTTAGTCACAGGGCCACAGTCAACCCAGAGGACCTGCTGCCTTCAGAGCAGCCACACACACCTGCATCTCCAACCTTCCTTAGCTGAGCCTGAGAATCTGCTGTGCACCTGGGTGTGGTCTTCTCTCAGCCTCAAGGGAGTACTGGCCTTGCCCACAGTGGTCTTGAAAATCCCCGACCCACATAGGGCTGCCTCCTGGGTGCTTGGGAGCTTCCTACTTGGCAACCATTTGTCCCCTCTCTGCTCTCCCAGTTGGAGAAGGGGAGGTTTCATCAGGTGAACGGTGACAGTATGCACGAGGTCCAGGTAGGCAATCAACAAATTTTTATCGAATGTCAAGACCAAATGATGTCACCCACCACCCTCGCTCCTTACCTTTGGGGAACTTGCTTTCTATCTGAACACCATTGTCTTCCTGCAGAGATGCACATACATCTTGTAAGGGGCAAAGAAACCCAGGAAAAAGGATTCTGGGTTTCAGGAAGCTTTGATGTCGTCTCTCTGTGGGCTCAGAAAGGTCTCTAGACAGACAGTCATCGCTTGGAGAGCTATCCCCAATGGGAAGGAAATGTCTAGTGGGCTTCTGTTCCACTGGAGGAGCAGACACAGTCATACATACTTCTCCTTGTTGCCTCTTGCTGCTTCCAGAAAATACTTTTGTGTGTACTAAAAATAAAACGAGAGTTGTGCTCAAAATCTCTTATGAATCCAATCTAATGTACTGACTTCTACCGCACATGGTGCTTTTCTCGGGACAGACTTGGGGGGGAGTACAGCACTGCAAGTTCAGTTAGGAGGGCCATCTGTATACAGTGCTGTCTTGGATTGGGCTTGAAAGAGACTGTGCTTGGTGGTGTCCTTAGGAGCTCATATTACATTATCTGCAGTGAGCAATAGAGTGAGTTAGCACCTTGATTCTGGGGCCAGAGTACTTGAGTTCAAATCCCACCTCTGCTACATTTAAACTTTCCAGCCTCACCTATAAAATTGAGGTAAGGCAATAATATAATGGACTAATATTAAATTATTTATTATTATATTATTTAGGTTTCTGTAATCAGTTTATTTCTATAACAAATTATATCTTTTATATAATTTATATGATTATATTGTATATAACAACATATCTATATTATTATATAAATCTCAAATATGAAAATTGAGGTAATGTTATCATGAAATAGTAATTTATGTAGAGTGGTTAGCACAGTACCTGATGCACAGTCAGCTTGAATAAATGTTCATTATGATTACTATTGCAGAAGCATTGGTGCTGAGTTACGTACTATGGCGAATACAGAGATAGGAAACAATTTATCGGGTCAACGTGCATAGCTCTAATAAAGCAGTGGGTTTAAAGACGTGTACAACATGTCACTTGTTTCCATGTTGTACTATCAAAAGCCTGGGAACCACCCTATGTCCATTGATAGGGGACTAATTAAATAAATTATGGTACATTCATGCTCTGCAATGGTTAAAAAGAATGAGGCAGATGCTCTTGTGTGGATGTGGGTTAATCTGTAAGATACATTATCTAATGAGCAAAGCAAAATGCAGGACAGTGTGCTTCCCCAGTAAATGCTTTTAGACTCAGAAATCTCTCAAAGGACAGAGAAGATGTGGGAGACTGTTGTCTCAGGAGAGGGCAATGTAACACTAGGAATTGGGAGTGGAAGACAGGCTTTCTTTTCACCATCCATTTTGTACTCTTGATTTTTTTAAACCTCTTTTATTTTGGAATGCCCTATACGTTTTTTAAAGAGCTACTCTTTTTAAGTAAGGGAGGGACTGCACCATGTTTTCAACCCCCCATGCTGATGCCACCCAAGAGAAATGGCCCCACCATTGCTGCCAGTGGGAATGCGTCCTAGCCTTCCTGTGTGTTGGGACAGAAAAAAACACATTGGGAATCCCTGGAATAACAAAAGTTATAAGAATATTCTTGCTTGGGAGGCCGAGGCGGGTGGATCACGAGGTCAGGAGATCGAGACCATCCTGGCTAACACGGTGAAATCCCGTCTCTACTAAAAACACACACACACACACAAACACACACACACACACACACAAAAGAATATTCTTGCTGTATTTTCTCAAATGTCTTACATATAAAAAGGAATTGAGCTCATGACTACCAACCCCTCTCATCAATTTCTCAGAAGTCTGCAATTTGTTCCACACCCTCTGTCCTGGAGTGCCCCCTGCTCCAGCCAGTGGAAGCAGGCTGTGTGGGGTGGGGCCAGGCTGTGTAGTACAGAGGGAAGAGCAAAAAGTCTGGGGCTAGAGGGCCCCCAAAGCACCTTCCTGGACATGGGATCCAGCACAGGTGAGGCCACCTGAGAGCCATCAATTTTCTTATTCACCAAGAGGGGAAGAAACCCAGCTTTCCATGTTCTTATGCACAAATAAACAAAATGTAGGTCCAAAGTACCTGCAGGCCCCAGTGTTGGATACATAGAAAGTACCAAAAAGAAAGAAACTGTTATCAGCCTTTGTCATTTGGAGACGTTTGACTACCTATTATAAAGTTGGCTTTGCTAAATTGTACAGAAAATATGTTTCCAAACTTTTATTTCAAAACATTGGTTCTGTTTAAGTACAAAATATTACAGACAGGAAAAGTCTGACAATAGTCATACATCACTTTCTTTTATTAAAGCTCTCTGACAGAATCAAAAACCAAATTAGTTATCAGTGATGCAGTCTCAATCTGCCAGGTGATATGGATCCATCCTGGAGTATGATTTTTTAAATTAATGTATTTATTTATAGATTTACAGAGATCAGCTGGCCAATATTTTAATCTATCTATCATCTATCTATCTATCTCTGGTTTATTGTAAATTTTTATGTGAATGAGCTTGTGTAAGTCAGATGTTCAGGCTGTGACTTGGAAGAGTTAAAGCAACTCAGAGAAAATAGAAGGTGCTTAGTGTACTGGAGAAAAGAAATATGCAGCCAAAGAAGGACTTTTCTGACTACTGATTGATCAGGTCTCATTTCATGCATTCTGAAACGTACAATCGTCAGCTGTGCAGTCACCCTCAGGTGGGCCCTCGCAGGACAAGGCGGCATGTGTGCTCTTCTCCTCCCATGCACTCCACGTGCGAGTGGGACCGAGTGGGCTGAGAGTTCTCAGTTCATGCCCAACATGCTAAACTGCATCACCCCACTGAGGACCCACAGTCACTGCAGGATCTGGCCATCTCGAGAGCAGCCTGCCAATGAAGCCACTTATCCCGGGCATTTCCATTCACTGGACGGGCGCTTAAAGCCCCCGTCCTGAGTCTGACACATGGAGAGGGCTAGGCCATCATGAATGTCCTTTAAACAGAAACATTCCCCATATCCCCTTTTCCCACATTGGTTGACATGCCGTAGCGCAATAATCTCACAAACTTGATTATCCCAGAATTAAGCTATGCAGCAGGAAGTGAAAAAAACCAACCAAAATATTCTGCCCAACAGTTGTAAATTCCTTCTGTTATTGCAAAATCCATTATATTTACAATGTAAAGATATTAAACAGAGCACCCACAAAGTTACCTCCTAGATTAAGAATTGGAATATTTCCTGGGCTTCAGACATCTGAGCTACTCTTGGATGGCACCCACCCACATTCTACGAGACAGGACCACTCACCTCAACTGTGGGTTACTCCACATTCTTTTTGTCTCTTAATTTTCCCACCTATGTAGGTACCCTTAACCAATATGTTTTTATATCAAAATTCTGACTAGCAAGCACAAAGCTAGCTTTTTTTTTTTTTTTGACAGAGTCTCGTTCTGTCACCATGTTGGAGTGGCACTATCTTGGCTCACTGCAACCTCCGCCTTCCGGGTTCAAGCAATTCTCTTGCCTCAGCCTCCTGAGTAGCTGGGATTACAGATGCCCACCACCACGCCCAGCTAATTTTTGTATTTTTAGTGGAGACGAGGTTTTACCATGTTGGCCAGGATGGTCTTGATCTCTTGACCCCGTGATCTGCCTGCCTTGGCCTCCTAAAGTGCTAGGATTACAGGCGTGAGCCGCCGCGCCTGGCCAAAAGCTAGCTATTTTAAGGTAAGGACATCATTGTATCTGTTAGATAAAAGCTTCCAGAGGAGGCTTCAGCAGGTTGGCTGGGCCATAGCTTTCATGTGAGTTTATGGGACCTGATTCTGGGGAAGAAAGTAGCAAGGGATGAATGAGTTCTGGACACCAGGGACTGATCACGGTTGGCATCAGGCAGGGCTGGCATGTGTCCGGGCATGCTGGCAGGCAGGAGTAGCACCAGGGGAGTGGGCTGGTCTGGATTTTCTGTTCCTGACCTCACCAAGTTCAACTGCAGGCCTTAGGGATAAGTTGAAGCAGGACATTCTGCAGTGAAATGTGAGCCCTGTGGAAACCCATGCAGGGCAGGGACTGGGGGTGGCGGAATTTCAAGGACCTCAATGACACATCATCAAGAACAGCCGAGAAGAGGCATGCATCTGGGCTAGGTGGGGACACCACCAGCCCATGCAGGTCCTTAGGACAATATGAGAAAAAGATGGGTCTCTTTCAAGACATTTTACCTCCATTGGCCAGAAAATGTCACCACAAGCCAATCTGATAGAAAAAAGATACTTTATTATCTCTCCAAATGTACAAATCTTCGATGTTCTTATATGAGCCCCTGTTGAGCCAGTGGCCCCCTACATGCACACAGTCTCATAACTGTGGCAATTTTGGCACAGTAGAAAATCAGAAAGCATGAGTGGTTGCTAAGGAGAGAAACCAGTACAACAGCAAGACTGTCAGTCACATCTCAAAGGAAGAGTAAGAAAACTATGAAAAGCAGACACACGAGCCGGGAGGGTACAGCTGCCCAGGGAATTTTAATAGCCAAGGTAGGTAAATGACATACAGAACTCACATTAGAATCATTTATATCCAGATTAGTTTAAATTGTGTTAAAGGCATTCTGGTATTGAAGATGAAACTTAGCTCTTTAGAACATTCATTCACTCAGGAAGGGAAAGATTGTCTCTGAGGTTTTGGGTCACAGCTCTGTGTAGCCTCCTGCCCTCTTAAAACAGACTTCAACCAACCACTCAACCAAAAAGACCTCTCTGAACAAAGCAGGCCTCCCTGAGTGTAAACCACACATTTCCTCCACATGCTGATGTTCTGGGCGGTGACGTTTTCTCCCTGCAGAATCTGGGCCATCTTACAACCAACTGTGTCTTAAGAGTTCCAGTAACCCAAGCTTGTGTCATTGTCTCTGGGCCATCAACATAAACATCAATTTCTCAACTCAGCTGCAGGGTGGCCCTCAGCATCTCCTAAAAGCCCTAATGCTCTTTGCCATGAACCTAAACAGCCCCAGACTGCCTTCTGCCCTCAACACCTTTGCAAAGCTCTCGGGTCTGCATTTTATATGTAGTGTCTCACCTCTTCCTCTCACCTGGGTTCTCTTCCAGCAAGCTCTATAACTACAGCATCTAACTGGAAACCAGTTAAGAGAGATTGGCAGGCTTGGGTGTCTGTTGAACACCCACTCTGCATGGGCGCCTGCAGGTGAGTTGAGGACTCTCCTTTGCTGTCTCCTTTTGGCAAGCGAGAGGCTGCTGCAGAGGGGAAGGAAGGTGTTCTTCTGCATGCAATAAATACGTTGCATGCTGCGGAGGCAGGGAAGGCATTCTTCTGCATGTTGTGTCCTGCAGTGGAGGGAAAGGCATTCTTCTGCAGGATGCATGCTGCAGAGAAGGAGGGAAGGTGTTCTTCTGCATGTTGCATACTGCAGGGGGGAAGGCACTCTTCTGCATGTTGTGTCCTGCAGTGGAGGAAAAGGCATTCTTCTGTAGGTTGCATGCTGCAGAGGGAGAGAAGGCATTTTTCTGCATGTTGCATGCTGCAGAGGAGGAGGGAAGGCATTCTTCTGCATGATGCATGCTAATCCATGGACATGGAGGCCATGAAAGAGGAAGGAAGAGGCAGTAACAATGGGTACTCCAATCGCACAGCTTTTCAAGCAAGTGTTGTTTGCTTTATTCTTTTCCTTTCAAAGGAGAGAGAAAACCCAAAACCACCTCCAATTACAATATGTGGAAGATGAAATAAAAGAAAGTCAAGTTAATTTGTGGCCTTTTAAAAAACAAGAGGTTGAGCATGGTGTCTCACACATGTAATCCCAGCATGTTGGGAGGCTGAGGCTGGAGGATTGCTTGAGTGCAGGAGTTCAAGCCCAGCCTGGGCAATATAGTAAGACCCTAACTCTACTAAAAACTAAAAAACAAACAAACAAACAAACAAACTAGCCAAGCATGGTGGTATGTGCCTGTGGTCCAAGCTACTCTAGAGGCTGAGATGGGAGGATCACTTGAGCCCAGTAGTTCGAGGCTGCAGTGAGCCATGATGGCACCACTTCACTCCAGCCTGGGTGACAGAACGAGACTCTGTCTCAAAAAAAAAAAAAATACAGAAAGGAAGAAGAAAAAGAAAAGAAAGAGAGAGAAGAAAAGAAAAGAAAACAGAACAGAACAAGCCTATTAGATGGACAAGACTGGTAGATATTTTCTCTGCTTTTTTTTCTGGTTAAGGCTTCAACTTTTGTCTGCAGGTTAAAACTCTATTTCCTCACGTGGGATTGGGTCTCCATTTGGTATCTCTGTATTTCACCGCATCCAGACTTCTGTTTAAAATCAACTGATAATTGTTTCAGCACATTTCTGTTCAATTTCTATGTAGTGGCATTGCAGCCCAGGAAGGGAGTCAAAAAAGGTAGGAGGAGGCGGATAGCAAATGGGATAAACAGCTCCCGGCAGAGAGGATGGAAGCAGTGAGCTGCGTTACCCACAAAGATGATCCACAGCAAAAGCAGAGCTGGAGCTGGCGCCACTGGGAAAAGGAAGGAGAGAGAAGGAATGGGAATGCCAAGGAGGACAGCCAACCTGAAAATCAACCCGCAGGGATGAAGAGGCAACAGCGGGGCTGGAGGAAGCAGACATGGAGGGGGCCTTTCCTCGCCAGAAAACCAGACTTCCTACAAATGCCTTTCTAGACAGTAAGCAGATTTCTTCTGCTATAAACGTCAACCATTAGAACCTTTTCTCCCTAAAGCTGCAGACCTCAGGGGCAGAGGGGCTGATGACCAAGAAATCAGACTGACTTGTAAACTGTGGTAGTGATATGTGAGAAAAGCCTTCCTTCTTCTGGGAGCTTGGGCAGATGGTCAGGAAGGGAGAAACATAGTTAAGATGTCAATAGGGTGTTAGGATACTATTATGCAAATTCAGTGATCAGAAGCACCCTGTGTATTCAGAGAAAAAGGAAAAAATCCCAGCATATTCAATGTTATTGTTCTAGTGTCAAGTTTCAAGGTACCATGTGGGCAATTGTGCAGGCAACTCTCATTTGACGTAAAGACTCACATGTAGTTGCTGCAAAGTAGGAATATATATATCTACCCACACAAAGAATATATAGAAAGGACTGGATAACTAGCCAGTTCTAGTTATTCATTATTATTCTGTTATTAGCTAGTTATGATTATTCCAATAATGTCATAAACCTAGAGATTTTCAGGTTGATGAACAGAAGTCTTAAAAGGTAACAAAACTATTTGGAAGGCAGAAATAAAACACACACACACACACGTGCACACACTCATGCCCATTTCCTAATAACAAGATTACTTCGACTACATTGCGAACATGATCAACAGAAACAAGTTTCAATTAATTATTAGATCACATCTTTCTACCTTCCTTTCAGGAAGTAGAGTCCCAGAATATCAGTTACCCTACAGTCCTTTATCCCCAAAGCATGGCTCAGATTCTGGAAGCACACAGAAACATAACTTTAAGCTTTTCTTAAAACTTACTGCTAAAGTTTCCCAAAGTGACCCTTTGAAGTAATAATTATTTTCATTAAGACATTTCCATTTAAAAAATCTTTTTCTAAAGTATAAAAGCAATAAATGATCACTGTAAAGAAAACCTGACCTATAGAAAAGTATTAAAAATTAAAATACTGACAATCTGACACTCCCCAAAATGCTCACGGTATTTGTCTCTGGGAGCTACGACATATTTCTAGTACATTAATATATGAGCTTTTTCCTTCATTTCTTTCATTTCCACTTTGGATACAGCTTGTAACTCAAGTGGGTCACCCTCTCTCATACTCATACCCACTGACACATAACAGCACAGGTTCATCGAGACATGCCTGTTTGGGAGTGGACTTGGGTGGTGGGCTCCTTGCTGTTGATGGTTCTCCTTTCCTGGCGCCTAGCAGTTTCAGCAGGCTTTCATGTCTCCTCCCATTCTTGCTTTCCTGGGTACTCTGACAATTACCAAGCAGGCAATGCTGCATGTTAAAAATTGGAAGAAAAAAAAATCAAGGTAATCTTCCAGGCGTTGAAGGGAACAGCATAGAGGAATGTTGACCAAGGTCCCCACAGAGTGAAATGTCTGCTCAGGACCAGATGGTCACCCCAGAATTACTGGACATGTACGTGCACGCAAGCATGCATGTGTGTGTGTGTGTCTGCGTGTGTGCATGTGCATGAGTGAAGAAGGGAGGTGGCTTCCATGTCAGACTTTTAACCTACTACCCTCATCTGAGGGTACTGAGCCTTTAGCATTCCAGGGAAGGAGGAAACAAAGTTTTTTTGTGGGTTTCTCCTGCTCCCTCAAATAAATTTTTTGACTTCTCTTCAATTTAACTATTTATTGAGTAACTACTATGTGCCAGGAAATGTTATAGGGCACTTGGGATGCAACAGTGAAAAAACAAAATTCCTGCCCTCATGCCTCCTACATCCAATGGCCATCATCTCCACACCAGCCCCACATTCCTACAACCACAGCTGCTTCAGCTCTGAGTTTGTAGATTAAAGGCTCCTACTCTCTGACTACATCCACTAACTCTTCCAGCTCACAGAATGCTACTCTGTTCATGCCTATTACTCAGAATCACTGAGCCCTCAAGTCCCCACCACCTCTGTTGTCAGGCACAGCTGGTTGCCTAACCAATATCCATTTTTGGTTTTTTGTTTTAACTTAGAAAACCCCCATTTTGTTCAAGATGGCAATGGTCCTAGCTAAAAACATTTTGGCATCGTAGGCCACTGCTCTGGCCAGTGAGATATAAGTAGAAAAAGTCCTTTGTGAGAACTGAACAGGTCTTGAGAGGAGATGGTCCACACAGTATTTAGTGTGGATGTGGATGTGAAGGCTGGAGTCCTGGCAACTACTTTATGAACATAATAATGAGAGCCACACCTAAAGGAAATAGAAAGGAAGGAGTCAGGTTCCAAAGCCATACCCTCCCCCAGGCTGCCCACCTCTGGATTTTTATTTTTTTTTTACAATAGATACGCTCTTACATTTTTAAGCCACTGCTTTTTGAGTATCTAGTTACTCAGAGTTAAACACAAGTCCTAATTGATCTATCAAGGTATAAGAGTAGACAGATGCGTGGTAGCATAGAGCACAATCACATGGCATGTTTGTTAAAACTTAGATTGCTGGGCCCACTCTGGGGTTTCCAATTTAGTATATCAGAAGTGAGCCCCAGAAATGTTCATTTCTGAGTTCCCAAGTGATGCTGATGCTACTGCTCCAGGAACCATACTTTGAGACCCACACGGTTAGGTTTCATTGCAGTGAAGAAACAAAGAACAAAAGCAAGCAGATTTTGGTGGCACAGTGACTTGCTACTAAAAATGTGGTACACCAACCAGTAGCATTGATCATGCCCAGGAACTTGCTAGACACACAGAATCTGAGACCTCACCTCAGAGCCACTGAATCCGAATCTGCATTGTAACCAGTTCCCAAGTGGTTCACATGCATGTCCACATCTGAGGAGCAGGACCTGTTACATGGCCTGTGCAAGCCCGGGGGTCTCTGCCCATCATGGTCATTCAGGAAGGTCAAGGAGGCTCCATCTGCCTCCATGACCACGGGTGCTGAAAGGAGTGGATGGAATGGATCATCGCGCTGGCCCATCAAGTCTCCACTCTAGACGAGTCACCTCACTCAGGATTACATCAACCATTAATGTCAGGGTGGCAGGTGTGCAATCCCATCAGGTTCCCAGAAAGAGAACAAGAATAAGAACAAACAATTTAAGGACTCCTACAGTCAGCCTGGCTTTCTTCTTTCCTGTCCTTCAACTACTCTCAGAAAAAGGACTACAGAAATTTAAAATAGTGTAAGTACAAATGTATCTGCTAGAACAAAAACACAAACCTTCTTAAATACCAAAACAAATAAACAGATGTAAATGCATATATAGCAAAGAATACATATCTTGGAAAGAAATATCGCAAGTATGAAAAATAAAAATAATTATTAAATTATGATAATGTTGACACCAAACATCGGTCATATCAATAAATGTGAATGGACTTAACTTATCTTTTAAAAGAAAAAGATTTTCAATGTGGCTTGTAAAACAAGGGAACTTTGGCAACGCCTGACAAAGCCACATCTGAACGTAACTTGCAATTCAGCCATTCCCCTGTGAGGATTCCACTCTGATGGGGCTTACAAGATGGCCTGCAGGCCTCCCCCAACATCATCGGCTCATTTGCTTTGTCCTCTGTCAGCAAGTAAGCCAAGGGCAAGCCGCAGAGATCTAAGGACGAGGGGTGAGGCCAGTGGGGAATAATGGCCCTTCCATAGAAGGAATGGACATCATTTTGATTTGCATTTGGGCAGACCAGGTGGGATCCTTCAGATAATCAATTCTGACTCCAGCACTGAGCAGTGAATGTCACCTGTGCTGAGCAGTCCAAATCACCAAACAAATATATCCAACATGTGGGAGCTGGCTGAGAGAGCCCTGGAGAGTCTTTGAGCTAATGAGCCTGGTCAAAGGGACGTGGAGAGAACTATTTTGAAAGCCAAAAGGCAGCAAGCCACAAAACATCTTGAATGAGACTAAAACTTGCAGGCAGTCTAGGGAGGGCCCCAGCTAGATCAGTGAGTGAGGGCTCATGGATACCAAATTAAGGCCTTAATCATCCCTCAACTATTTTCATGCTTAGGCTTAAGCCCCAGGATGGTCCACACACAAGCAGATCTTGATGTTCCTAATCTTGACTTTCCTACATTTTAGAATATCCCCCTACAACAACTTCCATGCATCGATTTTGAATATTGGCACATCGACTCACCACAGCCTCCTGCTCAGGACGCCGCCTTCATCATTAGCATGGCCGTCATTCTTGTTTGGACAGCTGTTTCCTGGCAATAATTTGAACATATACTACATTTTCCCCTCTTTATAAAAATGAGTAGCAAATGGGCATATGAGTATGCTTGGCAAAACTTAATAACTTAATTAAGTTGAAGATGGAGATCATTAGGTGCTGGAAGAAGCAAATCTTTAACCTTAATTCATGGTCATGGGACTTAAGCCAGAAATGGGTTGATTTCATGCTGAGTTGTGAAGGAAATGAACAAAATTGAAGAGTCAATTTGAAATGTGAAATATATATGACCAAACAGTAGGCCTAAGGAGGAGTTACAAAATCAGAGGTTTTATATTACTGTTGAGAGCTCTGATCACAGAATCCCCTTTCTAATATGTTTTTTTGATACGTATTCAACGTCCAAACGTATTTTCAGGACTAAGGGATCCATGGTTTTGGTGCTTTGTGGGCTGGGGCCAGGAAGCAGACAGGCTTACCTCGCACAAAATACCTCCACTTCCTGCCTCTCCCGGTCAGGTCAGTCCTGTTCCTCCCTCCAGCCCCGTCAGACCCTCATTTCCATTACAAGATCTAGAAACCCCATTTTAGGAAGATATAAATATCTTAGAGGATTCCATGTCAGGAAAGGAAGTGAATTCCAAGGCTGCAGGATTCCCGTGGAAAAGGCCCCGAGTTCCACTTCTCAGCGCTCCTGGGGCCGCTGGAAGCGCTTCCTAGCCCGGCTGACATCATCTCTCTGGTTTTCTCAGACACTTTTTGCAAACCTCAATCACATCAACCCAAATTCTCAGCTGGAAACACGTGGCCCTGTGTGCATCTCCTTCTAAGAATACTGCGCCCTTTGAAGAACTATTTTTGACAATCAGAATTGGAGACAGTCCCTAGGGCCTCTGAAGAGAAGCACATGCCACATGAAAATAGTCACTAAGAATAAATCAAGCCACCAAAGGAGCCCGCGTCAGTGCAGGCCAGGCCGCAGGCAGGATGCAAGGAAGGCGACACTGACCCCAGCTGGTTTTCTCTGCCTCCGTCTCCTGTGACTGCGAGGCTTAGACATTTAATATCCTTCTGTTGCCGAGTCCCTCCCCAAATGACGACCATTTCTCAATGCAATAAACAGGTGCTGCGGCACCAGACAAATGCTCCGCTTTCTAATCACTCCCATTTAACGCGGACTTCCGGAGTTATTTCTCTTCGCTGAGAGTAACTCATAAGAAACAAAACATATCTGGTTTATGGCTTTGCCCCTTGAGACCACTTAGGTATAGAAAATAGAAATATGCTTAACTGCTTCTTGAAAGCTACCGTGAATATTTGTACCTAGGAAAAGCACTTCCTTTACACCCTAAGAAGGGAGGGATTTCTTTTGGAAAATCAATGTATCACCATTTTCCTTTTTTTTTTTTTTTTTTTGAGGGGGAGTCTCGCTCTGTCGCCCAGGCTGGAGTGCAGTGGCATGATCTCGGCTCACTGCAAGCTCCGCCTACCGGGTTCACGCCATTCTCCTGCCTCAGCCTCCCCAGCAGCTGGGACTACAGGTGCCCAACATCACGCCTGGCTAATTTTTTTTTTTTTTTTTTTTTTTTTTTTTTTTTTTTTTTTTTGGATTTTTGGAGCAATGTGGAGAAGGCAAACTTGTGACATTTTTAAGTGCTCAGTGAATACAGCTGAGTGTTGTTTTATTTAAGCTCACACCACTGGCTATGAATTATGTGGAATGACTGTGGGATGTGCACAATTTTTCCCCAGACCTTCTCCCCATTTTTGGGTCAGAATATTCAATATTTTTAAAGAACATGAAAAAAAAAAAAGATAGTTGATTTCTTTTCATTGGGCTTTTAAACCTCAGAACACCCCAGTCAAATTTTCCCAAAGCTTCTCTTAGGAAGATAGGCCTGCCACGTTTCACACCCTCTGGGTCTACGTGGTACCTGCCACACTCCTTTGTGTTTTGCCTTGACACTTTTCAAAGAAATCTTTTTTAGAGCAAGTACAGATCCCCTTAAAAAGTGAGTTTTCAGGAAGCTGGTCTTTAGGTTGCATTTGCTTGTTTCTTTAAGAAAAAAACAAAAGAATGGTCATTGTTAACATCTTACATGTTAGCATTAGGGAAGCAGGGCCAGGGGTACTAGTAGCTCTTTGTACAGTTTTTGCTCCATTTCCCTAAGCCTAAACATGCAATGTTTCTAAAAGTGGTCATTTGTGGTAGATTTAAAAAGTTCCTCATGGAATAGGAGTTTTTTATATAGTTGAGTCACTTTTCAGCAGCTCTGCCATACATACAATCTCTGCATCTGTTGATTCACCAGAAATGGCATAAACATATCTGTAAAATCCTGTGCTGTAGTTCTTAAAGCACCCAGGTACATCTGATCATGGTGTAGTTCCCATCAATCTGTTGGAGAGATAGGTCATCAGCTGCTCAGAATCCCACCAAGCCCAGCTCTGCTGACTCACGCCCCTGGCAGAGTCCCCCAGCGAGAGCATGAATAAAATCTCTCAGGGTGGTTGGTTTGTGACATGGCATCGTTTGAGAAAGACGAAAGGCATTGGAACTAACTTGGAATACAGGCCCTTGGAATAACCTGGGATCCTTGGAATAAATAACTGGGACCTATGGTTGGTTTGTGACATGGCATCATTTGAGAAAGACAGAAGGCATTGGAAGTAACTTGGAATACAGGCCCTTGGAATAACTTGGAATCCTTGAATAAATAACTGGGACCTATTCCCACCTGGTTCTGCCACCCTTTAAGTGGGTGACGATGCACAGGTCACTCCATCCATCTGGTCTCAAGTTCCTCATCTACATCACAGGCTGATCGCCATCCTGCTCCAGGAGGGAGAAATGGGACCACTGGAAAATGCGACAAGAACAATGCAGTGCACAAACATGAGCCTTTGTTATAATTGACTCAGCCCTAGGATGGCCCATAGCTAAGGCACGACTTTAAACAGGGGATCTGTAAGTGACATAGACTTTGTTCTTTATTTTAAGTCTAAGAAAAAATATATACACACAAGATGATACAGAAAGGCAGGAAGCCCGTTTGCTAAATCTTTGACCCACCTCTCACCCCCGTGCTCAAAGATGGCTGTTTCCTGCCCTTTTTGCCAGAGTCACTGGATGAAGGCCAGATGAAGATTGATGCGAGTTAGGGGTGTGACCATCTCGGAGGGTGAGCTAAGGGCTGTCCTTTGACTGGAACAAACCAAAGCGTGCTGGGGGAGGAGGTTCTGCTGTCCAACACCCCTGGCCTTGGTCTTGTCCTTTCAATGTGCCAACTCCTTTCTTGTGTTGTGTCCCCTGGGGAACAGGGGAGAAGGATATGGAGCTGCCTGCAGGAACTGGAGGAGATCTGAGATGCTCAGTGAACTTTAAATGCAAAACAGGAATGAAGCGGGGGTGACATCAGCCTCTGCCCCTCTGTGCCCTTCCCTGCTGGAACAAGCATACTCTCTCTTCTCACCTTCAAAGATGCCCTTAAACACCTTGGTCAGATTCATCTGGACACCAAAATTTGCACTAGGGTGGGGAATGGGGCTGAGAAGCATATAGTGAGATTTGTGCTGAACTCCCGCTGTACCGCAGGGTGTGAGGAGAAAAAGAACATAATTGTCCAAGGCCAAGCAGTGAATAAGAATGTCTGGACCCTTCTATGACAAGTCTGCAAGCACTGAGGGAAGGGGCTGTGCGTTATTCCAATGTGGGCGGTCCTCCTGATGGGCTTCCCATGGAGCTGGGGCTCAGGTTCATGCTGGTTGAACTGAAATGAATTACAATTGCACAAATTTATCAGAAAAGACCAGTCAATGGGACAAGCTCTAGGGTCACACTGGTATACACTTTGGAGTTGGGGAAGAAAATCCAGTAAGAAGGGGGCTCAGTCCAAATGGCATGGGATTTCTGGTAAGTCATGCAGAGCCTGCCCATCCCAGATCCGGAGGGCGAGGAGCTGGGCCAGAGAAGGTGCTCCTGGGCGCTGAGCTCCTGCGAGGCCCTGATTGTTCAATCCCAACTCATCCTGAATGGGAGTCTGAGTTGGGCAGGACCCACCCCCTCCAGGACGCAGCTGACAACAGGCATGGCAGCAAGGCCTCCCCATGGTTACAGGCCTGCTGTTATTTATACACATGGGGGTTATTCTTTTCCTCCATGAAGACGCCTTTCTCCCATTAAGGCTAATGGAAGTCATGTGGCTGAACTGAAGGCATTTCATTTTCCAGATTTTCTAAAAATAAAATGCAGAGAAGGAAAACATATGTATTGTTTCTATTTGGGATTTTAAGAACATAAACAAAAAGGAACCAGAGAGATTCACTGCCCAAGACATCCAGTTCCTTCTCGATTATAATAGCAGACTGGTTACTTGTCATTAAATTGGTTTCGATGTGGGATAACATGACATCTTGCTCAATTTCTTACATGGACACAGTTTAAGTAATGCTCTTTTTATCCCTTGAAAAATATATCCCATCTTTTCTTTGATGACCAGGATACTGAAAGGTTTTTATTGGCTAGTGGAGTACTGCATTCTGGTTCAAAAGATCTGTATTCCAGAAAATTTTACTGGGAAGAATATTTTTAAAAAGATAAATTTATTTTCCTAAAGACTTTTATTATTCACTTGTGATTATGTATGGCCAAGATAAAAAGGTGCCTCTTGGATATAATAAAATCACACTTAAAAACACAAACATACTTTTACAGTAACGTTTAAAGTGTGATAAAATGTTAGTACCACTCAAAATGCAAGTAACACTGTGGGCCAAACTCAAAATGTCACTAAAAAGCAACTGAAAATAAAGCTCTGTTCTGCTTTGTCTCATGTAAATATAGTAATTTCTAATTTGGCAAAATTTGCTCAGTCTTCTGTTGGCTTTAACATTCTAATTTTCCATGTAGGACCATTTCATGGTTCAGGGCACTTTTCCCATTGCTTGAATTTACAGGCATGTTTAAACACGGCTATACCTCCATGTACCATTTGGCCCAGAGCTTGGGAGCTTTCAGGCACATCAGTCTCTGCCTGGAGATGAAGGTTGTCCCCAGGGACTGGTGAACATACAGCGGCCTGCCCACTGTCACATGCATTTGAAAATGATCAGTTAATGATTAGGACCTGTGCTAACCTTAACCATCACATCCCTTAGTTCAATGAATTCTTTACCTCCAGATCTAGGCATTAAGTCAACCCCTGCTTCCCTATGTTCTGCATGGAATCCATATGCAAGCACTAATTCTGCATAACTGAAACATCCCTGCAACTATACTCTCTCCATCCCCACCTGTACCACTCACTAGGTGGACTCTCTTGCTTTGTTGACTTTCCTGCTTCACCCGAGATCTTGAGAATGTAGGTCAGGTTATGGTAATGCTCAGCTTAGATCTCTCTGATGGCTTTTCCTCCCACCTAAAATAAATCGCAAACTCCTCCTGGTGTGATCGGGCCTCTGCTCACCTCCATGAGCCCAGGTGTCCCCTCTCTGCCCCTCTGCTCTGCAGTCCCACTGGTCTTGGTCTCATCCCTTGAATGTGCCAGCTTCATTCTTGTGCCATGTCAGAGGCTTTTTGCCAGCTGTTCCTTTGTCCTCTCCAGTGTCACAAGACAGGCTCCTTCCATCATCTGCAGATCTTGGCTGAAATGTCAATCAGAGAAGCCTTCCCTGGCCACCCATCTAAAGGAGCCAATGAGTAGCCAGCCCAATCACATCATCTGACTTCAGTGCTCTACACAAGCTCTTATCACCATTGAAATATCTCACTTGGAAGTGTCTATCTGTTGTCCATTTGCATCTATGCAATAGCAAGCTCCATGTCAGCAAGGACCTTGCTTTTGCTCACTGCAGTGCCCAACACCTAGATGACACATGGCACTCAATAAACATTTGTCAAGTGACTTATATCATCATTTAACTAATGGCTCATGTCAAGTGACTCACATCATTTAACTGATGACTCCTCACGGATTTCATTCAGCCAAAAGAAAAATTGGTTTGAGACAGAGTCCACATCCCAAATGGCAGAGGCATTTCTGCATTCTCTGGCCCTTTGTTTTTCTTGCACCATTCCCTCTGTGTCAGGAGGTTGTTGGAAGCCTGGCTCCCACTAGCTGGGCCACCATGTTGGCAGGTACCAGCGTTGGGGCTCAGAAAACACCACCCTAAAATGAAGAAGCCAAGTTTCTGACTTTCTCCTTCCCTCCTATCTCTCCCCGTTCATCCTCCTCCAGGGCAGGTCACAAAAACTAGAATGCCTTGTTCCAAAGACCAGCCATAAAACCTCCTCCCCAAGTTGGGCCACACAAACCAGAATGCCTTGTCCCAAAGACCAGCCATAAAGCCTAAAATGATGACTCTAATCTTCTTCCCACCTTTCTGTGTAAAAGCTGACCATAAAGAAATTAAGACCCTCATTCCAGAGGGGTTCTTACCCCATACCTAGGAGGAAGAAATGCTACAAAAGAGAAGCCAAGACGAGTCTGAACAGACAGTCCTTACTAGGTTTCCCCAGTCTATTACCATTGGCTCATACTTTTTTTGTCCAATCACATTTCTACATTTGTCTCTACTTTGCTGATTCTAAGCATAAAATCAGATGGCTTCCATGAAGCTTTGGATCTTCATCTTCAAGACTCCCGTGTCATGTAAAACTAGGATTAAATAAATGTGCTATGCTTTTGTCTTGATAACCTTTCTTTTGTTATAGGGGTATCAGTCCTGACTCTTATGAGGGGGAGGGGAAAGGGATCACTCCTTTTCTGCCCCTATACTATGAATCTACTTGGCTGAATGGAACAGGTGGCAGGATGCAGGGTTGAGTGCAGCATAGCCTAGTGAGCAATTGCCATGAGCAACAATGCAAATGTACAGATTCCATCAGAACCATTTCACATGACCCTCAAGGCCTGCCCTTTTCCACTCTGAAACTTGTATAAACTAAATGGCAAACTTGACTAATTCCAACTTCACCTTCTCTCTCTGCACCTTGCCTTCACAGAAGCACAGGTGAGCAGGAAATTAGACAAAAGCCAGGTGTGCAGAAGAGTGGGAATGGAGAAGCTGAGAGCTCAATTGCACTGTCACTGAGATCATTTACTCCCTAACTAGCTAGTAGTAGCCCTTATGACTTTTCCCTGGATTAAAATTACACATTTTCCATTTCTGACATGACCACCAGCTCAGCCACATGAGGGCAATTTTCAGGAAGGAAGCAGCAGATCAGCTTCCCAGGCCATGCAGACCAGACACCAAGCTCTGGTGTGTCATTAGGGAAAACAAGATGATCAGGCTTTCTCTGAGGTTAGAAGAGGAGTGTGCATTTCCTTGCAGGAAAAAAGAATCCAAGTTTTGGGAAAATTTCTCTGCTGGAAAAGGAGTTAAGGAACAAGGAGTTAAGGAGTTAGGCTTGGGGGACCCTTAATTTTAAGTTATCTGCATTTGGGACATTAGGTACTCTTGCTGAATAATACACAACACCCAGATATTCAATGCATTTCTAAAGAAAATTGCCTTCTAGAATATATTGCTGGCTAAAATAACACAGTGCATGACAGTTATAGTGTGTGAATTATATCTCCATGAAATTGTTAACAAATGAATCTTTATAAAAGACAAACAGCTCACCAGGTTGATAGCCTGTGGCCAGCAGATTCTGAACCAGGCAGGAACAGAAAAGGACTTGCCAAAGGCAAACCAAGAGCATTTCATTCTTCGCAGGTGAGCCTAAGTGAAATACACTGTTTCATACTTGGCATTCTGGTCTTTGCTAGTCTTTTGACTTGTACTCTAATTTCTTTTGGTTGAGAAACTAATTCAACTCAGCTGCAGAGACTCCAAGTTTTGTGCTTTAAGTTTTATAATGTAATTAAGGATTCACATCCAATTATATCATGTGAAAAATCCTCTCTCAATCCTTTCTCTACTAATCCTAGACTCCATGCCTTGTGTGCTGACTTGATCTATACTCAGGAGAAAAGCAGAAAGCTCATTTGCAAGCATCGAGCTGAGCTTGAAATGATCGGTGATATTTTAGCCTAGTCAACATTGTCTGAAAATACATGCATTCCTTTTGTTTGTGATTTGAGATCATAAGATGTATTCTTATAAGGTAATCCTTAAAAAGGAGGACTGCGTCTTCAGAATAAGACTTCAGCATTAGCTCTATAAGCATAGATTTCATGCCAACCAGATGCAGGTATTGTCACTTCTCTCTTAGCAACCCTTCAGAGGCCCCAGAGTGAGGCCTGAAATCTTTGGTGTGGATAGCCTCACATGCTGGGTCCTAAACTTCCAATACCATATTCTATTTGCCACCCATCAAGTTCACGGTGATCCAAGAATGGGTTCTGTTTGTCATTCTCCAAGACTGTGCATTTCTGTGTCTGCTGTGGGTTGCTTCCACCCTGGGATGCACTTACCCATCCCACTCATTGAAAATCAACCCCCTGACCCCACCTTGCTCTGTAGGCTCAACAGAGGCTTTGGATATTCCATAAGCCTGACATTGACTCATTTTGCAAATGTCATTGCTGGTAGACCTTCTCTCCTCTCTTTCTCTCTCCTGTCTGTGTGCATCTTGGGGCAAAGAAAGTTATCCTTCTCTTCACTGTATCATAAAGCACAGTAATTCATATGCCTTCTATATTTAATAAAACTTTAAACTCTGTTATTTTTGCATCCCAGTTCTCTTCATGAATACGCCAATTCCCTCTAGATTCATCATTATTTTGAGTCGTCACAACTACCGCAATTCTCTAAAAACAAAATAAAAGTTAGAATAATAAAAATGTAAAGCACAAGTTCAAAAGGATTTAGGGGTCCCTATACACCGACTCAAATGGTACAAGTTAACCACTGTGGTCCCTAATGATGTAAAAGAGTTAATACACTAACAACTCCAAAAAAAACCCTAACACCAAGACCATTTCTTAAGTAGGAAATATACATGGCCAATACATGAAAAAGTCCTGCTTTATTTGTGAGTTGATATTAGACAAAAATAATGTATTTTTCACCTATCAAATTAGTAAAGTGTAGAGATATATACACTCAATTCTAGAGAGACTAGAGGGAGGCAGAAACTCTCCTACATTGCTAATGGCAGCGCACATTACCACGATACTTTTTAAGGCAATTAGTAACATAGAATCCAAAGCCTTAAAAATGTTCATATCATTTACCTAACAATTCCTCTTCCAGGAATATAGCTTAAGAACATAAACATAGGTATAGTCAAAGTTTTACACATACAGATATTAAGAATTATTTATAATGGTGAAAAAATAGGAATCAAGCTAAATACCCAACATTAGGAATATAGTTTAAAAGTTCATATCATCATATGATCTGAATATTAGTTATTTCGTATGTTTGAAAATAACTTTTAATAACAGGGAAAACAGGTCACTCTAATTCGTGGCTTAATTAAGAACTGTGACAATATTAGAAAAAGCCTAACAATGTGAGCAAAAAGGAATCTTCAAGAATAGACATGGTACAATGGACTGAAGTTCATGTTCGTACCAAATTCATATGGTGAAGCCCTAATCTCAGTGTGATATTATTAGGAGGTAGGGTTCTGGGAGGTAATTAGGTCATATGGGTGGAGCCCTCATAAATTGGATTAGTGACTTTATAAGCAGCAGCCAGTGAGCTAGCTAGCTCACTTTCTACAATGTGAGGACACGACAAAAACTCAACAGTCCACAATAGGAAGTGGGCCTTCACCAGAACCCGACCATGCTGGCACCTGGATCTCAGACTTCCAGTCTCCAGAACTGTGAATAATAAATTTGTGTCGTTTATAAGCCATCATGTCTATGGCACTGTGTTATAGCAGCATTAATAGACTAAGACATCCCATGTAAGTCCACTTGTATAAATGGACTTCATGAAATTCATTATTAAATGAAGAGGCACACCATCTTTATATAGAAAAACTAACAATGCAATGATGACGATTAAACTCATCTTTGAATTTAATTTTTTTAAAAGAGCAAAAAAGTCCTAACTTTTTTATGGATGGCCAACTTAACATTCTAGTGGGAAAAATAGATTTAGGAAATCTTTTATTTCCTGCCATTTGGTAGACTAGATATCACAAAAATTCTTGTGCTCTGAAGCAAATAAAAACCTTGGAAATGGCCGGGCGTGGTGGCTTAAGCCTGTAATCCCAGCATTTTGGGAGGCCGAGGTGGGCGGATCATGAGGTCAGGAGATCGAGGCCATCCTGTCTAACATGGTGAAACCCTATCTCTATTAAAAAAAAAAAATACAAAAAATTAGCCGGGCGTCGTGGTGGGCACCTGTAGTCCCAGCTACTCAGGAGGCTGAGGCAGGAGAATGGCATGAACCCGGGAGGCGGAGCTTGCAGTGAGGCGAGTTCGCGCCACTGCACTCCAGCCTGGGGGACAGAGCAAGACTCCATCTCAAGAAAAAAAAAAAACCTTAGAAATAAGTATAAAGACATGTTTAAAAATATATGGCTCAGCTGGCAAGAATGTAAGGAAATACTTCGGAGGCCAAGAAGAAAACTGGAGAACAAATCCAACTGCCTTGGGGGCCACTGCTGATTTTCGGTCCCTTATAGTTTTGAATTTAATGTCAAATAGAGGACAGGGGACTAAACATGGGACCTGAGAATGTAGGAAGTCAGACTGGAAATCCCTGCATAAAGACTCAATTTATAATCATAAGCTAGTCCCCTTTCAGACTTGGGGCCAAAAGTTCACACAACCTGCTTACTGTGGACAACCACAAGCTGGAAATTTAGCAAGAAGTAAGCCCAGCTGAGAGAAGCATGGAAATCCCATCTGAAGGAACTTATTCTCAACCCAGAAAATTTTCACAGATAAAGTCCCAATAAACATGAGCTCAGGATCATAGTAACAATATATATGGACCAGAAATCTTAATAATATAAGAAACAACTTAAGCAAAAGTCAGTAGAGACACCAAACTGCAGAAGCAGACACACATATGCCTCAGATAAAAAATACATAAAAATATTAGTTTATGTCCTGTATTTTCATCTTAGAAATAAAAAATACTGGATATAAACTAATATGTTTAAAGGCATAAAATAATTAATTTATGAATGAAGAGCATGAGACTATAAAGATTACCAGAGTGATTTCAAAAGAGCTAGAAAGCACTTTTATAAACAAAAAATGTGCTAATTGAAGTTAAAACTCAGATGACTTTAGATACAAGTGAAACTAGAATTAGTGAAGTAGAATATTAATCTAAAAAATTTAATGAAAGCATCATAGAAAGTCAAGAAATTGAAAATGGGAAATCTGTGAAAATGGGAAAGACAGGTTAGAAGGAAGAAAAATAGAATGAGGCCAGCAGCACTGGCTCATGGCTGTAATCCCAGGACTTTGGGAGGCCAAGGGGGGTGGATCACCTGAGGTCAAGAGTTCTGGACCAGCCTGGCCAACATAGTGAAACCCCATCTCTACTAAAAATACAAAAAAAGTAGCTGGGTGTGGTGGCAGGTGCCTGTAATCCCAGCTACTTGGGAGGCTGAGGCAGGAGGATCACTTGAACCTGGGAGGTAGAGGTTGCAGTGAGCCAAGATGTGCCATTATACTCCAGCCTGGGCAACAACAGTAAAACTCTGTCAAAAAAAAAAAAAAAAAAAAAAAAAAGAAAGAAAGAACAAAAGAACGACATAGTATAAAACACACCTAATCAGAATTCTGAAGGAGATAATAGAGGAAATAAAGGAGGGGAAATAAATGGCTGCAAAATTTCCAGAAGGAATAAAGACAAAATCCATCAGATTCACTAAGGATAACACATCATTAAAAGAACCAAAAAGAAATCCACTTTAAATACATTGTAATGAAGCATAACACTAAGCACAAAGGGAAGATCTCAAAAACAGCCAGAAGAGGTATGAAGGTATAATAGTTAGACATATAGCTGCCTTCTCCATAGCAATAGTGGAAGCCAAAGACACTAGGATATTTTCAAAGGACCTAACAGAAAATAATTGTCAACATACCTTAGTATGTTAGTCTATGTTACAAGGTACAGAGACTAGCACCTTGTAAAGTTTTCTTTTAAGAAAACAGTAAAACAAAGATGTTTTTAGGATTTCCACTTTCTCCCAAGCCATCGGAAATAATTTACCACCAAAAGTCCCTCCACTTTGATGCACCACCAAAAGGAACATGTAAAATATGTACTTTAGGAAGGTAAAAATTGATAAGATCTGCGTGCACAAGGGAAAGAGAAGCAAAGGCAATGGTAAACATAAGGTAAATCTAAATATTGTATAATATAAAAGGAAAGTCCAATTTGTGAGAATCAAAAAGCAAAACAAGATACAACTAAAACATATAATAGCAGTAGTATCTCTGTTTGAGGGGATGATGAGAAGTAAAGTATTCTAAGATTCTAACTTGCTCCAGAGATAAGTAAAAATATTGATTAAATTTTGGCCTTGATGAGTTCACGTTACAATTTTTAGCTGGTCACTAAAATAATAGAAATAAAGAGTATAACTCCCAACTATCACAGACAAAAAGTGGAATGAGAAAAAAATTAATTCGATACAAGGAAGGATCAAAAGAAAAAGAGGTAAGACAAATAGAAAAACCTAAATAATAGGGTAGAAATAAATCAACACATATCAGTTATCAAAATAAATGTAAATGGCCTAAATTTTCTACAAATGTATGATAATAACTAGCAAAGTTTTGCAAAAATGTAGTAATCAGCATCTTGCCCTAAAGGATATTAAAGTTCATGATGAAGACATAATTAAAACAAAGGGGATATTTATGAGTATATGCAGAAAATATTTTGAGATGAATAAAAATGAAAACAATACATACCAAAATTAGAAGGAAATTATAGCTTCAAATTAGTGTATGAAAATGTTTGATATAAGCATTTGATCTAAGCTTTTTAAGAATCTACAAAAAATAAGAGGAACAAATACAGGACAAAATAAATAAACAAATAGAAATAAGAAAGCTAAAAGCAGAAATCAATATAAAAGAAAATTGACAAACAATAGAGAAAATCAATAAAATAAAACCTGGATATTTGGGGAAAAAATCAATAAAATGGACAAACCTGTAGCTGGACTGATAAGGGCAAAAGAAAAGACAAAACTATCATTATCAGGAATAGATTAGAGGACATCACTGAAGATCTTAGGATAATAGAAAAACACTATGAACTTTATGCCAATAATTTAAATAACTTTGATAAAATGGCAAATCCCTTGAAAGACACAGAAGATTGCCAAAACAGACTTATATGAGATGGCAAATTCCTTGAAAGACACAAATTGCCCAAACACTTAAGAAGTAGAAACCTGACTAGTCATACAGCAAATAAAAAATTGAATTCATAATTAAAACCTTTCCCACAGAGAAAACTTCAGGCCAGATGACTTCATGGGTGATTTCTACCAAACACTTACAGAAGAAATAGTTCCAATCCTCTAAAATCTCCTTCGGAAACAGAGGAGGAGAGAACGTTTCCCAGTTCATTGTATAAACCTTTTTCCTGATACCAAAATCAAAAATATTTTTAAAAAGAAAACAACATACCAATATTCCTCACAAACATAAATAAAAAAAATCCCCCAAAATATTAGCAAATAGAATCCGGCAATATATTTATTTTTTAAAAGTATAATGGATCATGACCAAATAGTTATCCTGGAAATAGTTAATGTAACATATGAAAAAATCAATGTAATTCCCCATATTTATAAAATGAAGAAAGAAAATCCCATTATTATTCTACAGGTGCATAAAAAGCACTTGTCAGTATTCAACACCAATGCATAAAAAAGTTCTCAAATTAGGAATAGAAACAACAACGATTAAAAACACCCCAAAAAACCTGAATAAAAATGGGCAAAGGACTTGAATAATTGTTGCTTCAAAGAAAATATACAAATGACCAACAAAAACATGGAAAGATGTTCAGTTATTACTAGGAAATCACTAGGAAACTGCAAATCAAAACCACAATGAGATAACACTTCCCACCTATCAGGATGGATATTAATTGAAAAAACAGAGCACGACGAGTGTTGGTGAAGTTGTGGAGAAATTAGAACCCTTGTGCATTGCTGGTGGGGATGCCAAATGGAGCAACCACTATGGAAAACAGAATAACAGTTCCTCAAAATATCAAAAATAGAATTTTCATATGATCCAGTAATTCCACATTGGGGCATATACCCCAAAGAATTGAAAGCAGAGACTTAAAGATGTACTTGCATATCCCTTGTGCAGCATATTAATAACATTATTCATACTAGTCAAAAGGTGGTAGCAACCCAAGTGTCCATCAACAGATGAACGGGTAAACAAAATGTGGTACATACATACATAGAATATTAGCCCTTTAATACATATACATGCATACAATTGGAGGCTAAAGAGGGGAATATATGCCACATATCTGTGTGTGTGTATATATACATATAATATATATATAATATATATTATATATTATATATATTATATATAATATATAATATATAATATATATTATATATTATGTTATATAATATATAATATATAATATAATAATAATATATAATATATAATATATATGTATATAATTATTTAATTATATGTATATTATATATACATATAATTAGAATATACACATGCAGTTAGAATACAATTAGAATATCAACCTTAACAGGAAAGAAATTCTAACGCATGCAACGGCATAAATGAACCCTGAGGACATTAAGTAAAATAAGCCAATCACAAAAGAACAGATATTGTACGATTTCACTTATATGACATACCTAGAGTGGTCACATTCACAGACAGAAAGCAGAGTGGTCATGGCTTCCAGAGAATGGGGAGTTAGTGTTTAATGGGGAGTTAGTGTCTAATGGGAAGTTAGTGTTTAATGGGGAGTTAGTGTTTAATGGGGAGTTAGTGTTTAATGGATGTATGGGTGGTGGCTTCCAGGGAATGGGTATATAGCGTTTAATGGGTATGTGGAGTTTACAAGATGAAAAGAGTTCTGGAGATGGATGGTGATGATGGTTGCAAAACAGTATGAATGTACTTAATGCCACAGAACTGTACGCTTACAACTTGTTAAAATGGTAAACTTTATATTATGTGTATTTTATCAAAATTTAAAAAAAGAAGAAAGAACTAGGCATAAAAGGAAACTTCCTCAACCTGGTAAATTCTCTCTAAATAGATATAGAGAGAATCTATATATCTCTATTTTTGAAAATCCCCACAGCTAACAAAGGATAAAGGCGAGGATGTTCCCTCCCATCACTTCTACTCAACATTGTACGAAAAGCCTTACCTAGAGCAATAAGGCAAGAATAAAATAGAAGTCATCAAAATGGGAAAAAGTACGTAAAAAAATTGTTCCTATATAATATTATTACATAGAAAATCCTAAGGAATCTACAAAAACACTACTAAGTGCATGTAGCAAAAGCTGCAGGATTCAGTTCCCATACAGAAATGATATATCTCCGTAAGTAAGCAGAAAAGCTGGAAAGGAAATTTTTAAAAATCTGTATCAGTCATTTATACTAGCATTCAGAATATAAAATAGGTAAGGATAAATTTTGCAAAATATGTAAATGATCTCTATAATGAAAACTACAAGACTTTGCTGATAGAAATTAAAGATTCATGCAATGACATGGAAGAATTTCAAAAGCATTAGCCTGAGTGAAAGAAATCATACACAAAAGAGTATGCTCAATTTGCTTCAATTTATATAGATTCTAGAATAGTGACAGAAAGATCAGTGGTTTCCCAGGACTGGGGGTGAAGGAAGATTGAATGCAAAAAGATTAAACCTTTTTAAGGTGACAGAAATCATCTATATCTAATTGTGGTTAGTTACATAGGTATATACATAAAATGTGTGCACTTTAATATAAGTATATTATGTCTCCAAATAGCCAATGTAAAAGGAAAAAAAACAAACAACAGAGTACAGAACCGGGTCTTTTTTAAAATATAAAATTAAAATTTGGAAAAAGTATGATGGCATCGGGATTCTCTCACTCCCTAACTCCTGCAGTAATGAAGTACGTGAAATGCTAACCATTCACACTTAGGAGCATCTGAAAGATTCCTCATCCTTCAAATCCGCAGACGGAAACAGAGGAGCTTTTGTGATTCACACAATATTCAAGTTGCGTGAGAATTTCTAGAAGGAAACAATTGTATAAGTCAGGGAAATCCTTGCATAAACAAGATATAAACCAGAATTAAATGTGTGATTGGCATTTCCAACCGGTAGAAAAATAACAAATTATCTCATCCATGGTCTGTGGACAACTGGCAAATCATTTAGGAAAAGCAGATTCCAAACTTACACTGTACAGGAAACACATCCAGAAGGACTACAGATTTAAATAAAAGTACAAGACAGGTATGCAGGTTACAGAAGTCCTTTCTAAGCCTGTCTGTGAAAAGACAAAGGGGAAAAGATGAAGAAGAAATCTGAATGTGAAAAATTACCAGAAACAGATATGATGCCTAAATGCAAGATGGCATCCTGGATCGGATCCTGGAACAGAAAAAGGACATTAGAAGAAAAACTGATAGAATCTGAATAAAGTCTGTAGTTTAGATAACAGTAGTGTACCAATATTAATTGCTTAGTTTATAAGTCAATTGTTCTCATTTGGGACCAATTTTGCTCCCTGGGGAACATTTGCCAGTGCCTGGAGACATTTTTGGTTGTGTGCTAGGGGGAGAAGGGGAGGCTCTACCAGCATCTAATGGTAGAGGCCAGGGATGTTGCCAAGCATCCTTCAGTGAAAAGGACAGCCGCCCATAATGAAGACTTATCCAGCCCACAATGTGAATAGCACCCAGGTCAAGAAACTCTGTCTCAGATAGATGTACTGTGGTTATGTAAGATGTAAATGTTAAGGGGAAGCTCAGTGAAGGATGTATGCATGGGAATGCTTTCTACTATCTCTGTAACTCTTGTTAATACAAAATTATTTCAAAATTCAAAGTTTTAAAAATTACCACAGACAACATTAAAAAGTAAAATACAGGTTATTTTCAGCATAAATACAAGTGCAAAATATGAGAACTCTGAAGAAAACTGAAGAAAATAGAGGTGACCTACAAAAGATGAAATACAGATGTACAACAAACATATGAGAACATTCAATATCTTTCTGAAAAGATGCAAATTAATAAATCATAAGTATCATTTTTCACACATCAAAATGGCATGGAGTTTTTTGTAATGACAATATCCAATACTTGTGCATGTTTAAGAAAGCTGATATGTATGTACAGATAGTGCAACTTGGAGTGTTATTTGGAAATCTAGATTAAAAAGTCTTAAATTTGTGCCTATTCTTTGACCAGAAGTTCTAGAAATCTGGCTTCAGAAAATCACATAAAATGCTCACATTTTTCTCTAAGGACATTTATCAACACATTGCTATAAAAATGTAAAATGGAAACAATCTATTTAATAAGGTTTTTAAAAAGCAGTTTAAATAAAGTTATACAATGGAAGCTCACGTAGCCATTAAACGATTAACAGGAAGTTCGTTCGACAGGTACTGGAACTTCAAAATCCATTGTTGAGAAAAGTAAGCCTTCCAAAACAGTATGTATTTTGCATAATCCCTCTTTTTTGTTGAAAAAAAAAAAAAGGAAATGAAACAAAACAAAGAAAAAGAAAAGCTTGTTGCATTTATGAGAGATTCCAAGTAATCTGTCTGGGACAATCTACTGAAATGTTAACCATGATGTTCTCTCTGGGCAGTAGGATTATGGTTGATTTTCCACTTTCCTCTTTTTGCTTATTTATATTTTAAGTTTTATAATAAACATGTTTTCCTTTTTTTTTTTTTTGAGACAGGGTCTCGCTCTGTCGCCTAGGCTAGAGTGCAGTGGCATGACCTCAGCTCACTGCAACCTCTGCCTCCCAGGTTCATGTGATTCATCTGCCTAAGTCTCGCAAGTAGCTGGGATTACAGGTGCCTGCCACCACGCCTAGTTTTTGTATTTTTAGTAGAGAAGGAGTTTTGCCATGTTGTCCAGGCTGGTCTCGAACTTCTGACCGCAGGTGATCGCCCACCTCGGCCTCACAAAGTGCTGGGATTACAGGAGTGAGCAGCCAAGCCTGGCTGTGTTTTGCTTTTTCAATAAGAAAAAATGAAGCCCTAGAAAATCAAATGAAATGAAGAAGAAACTGATTCCATTTAAATTCCTTTCTAAGCAACATTTCAGTGAATGATGCTAGACCTGGAAAGAAACCAGTTACCAGCTGCGCCAACAGCCATGGTAGGCTTTGAGGCCACAAAGTTCATGAGGGTTTTGACAGTGAATTCCATCAGCGTAAATTCTCCCTGATGTCTAGCATGCTATATCTTCCAAATGTACAACACTGTGACATTCAATGGACCACCCCTCCCCAGCTCCGCTGGCTGGGGTCTGATGCTCCACTGTTCACAGCTTTTTTGGCTCTAATTTCGGAACTGCAGTGGTCCACGTGCTCTTACATGCACAAGGATATTTATGAAGGTTCAGGAGAGGATGTCAGAGAAACTCAAAGTCATTTGTTCACTACCTACAGAGGCCATCAGATCAAAAATGCCTAAATACGACCCACCTATATGCAGAAATGGATAAGCCTCTATTTTCTTAAAACACCAGGGCCGTTCATCTGCTGAATATACACCAAAGACTTTCACATCCCACCTGAAGATTGAGTAGATTTTAAGTAAAACTGCATAAATTTCCCTTTATTTCATCAAACTTATGTATTTATAAATGGGAAAGGTAGGACAAAGCCAGGAGTGAGGTTTGCACACCAAATATCACTGTGAGAGCTCACATATTTGCAAGATATGGGCCTCAAGGTTGACTCTGAATTTTAACACACAACGAAGTGCACATTTGTTGCCCCATGGGTCAAATGCTCTGAGAAAGAAAAACTAGAGTTGTTCAGAGGATGCACGACTCTGGAAAAAAGAAAGAATTTAGATTTTTTTTCCTGTGGGGCGCACATGAATAGCATTGTCTAATGACATGAATGAGACACAGGCTCAGTGCAGGCTCTGCACCACACCAAAGCACACAGAAAACCAGCATAGTTCTGCAAGAGACCGCCATGATGCGGTCCTTGCATGCAAATGTTTCACTCAACTGAGGAAATGGTTAAGAAAAACTTTAACTTCCGATTCTATAGACAACAGCCATATAATGGACCAGTTTATATACTTCTCATCTGTATGACTTTCGCGGTTCCTACAAGGGCATTTATTTCAAGAACTGGATTAGGCAAGAGTAGGCATTTGAGGAACAGCTTCTAATCTTAAGTGACAAAGGTTGTGTTCCCTGCAAAGAGGACACCTGTCCTGTGCACCTGCCCTTCAGGCCCTCATAGGGACCTTAACGCTGAAGAATCTCCCCATTACCCATGAATAGCTGAGAAAATACACTGTAGAATGGACCTGCTTAAACTATGTTGTCAAAGTAGTTTGTTGTTAAATGCAGGAATATTTTTCATGTTGCTATCAGATGTTCTCAGATGGGCCTCATTCCCAAGCCCATGGTGCTTCTGCTAGGTTACCCTGACACTCACAGTTACTCATGTATAGACGGTGCTCTGCAGTGTCCTAATTTAATCCTAATTTATCCCCCAAACAGAGCTCTTAACCAGGGAGGCACTGACTGAGACATGTTCACTGCAGCATTGGATGAGTGTGTTTTGGTTGGGTGCAGTGGCTCACACCTGTAATCCTGGCACTTTGGGAGGCCGAGACGGGTGGATCACCTGAAGCCAGGAGTGAGTGTGTTTTGAAAACGTACCCCACCCATGTCTGATGCACCTCTCTGGTTAAGAACATCTTTTTCACACTCTCTGATAAAACCCTTGTACCACCTAAGGTCAATAGAATGCTCCAAACATAGACTGCAGTACTTTGTTTGCAGTAATGCCCTCATGGGGCTATGACCTAGCAGGGGAAATAAAAGAACATCTGATAGCAGTATGAAAAATATTTCTGCATTGAACAACAAACTACTTTGACAACATCGTTTAAGAAGAATTAATGGGCTGGCTTTACCATCTTTATTTCTTTGTTCACCAAAATTAGCTATTATTGATGAAAAGAAAATCACATTTTACAGAAAGATATGGACTTTGCTTTAAGATTATTAGGAAAAGAGAAAAACTCACCAAGTCAAAGGAATGAAACACATCATCTATTTCTCACATTTTTTGCTCTATTTTCCAGGGTCATCTGTATCTAGAATACTTTTTCTTTCAGAACTCATCATGCTACTACCACTGCCTTTTTCCAAGATCCCTTCTAAATTCACTTCCTGTGGACAGCTTGGATGATACTGAAGACTAATGATAATTACAAAATGGTTTGAGTCCCCACCATGAGCCCAACTGCTCGGCACTCTTTACGTAAATTACCTTGTAAAGGACAAGCAAGCAACTGGTGGAGTATAAATGGAGCCTCAGATGGGCCCCATTCCCAAGCCCGTGGTGCTTCTTCTAGGTTACCCTGTTACCCACTGTTACTCATGTATAGACAGTTGCTCTGCAATATCCCTAATTTAAAAGATCAGCCCATTACCTGGTCAGCCTGCTTCAGGCTTTGAATCCATTTCTTTTAATCTATTCCTGGCAAACCTGAGTAAATGGCCCATTAATAATGACTCTCTCCTAAACAGTGTAGGGACACCCCCTATTCATATAACTGAAAGAGTTACTCAGAGAAAAAACAAAAAACAAAGCCATTCTCTCCACGAAGCTAGCCGGGATGGCTGACATGAGCAACCTTTAGATACCATATGGACTCTTGGGAATGATCTGGAAACCGTGTTTATGATGAGGAGGAAAATGACACAATCTCATCAAGACTTATCAAGAGATAAATAAAACATTCTTAGAAACCTTCAAAATATTTTTGCAACATTGCTTATATATTTTCTCTTCTTTAACATTACATTTGACCACATGAAGGACAATAAAGTTGTTCCTTGACAATACTTGATTATTCTTACCGAGTTCCTAAAGGGAAACAATATTTTGAGACATTTCCCCCGCCACCCTCCACTTCAATTTTAAACCAAGTGGGGATTCTAGTTTTAACTTTACTTTTCACAACCTACCTCTTGGCGGTGAGTCTTTCATCGCTCCTCACCCTTTCCTTGCCAGAGAGGTTTTGAATATGGGGATGGGGAAAGGTAGTTTGAGGAAGGAAACACATCAAGCACTTAAGGGATCGTGACATAAGCATGGGCTTTGTTGGGTCATCAACGTAACCTGTCCTCCACCCAGCCCACAGGTCGAGGGCACCCACTCTGTGAGCCATTGCTCCCTGGCTCCCTACTGGGTAAGATGAGGTCAATGCCAATGACTCAGTTGAATCCTGCCGTCCAGGAATGTGCAGTGTGCAAGTATAACAATGACCTCTACAAAATAGCAAATGCATCATATTAAAAGGCTGCTACCTGCATAGCAAGGAGACCAGGTCTGAGTTATGTGTCACCATCGCAGAACCAGAGAAGAGCCCAGTGTCTGGTACCACAGCTGACACGATCAATGTCAAGTGAGTGAGGGGAGGCTGTTGCGGTGCCAGCAGGAGGTGCCAGGGCCCTGCTTATTGAATCAAAATGACCAGCACAGGAGCACCTGTTCTTGCTGCTGATGGGAAAGGTGGCAGGCAAGCTGGAGGCCAAGGTTGAATTGCAGTGGGCACCTGCTCTTCTGGGACAGGAAGAGAGTCAGAGCGAGACAGGATGGTATTGGTCAGAAAAGGTGAAGAGTAAACAACGCAGGGAGGCTGAAAGCTCTTCCGGGACAGGAAGAGAGTCAGAGCGAGACGGGATGGTATTGGTCAGAAAAGGTGAAGAGCAAACAACGCAAGGAGGCTGACAGCTCTTCCCTTTGACTCTGAGCATCGCTTCTTCACCACGTTCTAAGAATCGACCAGAGAAGCTGGCTTGTCTGACAGCTCCTGTTGCAGAAAACCATAGGCCCCAAAAATGGATAAATTAACAAACAAGGAGAGCAGAATTCACAAGATGATCTTGTCCACCTCTCTAATTCCACAGATGGAAAAAACAGAGACCTCGCAGGCAAGTGACCTGCCCAAAGTCACCCAGAGGGTCTGCCCTGGAGCAGGGGGGGTCACACATTTCTTCAGAAAAGGCCCAGATAGTAAAAATGTTAGGCTTTGTGAGCTATAAGGTCTCTGTCCCAACTACTCAACTTTGCTGTTGCAGTATGAAAGCAGCCACAGAACAATGCATAACTAAATTGGCATGGCTATTTTCAATACAACTATTTACAAAAACAGGCAGCAGGCTGGACTCGGCCTCCTGGTGGTTTGCTCATGCCTGCCATAGGGCTGCTGCTACATACCAGGGGCTGAGTTCTTGTCCATTCATCAGCTGATTCTAACACTCTCTGGGTTACTTGTTGTTAACAATGAAACAAAACACAAAAACTCATTCTGCTCAATTCTTCTGGCTTCCCTAAAGATAAGAAAAGACCATCGTAAGATTGTTTACCTGATTCTCAACCATGCACCCAATTCATTAGGAAGAACTGGGTAGTTGTGGTGTGAATGTCCACCAGCCAGCAGCAGAAAGGCTTTGCGTCTAGTGGTGGAAGCTCTGCAGGGTAGAGGCGGCTCCAGAAAACCTGGAGGGGTTAGGCACATGGGCAGGCCCTTGGAGTCAGTGTGGGACTGCCAAACCATCTGATCCATTGGCAAACCTTGTTGATCTACCCTGAACACATAGCCCCAGAATCTGACCACTTCTCAATACCTTCACTCCTGCCACCCTTTCCAAGTCACTGCCCCCACTCCTGGACAATTGTCCAATATATATTTGCTGAATGAACAAACATCAAGAGTGAGAGAGTGGAATTCTGCACTAGCCTCCTCATACGGGTGCTAAGGTCTATAGCCCTCACCACCACCCCCTGCCCCAGGTCTAGCCTAGCAAGATCCTTGACTTGTTTCAGAGCATTATGGAGTCACAGAGCGGAAAACGCAGACTGAATGGCAGAATGGCCATTCAGCAGTGTGATGGACACTGTATTACACTGCTCAGATCTCCCTTCAGGAAAGAAGAGCTTCTTCCCCCAGCTGCTGGAAGTCCTGTAGGAAGAGTGCCCTCGGCGGCGATCCACCCTATAGGAATTGGCTGACTGAAGAGAGCTGCCTCACCCAAGTTCACATATCTTCCTGGGGAATATAAGGGCCCAGGCCCTTATGGCAACTCAGAATAACCTTGAAGGGCCATCCCAGATTCAGAGTTCCCTGAGTGGCTGGCAGAGGCCTTGCTTATGACTGCACCGCAGAACACCTTCTCCCTCTGCCCAGTCCTGCTTCCCTTCCTGGATGTCATATCCCAGAACACTCCCCAGTAAATGCCCTACCCATTCATCTCCACCTCAGAGTCTGATTTCTAGAGAATCCAACATGTAATACTGGGGAACAGGGTAAAGTTTACCTTGGGGGATGGATTTATTTGAATGCTAGACCAGAAGTCAGTAAATTACAGACTGCAGGCCAAATCTGGCCCACTGCTTGTTAGTGTAAATAAAGTTTTATTGGCAACAGCCACATTTATGTATTTATGCATTGTTGATGGCTGATTTTGCACTACAACAGCAAGTTGTCTCCTGCTGTGCCCTTCTCAGTGACAGCCCCAGACAGAACAGTTAAGATGGTGGTGACTCAATGGCAGGCCCCATCTCCACTGCCACTATCAAAGGTGGTATCTGAACACTGTTGCTAGTTGAGTAGTTGCTACAGAAACCATATGGCCCGCAAAGCCAAACACATATTTTCAATCTGGCCCTTCACAAACAAAAGGGAAAAAGAAAAGTTTGCTGATCCCAATTCTAGATCATTGAAGAAAAAAAATCACATTTGTAAAATATCTTCTGGTCCCTCTAGTAAAAAAAGTCCTCATGGGATGAGAGTGGGAGTCTAATGCAGGCTTCTCCCCTACAGGTAGGCTTGGCTTGTGTGTACATGGTTTGTTATCTGCCCTTGAGTGGCGTAAGTGAGATAAGCCTCACTCGCTATTAATGTGGCAGACCATACCATCTAAGTGTGAGTAGGCACAGTGCTCATTTGGAGACCTGGCAAGGACTTCTGCCTTCCAGTCATCCACATCTTTATTCACTAGTGATGCTAAACTCCACCGAGGACATCTCAGACCAATGCCACCAAAGCCTGTGAACTGACTGAGGGAGTTGCAACATGGGCCCACCATAGAACGCGAACGCAAATAGATGTGGACAGCGTATTCACTAGTCTCCTCTTCAATAGCATCTACCATCATCAGAAGATTTTGCTCCCTCTACTTGGATATCTCAGAAATGGTAAAAAGCTTCAGATTTAAGCCACAGATGCACAATAAAATTGGCAGTAAGAAATGTGTCTAAGTCAATAGTGAGTCAGGCATGCACATCCGGTGAGGTGGGAACCATTTGGATCAACACTGTATATTTCACAGACCACCACAAAGAACTGGATTTCAGGCTGAGGAGGATTTCTGAGCCAATACATTTTAATCGCATAAAATGATATGGCTTATTACATTTTTTCATAAATTAACTTGCAGTTCACTCTCCTAATAGTCTACCGGGGTAACTGGCAACCAAATACCAGTATTACTCCAGATGTTCATAAGCAGCCTTCAGATACCACCTTTGGTAGTGGCAGAGGAGGTGGGGCCTGCCGTTGAGTCACCACCATCTTAATTGCCCTGCCTGGGGCTGTCACTGAGAAGGGAACAGCAGGAGACAAGTACACAGCTCTAGCACCAATTGGCCACGTGGACTTGGGCAAATCATTTAATCTTCAAGCCTCATTTGTGTTGTGTGAAAAATAAAGATAATGATACTCTTTACAGATGGTTGAATGATTCAAAATAATGGATGCAGCCCAGGGCCTGGTGCCTAGGACTTCTAGAACATATGTTGTGGTTATGAATAAGATGATGATGATGACGATGATGATGGTGATGATGACAAGAATGGGGATTAAATTTTTTATGATAGATTCGAAGATTTGCCCAATGCCCACCTACTTGGTGCTATCTGAATGCTTACCAGTAGTAGAGATGTAAAGACAAAACATACAGGGACTGAGGAGATGAGCAAAGAGAGAACCAATTTCTTAACATTCAGCCTGAGATGAGAGCAGGTGCTCACGCGTCTATTGGAATGCTATGTCTCAGTAGAAACAGCTATTTGAATTGCATGATGTGCTTGTGTCTCATTTTTCCTCATCTTCTCTTTTGGGTGCATATCCTGGAGGCTCATTCATGAATACAATTTGTAGAACTTTCTGTCCAACGACCTAATGACTAGAACTAAAATTGCTTTGCCTCTGTTTGTAGAATTGCCCAGGCTGTACCCACCAAGCAGCTGAATGTCAGTAAGCCAGCCAACAGAAGATCCTGCTCATGAGGTATTTTGGAATCCTTCAGATACAAAGAATCAGATTCAGTAACTATGAAGTAAGAAGACTGCTAATAGCATGTGTAACCACAGGAGGCTGTCAAGAATGTCTCAGATAGGATTCCAGTTTCAGACAGGAAAATATAAACAGTTCCTCTGAGTTTTAATGAGCACTGCTGCAGTCTGAAAGCTCTTGCATTAAGGCTAAAGGTTTTGTGGAATCTGAAGGTCAGCAAGCTCACCCTCCACACGTTGTGCAGGCTGTGCAAGGACAGCCCGTGGTCATTAGAGTCAATGAGCTGTGCTGGTAAATTTCAGGCCAGAATTCTACAGCATGGACAGATGTGCTTTCTTGTCACCTGAGAAGAAATAGAGTCCACTGGAAATTATTTCTGAGTGAGGGAGCACACAGCCAGGGGTGCACGTGTAGGTGAAGGTGTGCATTTGTAGGCATCCGAGGCAAGTGCCCCACAGCACACCCCAGGGCTCTGTGGCTTTGGACTTTGCAACTGAGGGGTCCAGAATCCCACGGAGCCTCTTTTCTTTACAGAGTCCACCTTGGGCAAATAGAGCTGAAATTTTTTAAGCTTGATGGGACCTCGAAAACACCCAATCTACCCCCTGCTCTAGTTACCCAGATGAGGAGTTCAGAGAGTATCACTCCTCCACATTCACTGAGCTAGAAATAATAGATCAGCAACTCCACAAAAAGTTCTTCCAAATGTGGTCTATATATACACCATGGACTACTACTAAGCCATTAGAAGGAATGAAATCATGTCTTTTGCAGCAACTTGGTTGAAGCTGGAGGCTATGATTCTAAGTGAAGTAACATAGCAGTGGAAAGCCAAAAACCGTATGTTCTCATAAGTGGGAGCTAAGCTATGAGTACGCAAAGGCATACAGAGTGATATGATGGACTTCAGAGACTCAGAAAGGGGAGGGTGAGAGGTGGGCCTAGGGATAAACACACACACACACACCACATATACACCACACACACACACCACACACGCATACACACACACCACACACACACACCATACACACACACCACACAACCACACACCCACACCACACACACGCACACACACACCACACACACACACCACACAACCACACACACACCACACACACACACACCACACACACACAACACACACACACACTAGGTGCAATATACACTACTTGGGTGACGGGTGCCCTAAAATCTCAGAATTCACCACTGTAAAATTCATCCATGTAACCAAGAACCACTTGTACTCCCAAAGCTACTGAAATTGTAAAAAAGGTATTCAAGACTCCCCTGGTGTCTGTGACTATCTCTTTCCTCAAATGGTAGAATGAAGCCTCATGGCTTAAAGCCACTGAAACGCTTCACATGTGAATCTTTGGGATCTGTGCTTTTTCTGGGGGATGTTGGCCTGCAGGATGCAGAATAAATTTATACTATTTGCCTAAGATAATCCCTTAGAGGAGCAGTCATTTCACAAAATCACAATCAAAAATCTTCTCTGCACCACCAAAGCCAAAAAGTAAGTTGGGGGAAGTGTCCACACTCTTGCTGCCCTCCTCTGAGATGAGTGTATGAGTGTTTGAGATCTGGCTCTCATTATTAATGAAGAGCCTTTGGTGAAAAGTACTATAAATCCAAATTATTATTTCACACCATGACACATGGTTTAAAAATGAGGATGTGCTTTAACTGGGGTAACATACAACAATGCAGTGGTGTATTTCTGGAATCATCATCAATAAGGAAGACGAAGTGCTTAGCTTGAGCAATCTCTTTAACCACTAAAGTGGGATTTATCTTTGGAACATTGATAGCTGCTTATGTTGTCCTTCTTGTAATAAGTCTGTAAGACATGCATTTCAATGGTTTAATCAATCTGAAAGCCATGCCAAAATTGCCTTAAAAATCTCTGAGCATTCAATATTTCAATATATATACAGTTGTTAAAATTAATTACATCATTTAACATTTCTATACACATTATAACTTTAAATGTTTTACAGTCATTTTTATTAATAAAGCTTTAATGAATAAAAGTTGTACCGTAAAATTATGATGCATATCCTGCATTTTCAATTGTATACTAATATCTTTAAATACTTTTTTCCAAATAGAAAGTAATTCATAAACCAGAGCCTCTTGCAGAAAGCAAAGTTGAAAATCAGAAGTTTACACAGAGAAAGAAAGAAATCTGGCCTCTTTCTTCCAAAAAATGCCTGCTTTCCTCTTTTGATTTCCCAAGAAAGGTGCAGAGTCCTCAGGGCAACCCATCCTGGGAATTCTTCCCGGCCCTGGAAATGGCAGAAACAGCAACAAATCCTGGTCAAGATGCCCCAGAAGACAAAACCAGGGGGACAGAAAATTGCTGCTGCTGCTGCTACTACTATTTGGCACAGAGAGTCCCTGACTTGCCTAATTTAGAAAATGTCCTATAATTATTATACACGCACACACGCACACATTCACATACACACATTCACACTTACACGCTCCATTATGAAGCTTTGCAGTCTAGCTTTTATATCAATGAGGCTAACTTGAAAAGTAGAAAGTACAGAAATCTGGACACTTCCAAACACGCAGATGTTTGGCGAGAGAGATGAAACATCTGGGGGCGAATGGCATTTCATTCTTCTCACCCTCTTTTGGAACGCAATTTGGGCATGTTGTAAATTAACTTCCTTTGGAGGCCCTCATTTCCTTCTCATTACATATGGTCTGGAACTATTGGGAACAAGAATTTGACAGAAGGCCTCTTACAATCTACAAAAGTCTCAACTAAAAAAATCTATCCAATCAGACATCGATGCCGAGCTATCAGTTGTCAACTATGAGCAGAGCAGATCACTGCAAGTCTACTGAGAAATGCCTCTTAGAATAAGTTTTGTATAAGAAATTCACTCAACAGTCACCTTGCTAGGACATTTACTCAGGTCACCCTCCTGCAGATGGACGCACCACTCACCTGCCCTGTAACTCCAGCCAGGAATGTGAATGGACAGTTGGTTGGCATGATCGCTGGCGTGACAATGAGTTGTATGGTCCTTTTCCCCTTTTCTTACAGTGACTTGGTTAGCTCCCACATTTGCCAATTCTGTGTTTTCCAATGGAAAAGAACCACTCCAAGGACAAGCGCCGGTCCCCAAATGCACCCGCCTCAACGATGGGGTTTCCTTCAAGTGACTTTCTTGTAAACCTGGGTTCCAGCGCTGGCCTACGAGGTCCTGGTCTCCCTCCAGGAGCTCCTGCTTCAGGGCTTCGCTTATTGGCTCTCTGTTCACTAGGCCATCTACTCCATCTGCTGTTAATCTGTGGGAACTACAATTGAGGTTGAGCGACAGGACGGATCTGTGCATTTTGGGGCTGGCAATTTGAGGTGGCTCAATGGGGACGGAGAGAGACTTGTCTACGTAATAGATTGAATCTGGACACTGCTGAGACACCCTGAGGTGGACACAGGAACTGAACACCAGCGGGCTCTTTCCTGACAGTGGGGTGTCTGGAGAAAAACTGGTCTCTTTGTCGTCTGCATGGGTGACCCAGTACTTGCGTCTCTCACACAACCCAGTGTGGGCCTCGGGAACCTTCAGCCGCACCACGGAGCTGTTTCTGGAGAACTCTGTGCAGGCAAAAGATCTCTGATGCCGACCTGGATGGGCGCCATTGGCCAGAGCCGGGGGCGCCTGGAACAGTGTGTCCTCAGCCCTGCACTTGGGGCACAGAGAGTCCCCAGCAGTCCCCCACACCAGGGCGCGGGCTGGGGGGCCCACGCGTCTGGCCGTGATGGTGATGGATGCAAACCCTCTGCGGGGGCCCCCACAGGGTCTCTCCTCTTTGGGCGGCAGCTCTGCCTCAGGTCCTCGCTCATCTGACGGTGCCGGGATTCCTAATCTGCCCGGAAGTAACGCAAATGCTCTGTGAATGTTGACTCCGCTGCGGTTAGCCAGAGATTGCTTGGCGTGATGTGCACGAGACTGAGCAATGGCACACGGTAGGGGCAAGGAGGCCCTGTTTTCTCTTGACTTATTCTCATCAATCATCTGGGAGATGACTATGGATGAAATCATTTTTGTGTTTTGTGATGCCAGGGTCTCCTGCAAATAGAAAAAGATCCCGATTATTCAAGCAGTCTATTGAAATATAGACAGTAAACTCTCTTTCAAGGGCCACCAGGATGCCAGAGCACTGGGTTCATAACACTCAGATGTCTTGTCCAAGGCTTTTTACTGCACACCTGATGCTCAGAGATGGCAGGAAGGGCAGGAAAACTAGATGTTTATGACAAGTTACACGTTCTGGAAACATTGGCCTGAGTCATGAATTGGTTTTCTCTGCTGGGCATCTATTCTTAATTTATCTAATGATGTGTCAACGGGGATCATCTAATTCGATAACCACCTCCGCCAAGCCCAGGAACCCCTGAATACAGGCTCATATCCTCAATGGAGAGGAAAGACAGAATTCTGGAGGTGGCTGGAACTTGGGGCCACAGGTTTATGTGGGAGATTAGTCAGTAGTCCTGAAAGGAAACAGCAACGGTGGTTACCAGGAGCCCCCTCCCTACCTTGGTCCTTTGGAGTCCTCCACATTTGCCGGTTTAGACTCTAATTCAGTTGCTCCCTGCTGCTTGGCATCATGGAAGTCAAGGTCCAGAGAGCAAAACAATAGAAATCAAATGCCCAGCTGGGCATGGTGGCTCACACTTGTAATCCCAGCACTTTGGGAGGCTGAGATGGGCGGATCACCTGAGGTCGTGAGTTTGAGACCAGCCTGACCAACATGGAGAAACCCCGTCTCCACTAAAAATACAGAATTAGCCAGGCATGGTGGCACATGCCTGTAATCCCAGCTACTCGGGAGGCTGAGGCAGGAGAATCGCTTGAACTCAGGAGGCGGAAGTTGTGGTGAGCCAAGATTGTGCCATTGCACTCCAGCCTAGGCACCAAGTGTGAAACTTCGTCTCTCTCACACACACAAACATTAAACAAACAATCAAAAAAAATCAAATGCCCACGTTTGCCCAGACCAACACTATGGCAATCAGATGATTTCACTTATCAGAATTGGGGGACAGGGGACACTGGACCAAGGCACATGTAGCTTTGCTGCATTTCAATGATCGGTTGTATCAGTTTTTGTCCAGTATTTTTAAATGACCAAGGTGTTTCATTTTTCCTAATCAGCAGATTGTTTGTCCTAACAGTAAATTGCTCATGTGTCCAAAAGAGTATGCTATGATTTTTAACAAAGCATCTAACCAGGTCTATACTCATTTGTTTCTATTATGGTTATGTGTGAAGCACTACAAAATACAACATGGAAGATGGACTACACCCCAGCACTTAGTGAAGGCTAACAGGGTCCTGGCCCCCGTTTAGACGTTCATTATGGAACATGCTTACAATGAATCCTTGCATAGAGCTGCACAGGATCTGGAATAATATATGTAACCGCTAAGCTCCCACTGCTTGCAGAGAATCTTTGCTTTGGGGGCCTGAGGGCATAACTGGATGCCCAACAATTGCCACAGCAGCTCCCAAATCCCAACATGCAGAGAATGGCCTGGGATGTTACAACTGCAAGTTCCCCAGACCCCAGAGATTGATTCTGTAGATTGTGGGTGGCACCCAGGCATCTGCATTTCAACTGCATTTCAAGTGATTGTGATGTAGGTGATCTGGGTCACACACTTTGAGAAACACAGACAAGTCATGAGGCTGCTGGTCTTCTCAAGACAACACATTTTGGAGAGGAAGGGCCTATGTGTGTTGGAAGCAGGGTATTTGCTCATTCCAAGATGTGACAGCAAGCACAGTAGCATTTTTATTTTCTTCAGGGCAGGACTAATATTTACTGACTCAAATAATTGCATGTTCCCCACTAGCTGGACATTTGGCATGGCAAGTCCACATGGCTGCAGGAGGGCCAGTGTGTGTGTGTGTGTGTGTGTGTGCGTGCGTGTGTGATCTTAGCCACCTGAGGGGCTTTGTGTCCTCAGAGTCAGGCATGGGAAGATGGTTGGCTTGTTTTGCATGACAATCTCCATCACATTATATGTGGGTTTTTTAAAAAAAGGATACATGGGGCTGGGTGCGGTGGCTCACGCCTGTAATCCCAGCACTTTGGGAGGCCAAGGCGGGTGGATCATGAGGTCAGGAGATTAAGACAATCCTGGCTAACACGGTGAAACTCTGTCTCTACTAAAAATACAAAAAATTAGCTGGGCGTGGTGGCAGGCGCCTGTAGTCCCAGCTACTCGGGAGGCTGAGGCAGGAGAATGGCGTGAACCCGAGAGACGGAGCTTGCAGTGAGCCAAGATCGCGCCACTGCACTCCAGCCTGGGTGACAGAGCGAGACTCCATCTCAAAAAAAAAAAAAAAAAAAAATACATGGGGAATTGTACATTCAAATACCCAGAGATGAGTGAAAAAGAAGAAATAGACAGGAGAGTCATTTTAAAATTTACTTCATTTAAAAATAAATCAAAATATCCATGGCTACTTTTTTCCAAAAAAAAAAAAAAAGGTCAATGCAGTAGCACTGAGTCATGAAAGGGGACTTTCAGCCCTCTCTTTTAGCCCAGCGGCTACCTCACACTTCCCAATCACATCATGCGTTGCTTCCTTGAGGCTAATGCTGCTGGAAGTCCTGCCAGGTGGGGCTTCCTCACCAGCAGTTGTCAGCCCAGGGTTCATCAGTCACCTGGGAACTCATCCAAACTCTAATGCCCAGGCCTCATTCCCGAAAAATTACATTAGAATTCCTGGGCAGGGAGGCCCAGGCATCAGTGTTCTTAGAGCTTCCAGTGAGATTCCAGCCTGTAGCCCCAACATTTCTGCGGCACCCTGAATCCCTTCCCCTTGTAGCACTTTTTATGGATGTAGTTTACACATAAGAAAAACTGAAATGCACCTGCTGCCTATTTCACTTGGTACACATTCCCTCCCATTTTAGTTAAATTTAGTTCTGATCATAATTGTTCTTGTGTACCCCACGAGGAGTGCAATCATACCCAGTAGGAACTCCTTTGACACTGCTCTTTGAAGAAAAAAAAAAAAAGACCCACTTTGGAAACTGCAGTATAGGTCTTATTTTATAGGGCAATGTTTCCCAAAGTTTGCGCCAGGGACTGCCTGCATAGAAACCACCTAGAGTGAATGAGTGAGTGAGAGAGAGAGAGAGAGAGAGAGAGAGAGAGAGTGTGTGTGTGTGTGTTGGTGGGGAGGACATGTTAAAAATGCAGATTTCTAGACCTCTCCTTCCTTGGGCCTAGGTTGCTCAGGATCTATGGGGATAAAGCCTAGAATTTGTATCTTTCACCAGCTCCCAGGTGATTCTTCTGCATGGATATGGTGGGAAAGATGCCGGCCTAGGACTCAGGCCACGCAGATTTCTAGACCTCTCCTTCCTTGGGCCTAGGTTGCTCAGGATCTACGGGGATAAAGCCTAGAATTTGTATCTTTCACCAGCTCCCAGGTGATTCTTCTGCATGGATATGGTGGGAAAGATGCCGGCCTAGGACTCAGGCCACGCAGATTTCTAGACCTCTCCTTCCTTGGGCCTAGGTTGCTCAGGATCTATGGGGATAAAGCCTAGAATTTGTATCTTTCACCAGCTCCCAGGTGATTCTTCTGCATGGATATGGTGGGAAAGATGCCGGCCTAGGACTCAGGCCACCTGGGTCTAGCGTGGGCCGGGACTCCCATACTGGCTACAGGACCTTGGACAGGGCCTTTGGCTGCCACAGCTGCTAAGCAAGGAGAAAACAGGGGTGGTTCTCGGGCGGGGGCCTCCAGGCTTCCTCGTACTGTGGTCTCCAGTATCAAGAGAGTACCTACTCTTCAGGCTTAGGACACCATGACACCCATGAGATTGGCATCAACGAGGGGTGTGTTGCTGGGAATGAGTGAATGTCATCTCACCCTGGAACAACAGGGATGGGAAATACCTGACTCTGACTACACGTCTGGACCGAGCCCTGAAGCCACAGCCAGAGCCCAGGGCTGTGCATGCTGAGGGATGCCCCCAGGCTGTGCTGAGGGGCTGCAGGCCGGTACATCCCTCCAGAAGGACCTAGAGGCCCAGAGGACGGGATAAGGAATTAGCCACCATTTCATTAAGTGGGGCCTGGCAAACGTGACCGTGAGTTTTGACTCTATCAGATGTGAACGGATGAGGGAAGAGCAATCATGAATGGCATGAACTTCAACTTATTTCTGAAGCCCTGGAATCACTCAGGATGTCAAGGTGACACTGCTCCTGAGGCACAGATACTGACGAATGCCCAGTTCCAAAGAAAAATAGATTTGCCCTCTCAAAATACCAATGTGTGATGTAATTCTCCAGTACTCTTCCCATGACCCAGCAGAAACGAGTGGATATCTGACATAATCCAACCTACAAAGGAGTAAGAGGTGTTCACATCAAAGTGATACCATATTTCAGTGGAATTTACAATGGAATGCATTTGGGTTTACCTGAATGACATAAATAGAAATGACTCATTGTATATCCAATACATTGAAATTTTGCTGATAGAAATGTAGAAGTCATGTAATTTTTTAGGTGCAATTCTGTTATTCATACATACAGTCACGGTCAAACTCTTTAACTGTGCATTCCACATATTTATTTGGGCACCTACTATGAGCCAAGTGCTGCATTTTCCCAGTGTATTGTCTCAGCTTTGACAAAAAGTCCCCAAACAACAAACTCGGAGATATTGAAAAGGAAACACTGGCGGACTCTTTGCTCTTTAAAACACAGGACACTCTTGTATGGGAAGTTCTGTGTATTAAACCCTAGTGTCTCAGTGAGACCCATTAAATGATTGAAGATAAGGTCCAACCTCTTAAAAATCTATATGAGTTTGCCAGGGCTACCATAGCACCAAAGTACTACACACTGTGTGACTTAAACAACTGAACTAGTTTTCTCAGTTCTAGGAGGTGGAAATCTGAGATTAAGATGTCACAGGGTTGGTTTCTTCTGAGGCCACTCCTTGGCTTGTAGACGGCCATCTTCTTCCTGCATCTTTACACGGTCCTCCCTCTGTCCTCTGCTCCATGTCTGGGTCCTAATCTTTTCTTCTTATATAGACACCAGATTGGATTAGGACCCACCCTAATGACCTCACTTAACCTTAATCACTTCTTTAAAGACCCTACCTCCCAATGCAGTCACATTCTGAGAAAGTAGAGGATAGGACTTCAACATATAAATTTAGTGGGGGTAGTGGGGGATGCAATTCAGCCCCTAACACATCACTTTGTGTTGCATCCCTCTTCTGGGTCTCAGAAACCAAGAAGGGGATGAGATGGGGGGTTATTCAATGTTCCTAAGTCAGCCGACTACTTTTAAAACTGGGCAAATTTTCTCTAGAAAGTAATTACATCTTTTACACCAAATATCTTCTCAAATTAAGCTGTTTCAGGGTGACATTCCATCCTCCTTTCTACTGGGTTAACGAAACATGTCTTTACAAAGAGATTTCTTTCATCTAAAATAAAATTAACTGACATCAGATTTGATTTAAAAGGAGGATGAAAATCATCTCATATTTATGGTAGAACGTTCGCATTGGAGAGAGGTCAGATGAGTGGCTGGGTTTTGTGTCTTGCTTTGGTGAACCATCCATTTCCTGACCAGCACCACATAACACATTTTTTTACATTTTCTTTCTCATAGATGCTGCTTTAAGATATTGATTTCTCTTAAATGTTTCAAAGATGATTTTGTAGTGCTGGTAACTGCTTTCATAGTTTTATGCTTTTATTGACTGTTTTTAACTTTATATTTATGCCTTGAGGTATTTCTAAGAAGGGCATAATTTCATAAATTGAAGCCAGAAAGAGTCAAGTAGCAGATGATCAGAGGAATCGGCTCCTAAGCCACTGGAGAGGCGATGCCTCCATTCCTGTAGCAATTTATTTCTCCAAAGAATAAGGCTCTCCTCCCATCTCTACCTTGAAACCTGAATTTTTCCCCATTGCTGCTCTGCAGCCTACGATGTACTTGCCCAACAATTCTTTGGCTGCAGCTTCCCACAGAAGACTCTGCAGTCCTCTCCGCGTTTGCTGCAAACCTGCCTTCCTCCATTGAGTTGATCTGGAGCCATGGTCACTAGATAATCTGTCAGCCTAGGGGCATTTCATCTCGAATGGAAGCGCATTTTCCAGTGTATGAACTTGCTCTGGTATGTAGCAACAAGGGAAGACAGTTTGAAGACAAATGGAAAAATCTGAGCTTTTCTCACTCTCCATCATGAAATTTTGCCTTTCCGTGCAGTTACTGAAAACAACTCACTGCAGTGTGATATAGAGCAGTGAGAAGCCAGAAAGAATCTATTCTTCCCCCAATTTTTAACTTGTGGTAAGATATACATAACATTTACTCTCTTAGCCATTTTTAAGTGTACAACTTGGTGGTATTAAGTGCATTCATAATGTTGTACCACCGTCACCACTATCCATTTCAAGAGCTCTTCTCGTCCTGTAAAACTGAAACTCTATACCCAGTAAATACTAACTTCCCAGTCCCTTTTCCCCATTCTCTGACAACCACCAAGAATCGCTGTTTTTTTTTTTAAAGGTGGAGTGGGTAAGTAAATTATGACTGCACAACTGCATCTTATATTCTGCAGAAATTAAAAATACAAATTACAAATAATTTAAATGACATGAGGAATTGCTTATGAGGGGTATTATAAGAGAATAATACAAGAGAGCTACAAAAGTTAATATGCATCACAGTCTTATGTTAAAATGCTGGGGAAAATAGAGGAAAATGTACAGATATTTTCTTATTTATATGTTTCTGTATTTTCCTGTTTCTGCATGGGGTTGCTATTACTTTTATTAAGAGGAAAATTTAAAAAACTTCTTAAAGAAGAGAACTCCGTTCTGCATTTACTCCTTTTAAATAATCATTTGGCAGAAAAGGTGACTTCCCATCATTGCTACAGCTTGAATGCATTTTGGAAGGAAAAGTGATCAATCTCGTATGGGCCCTGGAGAAGAGGCGGAGACTTACGGCAGCCACAGTCACAGGGCAGCAGGGCAGTCCCTGGAGTGTTTCATCATCTTATGGCAGCCTTCTAGCGCACGCCCAGGGACAAGCTCTAAACCTTCCAAGTTAAGAGGGAAATTCGAGTCACCTACTGACCAAATTGGATAATCCAGATGATTCCAGAGCAGGTGGTCAGAAGGTATAATTTCCAGAGTTATTGAACTCAGTCACAGATAATGACCAAGCATGAGAGCGAAAGGGGCGAGAGAGAGAGAGAAAGAGAGACAGAAGTGTGTGTGTGTGTGTGTGTCTGTGTGTGTGTGTGTTCTATGTGTGTGTATGTGTGTGTGTCTGTGTGTGTGTGTATGTGTGTCTGTGTGTGTGTGTCTGTGTGTGTGTGTGTGTCTGTGTGTCTGTGTGTGTGTGTGTGTGTTACAGGGATCCAGCCACATAGCCACAAACATTGACATCAACATTAGTGACTAAACTCTAATTAATTTTTGAGATCAATAGGAAAATGCTGAAATTTGCCAGCTCGGTGTGAAAAACAGGTGACAAATATCCTCAGTTGATATCTTTCTTAAAAAAGTGTAGCAGTGGAGCTCAGCAGAATCGCCCCCATGCCCTTCCCTGACTCAATCTCTCTCCTCCTAACTGGCATCTCCACCCAAGGACAGCTCTCAGTGATCCACTGCTCTTTGCATTCATTTTCCTCCCCAAACCTAGGGCTCTGACTCCTGCTCCGAGGGAACAAATTAATTATAGCCATGCATCTTTACATCTTGAGACAGTGAGCTTGGTGCTTTCACATAGAAAGGAATTTAAATATTGATGAGTAAATCTCAGGACCCCAAATAACTTCCTTTCTCCATCTTGTGGGATTTCAGGCCCGGAGTCTCTGAAGGAAATGTTGAGCTTTATTAAATACGGAGCTAAATCAAAGTAATACCTAACACAAGCGTTTTGGGTAAAAAAATATTTTAACAGGTATCTTTGCCACTTTAATCTGTAGTGAGAGATTGATTCTTATAATTCCACTCTCTCTTAGAACTACAAAATTTGGCGGCAGAATCTCCATCTGTGACAGATAGCAGATGCCTTGTAAACTGTAACATCTTGGACAGTTTTTTAAGGTGAGAAAGTCCATACTGTAAATCTGGTTAACTCAAAAGGGATTTCCACCATGACAGTCCTTTAGAGCAAGCTAAGTACAAAAGCTCCAGAGCCAGGCAGGTTATACGAGCTGTGAGATTTGGGGCAAGTCACCTACTGAAGCTGTAGTTTTCTCATTTTTAGGTATTAATATAAGAGCAGTACCTGTCTTGTGGGGCTATGGGAAGGATTAACTGCATCAGTCGATTAGACAGAGCCTGGTGTATGATACATTGACGATATTAACCACTGTGCACCAAGCTCTTTTGTTCCCTACGATCTGAAATATTTCATTTTATAAATATGACCTCTAATTTTCCTCCCTATTCAGACCACTGACACTTTTTGCAGTTCTAACAACCTATACCAGCTTGTTAGATTTCAGAGTACCTCTTTCGCATCTTCAAAATGCTGTATGGCATAATTCTCCCTCTCTTTCTATGTCTCTCTCTAGCTGATAAATTTTAGTTTAAAATTGGGAGCAATTGCCATATTCTAAGATGCTGCAAGCTTACAAATTGTTGCTGAAGATGATAAAAGAATAATTAAATCTATAGCACGGTTAGATTGTTTGCTACATTAATTCAATTTTGACTAAATAAAATAAAATGCAATCACATCACAAGTAGGTCAGTGATTATATTTTATAGATGGGTGCATTTTGCTGACTATTCTAGAAGTTAGAAATGTATGTTACCTTGGTGAAGTCAGATTTTGCCTCTGTGACATCAGACTGGAGATTTTTAAGGGCAATTTGATCTCTTCTACTGTGGTAGCTGTCCCGTAATCCTAGGCAAAAGAAGATAATATTGCTACTTTTTAGTATATAAAAGGATAAAATGGAATATATAACTCTACTGTAAAATTTAATGTCACCTACTCACATATTCTATCAGCCAACAGTAAATCCAGGATAGTCTAACCATGACAAAACCTTGTACACTTCTCTTATTTCATGCCCTCCATTTAACCTCTCTGGGTTCGTTATTAGTTTATTCAGCTGCAAGATTTCTTCTTCCATATGATCGTTTGTGTCCCTTAGACTCAGTCACAATTGCATAATTTTAGCCCTATCATATTCACCAGTGTCCCAAGTTTATACTCAGCAGAAGAGAGACTCACATCTATAGATGTCCCAACATCACTAGAGCTAAGAATGGGTGAAATACAATACTGATCTTCATTCAGCCTCTTAATGCAACCATCATTGGAGGGGTCATGGATGACTCAGAAACTGATATGAACACTGTTTTAGACCCTCTGAGGATAATTTAGTGATCATATAATGACACACTCTATGTAAAATCCCCCACATGTGCCTCTCTGTGAGTATCTGCCACAAAGATAGCTAAGAATATTGTCAGATCCAACTGGACGGAGCAGTAGACCAAGAACTGGAGAACCGGGATTCTAGTGCTGGATGCCCCAAACACTGGCTTAATAACAGTGGATATATCTATGGATCTATTCTGCCTGAATTCCTCATCCACCACACCTGCCCTGAGTACCTCACGGAGTCCTGAGCAGAAGCTTTCTCTTAGCTGCAAGCCAGCAGTACTGCAAAGCCTACCCAGGGCTTACACAGCCTTACGCTACAGACCCTCAGCAGCCACAGCACCGCCCTGCGCCCCCCTCTCCACCCCCCATCTCTAAAAGTGACCTTTGTCAGGTCGCTAATGTAGAAACGTGAACCAAACACAGGGAAATGGTATGAGCGTGGAAGTAGGAAGCAAGTCCAGGAAGAGGTCCATTTTCTGCAGCCCAGGGTAACCACTCTGCCTCTGCAATGGAAATACTCTAGGGAAGGTGATTTTTCAAGGGGCTGTAATAAATGGCTCCCCAACTGCTAGTGCAGGTGATGAGAAAGAAGAGATTTATGAAAGCAGCTCCCTAGAGTTCTGCCTTTATCAACTCATCAAAAAGTTTCATGAACAATTTAGATATACAGTCACGCTCTGCATGACAACCTTTCGGTCAATGAAGGACTGCATATATGACAGTGGTCCAATAAGATTATAATGGAGCTGAAAAATTCTTATCACCTACTGACGCTGTAGCCATCAGAACGTTGTAGTATAATTGTTTGTTTAAATAAAAGTAGTGTAGCCTAAGTGTGTAGTGCTCATAGTCTGCAGTAGCAGACAATACTGTCCTAGGCCTCCCCATTCACTCACCACTCACTCACTCATCCAGATCAACTTCCAGTCCGGCAAGCTCCATTCACGGGAATTGTCCTATACAGGTAGGCCATTTTCTATCTTTTAGCCTGTATTTTTACTGTATCCTGTTTATGTTCAGATATGTTTAGATATACAAATACTTACCATTGTGCTGCAATTGCCTACAGTATTCAGCACAGTCACACACTATACACGTTTCTAGCCCAGGAACAATATGCCATACCATACCGCCTAGGTGCATAGGAGGCTATACCATCTAGGTTTGTACATTCTACAAGGTTCACACACCAACAAAATCCTCCAACCACATTTCTCAGAACATATCCCCATCCTGAAGCACTGCTTGACTGTAACTGAAAGCATTTTATGAGGAAAATAATGTGCTCTAATATTTTCAAGTTTGGAAGATTTGCAAAAGGGTCAGGACATGGCTTGAGGGAATTTCAAGGGCCACCATTGACCTGTCCAGAGCCTGGCTATGTCTCATCTTGTCCTTGGGTGACAGTGAGCGCCATCAGCTCTAATTCAGATGTGGGGCCCTGCCTCCATCTATGACTGCTATTGAGTGACAGAGACAGTTATCCAAGATGACGTGCACAGATTACTTTTCGTGAAGCACAAATATAAGGGCTGAAAGGTCTTTTGGATTCCTGCGCAGAGATGATGCATCATGATGAACTGACAATAAAGCTGATGAAGACAGAAATCACCTGCTCTGGTCATGTGGCATCGCATGTGGTTAAGAACTTTGGAGTCAACACAGGCTGAGGCTAGACAGGTCTAGGCCTGCATCCTGCTTGGCCCCAGGCCGACCTACAGTGGATGGGCTGTGTACCCTTTCTGAGTTTCTTCTTTTATAAAATGCATGCAATAACACCTCCTGCAAAAATGCTGCTTTGCCATCCGAGCACTGAGGATATCGTATGGAAAGCATTCGGGCAGGGTGGGGTGTGGAGTTAATGTTTGATAAATGACACCAGTTGTGATTGGCAATGAGCAGGATCAAGGCAGCCCTCCCCAAGACCCAGCTGGTTGCTATCACTGTGGCATCAGTGGTCAGAAAGCCACTGGAATCACACCACAGAGTCCCAGCACCTGAATCCCAGATCTTGTTACTCGTGTGGCTTTGAGCAAGTTACTTAGCATCCTTTGGTTCCTCACCATGAGATGAAGACAATGAGGGTATCCACTTCAGAGGGTTACTGAAAGAAATTAAATGACATAACCAGCCCTTAGTGCAATGCTCAGAACATAACAACATACAGTAAACACTAGCTTTGGGGAGATGCCTCGTCTCCAGCAGGGAGGCGGAGGGACTGCCATGATCAGATACACAAAGGCTGAGCATGAGCTGCCTGTGGCTGCTGCGACAAACGACCACAAATTCAGGGCTTACACAACACAAATGTGGTATGCTCCAGTTCTAGAGTTCAGAAGTCCAACCTGGCCTCACTCGGCTAAAATCAAGGTGGTGGCAGGGCTGGGTTCCTTTCTGAAAACACTAGGGAAGAATTCTCTTCCTTGCCTTTTTCAGCTTGTAGAGGCTCACAGCCCCGCATCACTCAAACTTCTGCTTCCAATATCACATCTCCTTATCTGACTCTGACCCTTCTTCCTCCCTCTTGTAAGGACCCTTGGATTAGATTGGGCCCACCTGGAAAATGCAGGCTACATTCCCCATCTCAAGGTTATTAACTATATCTCATTTGCCAAGTCCCTTTGGCCAAAGTAACATATTTATAAGTTCCAGGGATTAAGACATGAACATCTTTGGGGGTGGAGGGGACATTATTCTGCCCACCACAGACTAGTTGGGGAGATGGAGGTAGATGTGTTGGATGTAATGTAGGGCCTTTAAAATAAGGAATATAAAGTCTACATAGCAACATGAGAAAGTGCTTACAATGCTATGTTTATCAAAAGAAAGAAAAAGCCTATGAACCACATGACTGCAACATTTAAAAAGTGTGTGTAGGAATCTAAAAAAATAGTAAAGTTGTAACTGCATCAAGAAATTGCCCTGGTTAAAGAAACGGGCAGAGGGTGTGCAGGCCCTGAACACAGCAGCATACACACTAAATAGGGCTTTGTCTCTAACTTAACTTCACTGATTCCCATGCCCCTATCTGTGAAATTAGAATATGCAGTCAAGACTGTCTGAGTCCTGCCCTTTGCTGGGGAACTGCCCCATACCCCAGCTATTGGGAGAGTGACTGACAATGGCTCATAGCTTCACTCTGAGAATGACCCTCCACGTTGAAGCATGGCCCAGGATGACTCTTAGGAATACAAAGGTTGGGGCCAGGGGCAGTGGCTCACACCTGTAATTCCAGCACTTTGGGAGGCCAAGGCAGGTGGATCATGAGGTCAAGAGATCGAGACCATCCTGGCCAACATGGCGAAACCCCGTCTCTACTAAAAATACAAAAATTAGCTAGGCATGATGGTGTGCATCTGTATTCCCAGCTACTCAGGAGGCTGAGGCAGGAGAATCGCTTGAACCCAGGAGGTAGAGGTTATAGTGAGCTGAGATCACGCCATCGCACTCCAGCCTGGCAACACAGTGAGACTCCATCTCAAAAAAAAAAAAAAAAAAAAAGGAATACAAAGGTCAGGACAACTCTGCCTTTTATGCTCCAGAGCAAAAACCAAAATGCCTGACTTCATCTGAGATGACATCCTTGCTTGGCTCTTTCCCCTTCCTTATCAGGTTTCCCTCACTCTTGTATGTTTTTTTTTTTCCTGAAGAGCAGCCCAGCCCCACTGCCCTCAATCCCTGCCTCAGGCTCTGCCTTTTGGAAACCTGACCCGAGACAGGGTCCTACCCCGCATTGCTGTTCAACAGCAAGGGCTCCCAAAATGTGGCCCCCAGACCAGCAGCATCCACACGATGGGGGCACTTGTTGGAAATTCACATTCTTGTGTCTCACATACTGACCTGCAGACCTAGCAAATGAGGAGTTTTGAGGAGGCTCAGCCCTGTGCTTTAGCAAGCATTCCAGGACATTTGGCACAGCTCAAGTCCAGCAGTGCTTGTTGATCTAAGACAGCTTAAGACATCTTTTACAGATGGTGAGTCTGAAGCCCCAGAAGAGAATCATAATGCTTTGATTCAAAAACCACTCCACGACTTTTAGAAAAACCACACCTAGTCTGTGGGCATGGGAATCTCAATGAGGCTTTTCACCAATGGTTTCAATTCAAATAAAACCGTCATAGAAAAAAAAAACAAACATCATGAGAGCCAGCATGCTTTTATTTTGAAAGTAATTAAAAACCAGCTCAATTAACCACCCAAAGTTATTGCTGGTTCATGACTCACTTGTGTTTGCTGCCCAGCACGCCTGCCCTCTGTGCCCAGGGAGTGTGTGTGCTCACTAGTAGGTGCTAAGAGCTCTTCTCTCCTAAGATGACTGGAAGGATTGCACCCGCTGCTGTCTCCATCCGCCTGAACCACACATCCAAAACCATTCCCCACTTTCAGCCCCTTCCCAGAGACTACAACCACCATGACTGAACACACCACAAGGCCCTGAGTCAAGTACTTCCAGAATCCCGGTTTTCTGCCTGGAGGGCGGTGTGTGTTTCAGCAACAGAATCCAACTGAGCAGGAATTTAGGCAGTGCTCAGGGTGTGTGGGGCCCTGAGCTGAGAGATAAAGGTGGGAGAGATGCTTTCTTTTTCCAGCAACTCTAAGAGAAAGTCACGGCTTTGCTATCCCCAGCCTTGATAAGCCACGGACAGAGCCCTTCCAGCAGAGGGAACCAGGAAAAGTTGGTGGGAGGGAGGAGACACTTGACATGGCCTTGTCAGATGGGGTTGGGTTTAGATAAAGGTGAACAGAGTGGAGAGGGATGGTGGCATAGCCCAAGCCACAGTCAAAGGGACAGGCAGAAATGGCTTAAGATAAAGTATGAAAGCAGAAAAACCCAGCCTATTTGGAGAATAGCAAGTAGAATATTGGGTGAAGCATAGAATATGGTTAAAAATTATGTCTAATTCCAATCTGTTGCCCAATACCGCTTGGCTTATCTCTACAAAAGTAGCAGACAAGCACCATCATGTATTGCCTCATGAATCGATCCACCCAAGAAATGTGCAAATGGCAAATGCCCAGAGGCCTTCAGTCTGTTTAATAATTACACTTACTCTCCTACCTACATCATTAGTGTCAGAGGCAGGGAAGGGGCACTCAAATTCTTACTTCTTGGATTTTTAAATGCCTTCTCTTATTTGTAGTCTTATGGAAGTCAAGGTTTATTCTGAATTTTCACCATCCTTTTAAAAATACTCTCTGTTAATATTTTAAAACAGATGTTTCTCAGAGAGAATCACTTTTCAGCTTTAAATTCAGCTAATCATCTTGGTGTGATTTGGCGCTATTGACTACACAGTTTCTCTGGGAAGTCTTCCTGTCTTCAACTTCTGGTCTCCTGTCTTTTTCCTCTTGGCTAGTGTGTCTTACTTTCTTTTGGGGGTTTCCTCCTTGACATTTCTCTGTCCTGCCTTTGTGCCCTCTTCCCAAACCTGAGGGACCAATCCAGCCGAGGAGAGGCCAGATCCCCTCCGTGAGCACCGCCTCAGAGGCCGGCTGCCTCCAAGTTGCCTCAAACAGCTTTTGCAAAAGGAAACCAAGCCCCCTCATGGTTCTCTGTCCTTTCTTCCTCCTGTGTCATCGCCTTGGCCAGTGGTTGAGCAAAAACCAAACGCCTGACTTCATCTGGGGCAACATCCTCCCCACCCTCCTGTTGCCCTCATCAGAAACAGAGGCGCCCACTCTGCACCCTCCCCCTCACCTCCAACATCCAACTGAAAGCCAAGGCTGGTTTGCTCCTGAGACAAAGGCTCTGCTCCATTGCGTCAGTTCACCTCCCTGCCCTGCTGGTGTCAGCAAGGTCACAATCAAGCTGGTGACCCCACCAGCCTCATCTCCCAGCCGGTCCTGCCAAACCTTCTTGACATTGCCAGTTTGTGACCGTGAAGGCCACATGGTCCTCCAAAACTCAAATGCAAGGGATTCGTTTCTCCCCAAGAAAAGGTGCAAAATTGAAGCACACATGTAGGGGGACCCTGGGAGTTCAAGGAGCCCAGGTTAGAAATCCTTAAACCCAGCCTGCTTCCCACAGGGGCTGGCTTGATGACCGTGAGTGCTGCCTTCACCTTTTCCCCACTGAGCTAACTCCTAACTCCTCACCCGTGACACGGCTCAAGATCGCTTCTCTTAGAAGGAAGTCCCGATCCGCTGCTACCCCACATGGCCCCCAAGCTGGATTGGTGCCTGCGTTCGTTCCCAGCGCTGCTGTGAAAAGTGACTACAAAGGGAGCAGCTGGATACAACAGGGATTTACTCCTTCCCAGTTCTGGAGGCCAGAAATCCAGGTGTCAGGACCGTGCTCCCTCTGAAGGCCCTAGGGGAGGACCCTTCCTTGCCCTTCTCAGTGTCCCGTGGTGTCTGGCATCCTCTGTGTCCCTCGGCTTGGGACAGCCCCTCTCTAATCTCTGCCTCCACCTGCACATGGCCATCTTCCCTGAATGTGCCTCCAAAACTCTCTCCTTTATAAAGACACCAGTCATTGGACATAAGCCCCACCCTACTCCAGTGTGACCTCATCTTAACTCCATGACATCTGCAAAGGTCCTTATCCAAATGGCCCTTATCCCAATAAGGTCACATTCACAGGGATCAGGGGTTAGGCCTGGAACGTATCTTTTTCAGAACACTATTCAGCCAGCCCACACCAGCGCCCCCAACAGGCGCTACCGTGCATCCTTTTCATGCTGTTGTGTAATGATCTGTTCCTGAGTGTCTCCCCAAGTTGGCCCAGGTCTTTAGAGATACCTGGTTCATCTCCTTTCCCCTGGGGCCTCATACAGTACTGGGCCCAGAAGATACTCAGCGTGGACAGAATGAACAGATTACTTTATATTTTAATAAGGGTTATATCTGTGGAAAAAAATTAGAACATACCTTCTCCAGACAGTTTGAGCATATTCTACTGAGGTTTCAAAGCCATTTTACTCAGTTTCAAAGGTCTTTTAATGACAAGGATGTATTTGGCGACATGAAAGAAAAAAATGTCCGGAGTTTACCTCTGTGGCTAGGCTCAGAATGAGTCAGGCTTCCACCTTCCAGCCTCGGCCAAAGAACCTCAAAGCTCTATATGTAATGAAGTCACCGGAATGTTTACAGGGCAACCAGGGGAGGTGGCATACAAGCCCACCTTGTGACATTTCTTGTTAGCAGCAATCGTCTCTTTGATGTTTACATTTGAGGCTTCTTTGATGAGTAAAACAAGTTTGCATGAGAGTTATTTAAAAGTTTTCTTAGTATTAAAATACATCCAGATAACGTCACACTGGTGATTAATCTACTTGTTACCAATTTTTTTACAAATGGTTTATGTAGAAAATTGAGCAATATAACAGTTTACCATGCAAGCTCTTATAAGACTGATTGGTTTTCAATTTAGTGAAATATCTTTGACACTAAATTATAATGAGCATTGTTTTATAATTTATACCCAACCAAATTTGAGGTAGCTTATAGTTAATAATGCAGTTTAAAAACAGTAAAACTGACTTTTAAAAAAAGCACATAATGAGCTGGAGAAGTCATTGACTCAAACCCAAAAGCCTGGGCTAAAGATAGCACCGGCAGCCTGGCGTGGTGGCTCATGCCTGTAATCCCAGCACTTTGGGAGGCCAAGGTGGGTGGATCCCCTAAGGTCAGAAGTTCGAGACCAGCCTGACCAACATGGAGAAACCCCATCTCTACTAAAAGTACAAAATTAGCCAGGCATGATGGCGCATGCCTGTAATCCAAGCTACTTGGGAGGCTGAGACAGGACAATCGCTTGAACCTGGGAGGCAGAGGTTGCGGTGAGCCAAGATAGCACCATTGTACTCCAGCCTGGGCAACAAGAGTGAAACTCCATTTCAAAAACAAACAAACAAACAAAAAAAGAGATGGCACTGGTACAGATGAATCACAACTACAGGGTGAGTTCCCCACTGCTGAAGCAAAAGGGGAAATGTGAGAAACTGCATAACTTATTGCCTTTCCAATGAAATACACAATTTTATAAGGAGAGCCATTTTATCTCCTGGGATAAAGCCTCAGTCATTACATAAATGCATAGTGGCTTTGTAAGCAGTTTCACAAACACAAGACAAATGTAAATTTCACTGGATAATCTCAAGCCCCTTGCGTCTGGTCAGTGTCTCCGTCATGTCATAATGGCTAAAACGCATTGCACGTTTATCATGAGCCACACACCTGCTAAACGCTGGACAGGTGTTATCTCCTTTAATGGAAGAAATGACCTTGTGGAGAGGGCACTATGACTACTCATTTTACAGATGAGGAAGTTGAGCTCCATTTAAGTCTCTTACCAGGTGTCACCCCTCCAGTAAGACTAAAGCTGCGAGTTTGCAATATGAATAATCACTGTACATGATTAGGAGAAGGTAAAAGTAGAACAGCTTGAGTTTTGACGCCTGGTCCAGGTTGACTCTTGGTGCCACCACATTTTAATGCTGTCTAGCCTTGGACGAGCCACGTAACCTCCTGGCCTCTGTTTGTTCCTCTGTAAGAGAGAGGCTGGCATAGGCTTTGTTGGGCTGGGAATTATTAAATGAGGCAAATAAAGGTTTTCATGGGCTCAGCACAGTGCTATCATGGAACGCTCCCTCAAAAAACAGTGTGTTATTAGATACAGTTTTACACATAGTTTCCATCTCTCTCAGAAAATTATGGTTTATAATAAAGACATTTTAAAAGCCTATTCTACTGAATTTTGTGGTCACTTGGGCTCTAGCTGAATCTGAGACCCCTGGAGTGTGAAGCACAGTCTTCTGGCCCTTGGCAGCCAGGGTGGGTTGTTCCAGCTTTGCTTTCCCTGTGGCTGGAGTGTGGGTCTCTCCTGGTGACAGAGCAGGGGCACCAGACTCAAGGATGATGACAACAGCCAAATACAATAATGCACGTGAAAGCACCCCGCTCATGGGTACCGCACTGATGTGATCATGCCACTATCTCAGTGCAGCAAACATTTATGGAGAAGATAGCACTTTTGAGGGCCTGAGTTGGGTGCTGAGACAGCAAAGATGCAGAGAACACAAGGAATCCCTGTCTTGGAAGAACTCACAGTCTTGAGGAGATGACACACATAAAGAGATATTTTTCCATGCATTGCGGATCTGACCATTTTCTTTTCTCTCATGAGTTGTCTCATTTTTTGAAACCTGTGATAAAATACACATAAAATGTACCATGTTCATCATTTCTAAGTGTGCAGCGGTATTAAATACTTTCCTAACATGCAAGCATTACCATCATCCATCTCTAGAACTCTTTAACCTGCAAAACAGAAACTCTCTCCCCATTAAACACTAACTCCCCCTTCCCACCTTCCCCCAGCCCCTAACAACCACCATTCTACTGTCAGTTCCTACAAATTTGCCTACTCTAGGAACCTTATACAAATGGAATCATACAGTATTTGCCTTTGTGTGGCTTATTTCACTTAGCATGTCTTCAGGGTTCATCCGTGTTGTAGCATGTGTCAGAATTTCCTTCCTTTTTAAGGATAAATGATATGCTATTGAATGTATATACTACAATATCCATATCCATACATCCATCAGTGGACACTAGTCACCGCTTAGCTATTACAAATAATGCTGCAATGAACATGGTTGTACAAACATGTATCCAAGTCTCTGATTTCAATTCCTTCTTAAGAATTGTCTTTTGCCTTTCATGCTATGGTTCTTGATCTTATTATATAATATTTTCTTAGCACAAACTAGTTCTTGTTTTGAGAGGTGGGTGGGGGTGGCAAGGAGATAGATCTCTGGATAGATAATTTTGGTAGTAATCTTAAAACCATCTTTAAAAACATTCCTTCCTCCCTTCATGACCACATGTGCAGAGGGAGGAGGATATAAGAATGAGGGTCTTGTTTTCAGACCATGATGGATATAAGCAGTTAGACACAGGTAGTCTCTGTTGTGCAACCCAAACACCTTCAATGTGGACATCAATATGCCAGGAAGAGGAGGCACTCTCCTCTCAGAAAGATTTCAGAGCTGGGAGGCAGCCCAGGTCAGGGAGAACTGAGGCCTGGGTAGCGGGGACAGGAATCCTGCTGGGAAGACTAAGAAATTAGGAGCCTCACCTAAGCAGAGAGTCAGGGCTTAGGCAGCAAGAAGGTGCACTGGGAGAAGCTGAAAGATGAAAAGTTTGTCCCCATTTTGGGAGCCTTAGTAGGACACAGCATGATATGCTGGGAGGGGTCCAGACGGCAAGGACACTAGGCTCCAGATCCCACCTGGCCACTCAGCCATGTCAGCTCCTCCTCTGGGCTCATCTTCCTCATCCGCGAGGCAAGGAGTGCACGCACCTGTATGGCCCCTAGGGTGCCATCTAGCTCTGCCATGAGGGCTTGTCCTACAAGAGCTGGGGGCCATCGAGGGAGGGCATGTGTGAGAGGGAGGCAGTCTCCACTTTAGCTTGCTTCTCCCATTAAGTGGAAAACGCCATTATTTCCATCACTATGTACTCCCTCCTTTGTCAAGCTCACTGAACAAGCATCATTATTACATAGTATTGAAAGTCATAGTGTGGTTTGATTTCAGAGGGGACCATTTCTGCCCTTGCAGGTGGGTGGCAGAAAATTGGGATGCTTCTGTGGACAAGAGTGGCCAGAAAGAGATGCCACCCTCAACTGCCACCCCAGCTTCCCCCTAAGGGAGATCCATGCTGCAACAGGGTCCCAATTACCAGACCCGTTAGTCAGGCAACTTTCTGTAGGATGAGCACGGATGAATTATTTGCTTTTAGTTCAGGACTGGTGAACAAGCAACCCACCAGGAAGAAAAATGGGACGTCCTTGAAACTTCCTGCAGAAGAGGATCTGGAGGCGCATTCGGCCCACTGCAAAGCCACACACGTCGGTGAGACCAAAGAATTTGTCACCTCAGATTCTTTCGTTAACAGACAGATTCATTATGTAAACAAGACACAAAAATATTTTCATAAGATGTCAGAATGGATTTCCTCTCCTTCCCCAGCAACAATGTGATTCTTGTTTGTGGGACTGTGGGGCTTCTTGTCTCTCATCTGTTCAGCTGAATTGGCCGGAGCAGAATGTCTAGAGCCCAGAGCCGGAGCCTGCAGAGATGATTACAGGCTCCGCCGTGAGCTGGACAAATGAGGTTGGGGCAGCATGTGAAAGCCCAAGTTGTAAATCTCTCATTATAAGAGCCATTAGCCACACGCTGCACATCGGGGGTCTGGAGAGACACTGAAACTGGACATGGTCCGAGAGCCTAGCATCAAAGGAAAAACCCAGGCTCAAGATGTTCACACCACTGCCATTATCCTGTGTCCCCACTTAGAAACTCAAAGTGGCCTCTCTACAGAACTCTCCAACGGCTTATCAGCAAAGCCAGACAATTAGAACAAGGTTGTTCTTCTCCCTGGTGTGGGTTTGGTTTTGAGTTCTTTGGCTTTTTGTTTTTGCTGTTGTTGTTGTTTAATGGAGCAAGGAGCCCTGCACTGCCTGTCTTCTGCTATTCCCTGCTGTATAGCAGACCTTCAATTTAGGCAAGAACAGGGAAACCGTCCTCTTAAATGGGTAGGCACATAAGAATCCAAAGCTGCCTAAATAGCTTGTCCACACCTGCCACAACACACACACACACACACACACACACACACACACACACAAAAGAAGCAGAGGCAAAGAGGGGCAGGGCTCTCCAGAGAGGCCCCAGCTAGGAAGTCACAAAGTCAGGCTCCCTCAGTCAAGTCTAAGAGAGGTCCCCATGTCTCTGACTTTTAGTTACATTCTCTTCTAAACACAGCCCTTCCTGATGGCCTGAGATGATCTCTTCTCTCTCTGCAATTGACTTTTTTTTTTTTTTTTTGAGACTCAGTCTCACTCTGTCGTTCAGGCTGGAGTGCAGTGGTGCAATCTCGGCTTGCTGCAAGCTCCGCCTCCCAGGCTCACGCCATTCTCCTGCCTCAGCCTCCCAAGCAGCTGGGACTACAGGCACCCACCACCACACCCGGCTAATTTTTTATATTTTTAGTAGAGATGGGGTTTCACCGTGTTAGCCAGGATGGTCTCGATCTCCTGACCTCGTGATCCGCCCGCCTCGGCCTCCCAAAGTGCTGGGATTACAGGTGTGAGCCACCGCACCTGGCCAACTAATTTTTTTAATAACAGCTTTATTGAGATATAATTTACAAGCCATACAGTTTACCCTTTTAAAGTGCACAATTCCGTGGTTTTTGTATATTCACCAAGTTATGCAACCATCACCAAATTCCAGAACATTTTCATCATCCCCAAAAGAAGTCCCATACCTGTTAGTAGCACTCCACATGATCCCTTGACCTCAGCCCCTGGCAACCACTCAACAACTGTCTCTCTCTGGAGTTATCCATTCTGGACATATCCTATAAATTGAATCATATAATATGTGGGCTTTTGTTTCTGGCTTCTTCTGCTTATCATAATGCTTTCAAAGTTCATCTATGCTATAACACGTATCAGGACATCCTTGCTTCTTAAGGCTGAATAATATTCCAGGGCATAGGTAGACCACCTATGTTGCATCTCTTCAACAGCTGATGGACACTTGAGTTGTTCCCCCTGTGGGTTTATAATACTACTACTGTGAAAATTCATGCACAAGTTTTTGAGTGATATATGTGTTCTATTCTTATACATAACCTAGGAGTGGAATTGCCGTGTCGTATGATCACACCACATACCACATTTAAATTTGAGGAATTGCCAGACTGTTTCCCAAAGTGTACCATTTTGCATTCCCACCAGCGATGTATGAGGGTTTCATTTTTCGCCAGCCTTCCTCACAGTTGTTATTGTCGTCTTTTGGATTATAGCCATTCCAGCGGGTGTGAAGTGGTATCTCATTGTGGTTTTGATTTGCATTTCCCTAATGGCTAATGATGTGGAGCATCTTTTCATGTGCTTATTGGCCATTTGCCTTTCTTCTTTGGAAAAATGTCTATCCAGATCCTTTGCTCATTTTATAACTGGGCTGTTTGTCTTTTCTTAGGATTTCTGGGGAAAAGGTGCTTAATGACGCCTCCCTACCCCTGCCAATGAGTGAAAGAAGCAGTGACGATTCTCAGACTCCGTAAGGCAGCATCTCGTATCTCTGCACCTTCAATGGCAGAGCATTTCTGTCATTTCTGACAAGGGGGCTGAGAGAATGTTCTTTGGTGTCCCACAGACATGGGTTTGCATCTAGCTTGGTCACTTATAAAATCTGTGACTTAGACAAGTCACCTAACTTCTCTAGGCCTCAGCTTCCCCATCTGCGAAACAGGGATTGTGATGTCTATTTCATCAGATTATTATGAGAGCTAAGAAAGAAGACACATAGAAAGCCCTTAGCACGCTGCCTGGCATGTAGGAAGCACCTAATACAATTTATTTTTTATTTATCCGGCAAATATTTAGATAGCATTGACCATGGGCCAGGCATTGGTCCAGGTATCAAAGTCACGGCATGAGCAAAACAGCCAGAAAAGTCTCTGCCCTTGTGGAGCTTATGTGCAGTTAACTTTCTTTAAAAAGTTAATGATGCTAGTTACTATTATAATTTAACATTTTTACCCTTGATTGCAAAATAAGTACGAGCTCATCAGAAACCAGAAACCAGGAAGACAAGATAAAGGAAGTTTCACTAATGAACTTGAACTTTAGAGTGAGACAAAGCATTAGCTTCACTAATTACAGCTCTCCTGCCAGGTCCCAGTATGGCCTTTCCTTTGTCTCTGCTATGTAGAGAGAGACGGGGAAGGAGAGGTGCCTGAGAAGCCATAGGCCGCGGGTCAACCAGGCCTCAGGAACAGGAAAAAGAAGGAGCGAACACCAGATTTAGCATTTCCAGATATCTAGACAAAGAGAGAGATAATACTTACCAATAAATACACTTACTAATCTTGGGGAGTTTTAGAAGCATCAAAATAATTATTTAAGTATAAAAAAAAGGAGAAGCGTGTGTGGGAAGAAAGAGCAAGGAATGAACCTCTTGATGCTTGAAAAACAGGTCCAACAGGGCTGAGTGGGGCTGAACATGAGACTGATTTACAGGAAAACTGCTAGCCTAGGCTAAAGAATGCTTCTGAAGCGTGGTGGCGAAACTCATTTGAGTAAATGAAGTTCTGAGATCATGAGAAACACGGTTCTATTTAGAGGTCAGCAATTCTGCAGTGGCAATACCCAGCTGGACCGTGATCAAGGCCAGCTCCACCACGGCCCAGCACTGGGAGCCAAGCGAGTCACTTACCTCCTCTTGGTTTCCTCATCTGCGAAATGGGCTCAATAACCCTGACCCCATCTGGACCTGAGGCTGGACTCTCAGGTCCTTCTTAGAGGACATTCCCACAGCCTGCAATGCTGCTTCTCAGCTCACTGTGGAGTTCTCTGTGCACCAGACAACAGCAGCCCCTTTGTATGTGTGAGCGGGAGAGGATAAGTCAAACCTAGGTAGGCAGCAGTTATCAACAAGACTGCCATTTGGAGAAAGGTAGATCTACAAAGGCAGACGTAGCCAGGGATCTGCCCTATCAGATATCAAAACTTATTATAAAGGTGAGAAGAAAGGTAGGTCATTGCTACAGAAATAAACAAAAACAGGCTAGTGGAAAAGAATAAGGAACCCAAAAAGAGACCCTCACATATATGGAAATGTGAAAAATAATGAGGTGAGACTATCTGTCAGTGGATATACACAATAAACACAACATTTTACAAACTACAATAAATTACGCTGGGACAATTAGCTACCATTATTTTAAAAACCAAAATTAGACACCTTTTCCTTACCATACCTACAAATCAACTCCAGATAATCTAAAACCTTAAACGCAAAAGGTAAAACTTTAAAACATTCTTTAAAGATAAAATAGTTAATATTTTCATGATCCTGAATAGGAAAGGATGTCTTTAGAATATTCCCAAAGACAAACACCATTAAATAAAAGTTTGATAATTTCAATCATTTTTACTGTAATAATTTCTGATCATCAAAAGATTCCATAAAGAGAGGAGGCAAGCCACAATTTAGAAAAAGATGTTTGTAACCCATATAACAGACAAAGGGTTATTATGGTTATTTAAAACTAATTTTAAAACCCCCCGTAAATTAATTTGAGAAAGAACAGCAACTCAATGGAAAAATAAGCAAAGACAAAATAGGCATTTCTCAATAGAATCATATTTTTCCCTAAGCAACTGAAAAGATATTCAACCTCATTAGTAAAGAGAGAAAGGCAAAATAAAATGACAATAAGAGACCATTCCGCATCTACCCAGATTGGCAAAAAATCAGTGATATTAAATATTGGTGAGGACATCAGACAACAGGAGTTCCCATGTGTGATCAGCAAGCAGCAACTAATACGATCACTATGGAGAGTAACCTGGTCAACAGAAAGATGAAAATACCTAACATCTAGCAATTCTGCTCTTATTTACAATATTCCATCAAAATCTAATACTGCATTAAGATGTGCCATTTACAAATGTATCATCAAGGAATAAAAAGCTGCTAATTATACTCTAAGATGTCATTAATTTTAATACATATTCTGGTTTCAGAGATATTGAAATGTAAAAAAATGGATCTTAAACTAAATGAAATGTAGTATCTACATTAAAAAACCTCTTGTACATTTGCACTGGGATATATAAGACTGTTTATTGCATCAGTTTTTAATGGTGTCAAAAAAAGCCCCTGAAAACAACAAAAATGTTCTTTGACAAGAGGATTTATAAATAAATTGTGAAATATTCAACTATCTATCAGTGAAAATGAATAAACTATACGTATGCACATTAACATGGATGAGAAAAAGCAAACCAAAATAAGAATGGAAACAGAAAATAATCAATCAATAAAACAGAAAAGAAATGATAGAAAAACTTGACAAAGTTAAAAGGCAGTTCTTAAAAAAAAACAAATCAGTCAAGAAAAAAATTTAAAACACACAGAAATTTCTATTGTCAGGAATAAGAGAGACATCACTGCAGAGACTACAGACATGAAAAGGATAATAAGAGAACATTATGAATAACTTTTATGTGAATAAATTCAACTTAGAAAAAAATATACAAATTGCTTGAAAAAAAATACCTTACCAAAATGATACAATATGAAACAGAAAGTATTAGGACCCCTATATCTATTAAAGAATTGACCCATTATCAAAAATCGTCCCATAAAGAACATGCCAGATTCAGGTAGCCTCACTGGAGACAAGAAAATGAAAGGGATAGAATAAGATAGAATGAGAAGGAAGAAACCAAACCGAGCCCAGGCAGCCTGCAGGCACATGCGGGAAAGATGAATTCTATCAAACTTTTCAGGAAGAAAACATGCCAACCCTACAAAACATAAGAAAATAGAGGAGGCTAACAAAAGCCTAACTGCAAAAGCTGATAAAGAGAAAAAAACAAAACAAAACAAAAAAAGCAAAAGAGAGAGGGAGAAAGAAAAAATGAAAATTACAGATCAGGCCAGGCGCGGTGGCTCACGCCTGTAATCCCAGCACTTTGGGAGGCCATGGCAGGTGGATCACTTGAGGCCAGGAGTTCAAGACCAGCCTGGCCAACATGGTGAAACCCTGTCTCTACTAAAAATACAAAAATTAGCCGGGTGTGGTGGCGGGTGCCTGTAATCCCAGCTACTCAGGAGGCTGAGGCAGGAGAATTGCTTCAACCTGGGTGGCAGAAGTTGCAGTGAGCTGAGATCACATCACTGCACTCCAGCCTGGCCAAAAGAGTGAGACTCCATCTGAAAAAAAAAAAAAAGAAAGAAAAAAGAAAATTACAGATCAAAGATCTCTCATGAACATAGATCAACAGCTCTCAGCTGGGGTTGATTTTGCTGCCCAGGGGACATTTGGCAATGTCTGGAGACATTTTTGGTTGTCACCTTTGTGGGAGAATGCAACTGGCATTGGTGGGTAGACGCTAAAGCAATCAGGGGTGCTGCGAAACCCCTGAGGATGCACGGGACAGCCCCATGACAAAGGATTGTTAGGCCCAAAGGGTCAACAGTTCTGAGGATGAGAAACCCTGACATAGACACAAAAAGCCTTAACAAAAGATCAGAAATAAAATCCAACAATGTATAAACAAGATATATTTATCCCAACCAAGTAGAGTTTATCCCAAGAATGATGCTGGAACAACTGGATATTCCACTGAAGAATAATATGCCTCAACTCTTACCTCAAATGCTTCACAAAAATTAACTTGAAAAAAATCACAGACCTTGCTCTAACATTAAAACTATAAGGCTTTTAGAAGAAAATAGAGCAGGATATCTTTGTAAACTGAGGAGGCAAAGTTTTCTTGCACCCAGAAAATAACAACTATAAAAGAAAAAGAAGGTAAATTAGACTGCATTAAAGTTTAAAACTTCGATTCATAAGGAGAAACTGTTAAGAAAATAAAAAGGGAAGCCACAGACTGGGATAAAATATTTGCAAGCCATATTTCTGACAAAGGACAGATATCCAGGATGTATAATGAACCCCTACAATTTAATAATAAAAAGACAACCAATCCAATATAAAATGGAGTTACCGAATATTTAACTACCCTAACTGGGTTGGAAATCACACACATTTGGTTAGTTTCTGGGTAGCTGTGTGTAGCATATAAACTTAGGCAGTTGCCCCCCACATCCAGGGCAATGAACTCCCCGATCATATACAACTTAGCTCTGGAGCTAGCATGGACTTCCACCTTTTCCAGATATGCCTCCAACCTGCCAGGGCTAAGTCTGGTTTTCTTCCATCTCATTGCATCTCAGCCTGCCATGTCCCTAACTTGACCTGTGGCTCTATCTGTGGATGGTGGGTAACTTTGTGATGATCCTCTTGGGCGGTATCAAATGCTCAGTGTGTAAACTGTCTCCTCATTGTAAATGTGATCGTCTAAGAGGCCACAGAGTCTGGGGTCTGAGGCCCTGATTCCAGTGGCTGGCATCACAATTGCATCTTTCTCCCATTCCCTATCCTGTTTCTTGGTCCCAGAAACCTCAGAGAAGACAGCTCCCTCATGGTCTCTGAGCTTTGGCCAGTGGGTTTTACAGAGTTTAATCAAAGTGGCATCACTCTCAAATGAACCCCCGATAAGTAAGGTTTGGACTCATATAAAGAGTGAGCACATGGCCGGGCGCGGTGGCTCACGCCTATAGTCCCTGCACTTTGGGAGGCCGAGGAGGGCAGATCACGAGGTCAGGAAATCGAGACCATCCTGGCTAACACGGTGAAACCCCGTCTCTACTAAAAATACAAAAAATTAGCCGGGCATGGTGGCGGGTGCCTGTAGTCCCAGCTACTCCGGAGGGTGAGGCAGGAGAATGGCGTGAACCCGGGAGGCGGAGATTGCAGTGAGCCGAGATCGCGCCACTGCACTCCAGCTCCAGTCTGGGCAACAGAGCGAGACTACGTCTCAAAAAAAAAAAAAAATAGTGAGCACAAAACAAGTGTTTTCAAAAATCTAAAATAAAATAAAGGCTTGCTACTGTATTATTATTATTATTATTTATTTATTTATTTTTTGAGACGGAGTCTCGCTCTGTCGCCCAGGCTGGAGTGCAGTGGCGCTATCTCGGCTCACTGCAAGCTCCACCTCCCGGGTTCACGTCATTCTCCTGCCTCAGCCTCCGGAGTAGCTGGGACTACAGGAACCCGCCACCACGCCCGGCTAATGTTTTTTGTATTTTTAGTAGAGATGGGGTTTCACCATGTTAGCCAGGATGTTCCCGATCTCCTGACCTCGTGATCCGCCTGCCTCGGCCTCCCAAAGTGCTGGGATTACAGGCGGGAGCCACAGCACCCGGCCTGCTATTGTATTATCAAGCCTCACATCAACCCAGTGGGACTTTCAACAGTATACTTGTGGGCTTCTCTCTTGGCTTCATAGATAATATGCTTGTGCTTAAATCTCTTCCCAGCCATGTCATACATATTTTAGCCCTGAAAAATTAAGATCAAGGTGATAGCATTCCTACGTTCCTTGAACACAGAAGTGAGACCAGTCCGTTTAAACTCAAGGAAATCTGTCTTATCATGTAAAAACCAGCTCAAATTGTTTCAGAACTTTTTGTCCCTGGACAAAACAAACCAGTCCTGTTTTCAGGGCACATTGTATTGTAGCAATTGGGTGATTGGGTGGTCATTCCCCTGGATGGACTCTAACCCTCTTGGGGACGGGAGCCCCCACATTTGAGTCCTCATTGCCTAATTCTGGACATGGGGAAATAACAAGGAGATATGAGCTCAGACAGTAAAGGACCCAAGGCCAGGTTTGACTTCAGTCAAGTTAACCCCTCAGAGCCTGTGTCCTGCCTGCGAAATGAGAATACACATCACGCTCACTTTAGGGAATTGTTTAAGGCATCAAATGCTCTTAGCACAAGTGCCTGGCACATTGCAGAAGCTAACAAGTGGCAGCTGCCAATAGGTATGAGAGCTAATTAAATGTTTGCTGAACTGGGCTGAATTACAAATGCTGGATCTTCGGGAGTGGACCCAATCCAGAGTGTTTGGGTGGCACCTTGCCACTGAGACCAGGAACCCCGTGCAAGCTGGAGCCGCATTAGACCAAAGCCTCCAAAATTGCTGTACACATAGAGAAGAGGGAGGAGGAGATGTGAGGATCCATTATGAGAAGGAGGAATCTGCTCTTCCCTGTCCTCCTGTCCTCCCTTGGAACTGCCAGCCCTTCAGGCTGAGGATTTCATCTTGCCCCAATGAGATCAGCTTTCCTCGAGAACCCTCTGCATTGCACAGCCAGGGTGCAGAACCCACCTCCAACCATAACACTGCAGAGCTTACCTGCTTGTGCCAAACTCAGGTTTCTTGGCTGCTTGTACTCTGTGCTTCCAATGTGGGCCTCAGAACTCCTATGCTCTGTGTCCAAATGACTTCTCTGGCTTTGCCACTTAAGAATTTCTGCTCATCTCTTCTCTGCCATTTCTGTTTCTATGGTGTCAATGCCTGCCATTTTTCACAGTGCCTCTGCTCTTAGAGTTGTAAGTGGACATCTTTCTCTCCAATTCTCTTAGTCCTTAGGATCTGTCTGAAAGATATTTTTCCCGAAAGAGGCTCCTGCAGTGTTTGGGTGACCTGCTCTCTCCTTTTATGGGAGTATCATTGTTGTCATTGAGCAAGATCCAAAAAGCACATCCTCCATTTCCATGATGTCTACAGAAAAAGCTCTCCCATATCCTTCTTCCACTTCCAAAGGAAGAGAAGATGATATCACCATTGGGTCCGGGCCACCTTCATTTTTCTACTCCGTATGTCAGAATTCTAGAAATGGACTCTGGGTTTGTGTGTTTCTTCTGCTTTCCCTACACCCTCAGCAAATTGAAGGAATGGGGAGCAAGCGGTGGCTTTGGAATCTCTTGTTTCCGCGTAGTGGGAAGATGGTGCTGCCTTTCAACAGACCTGCGAGCTCTGCACTCGCATTTGTTTCCCGTGATGGCCTCCATGGAGGTCACACTCACTCCATTAGCACCCGCCTCCTGGCAGCAGTGGGCCACTTCCCACCTCACTCCTTCAGGAGCTGAGACCTAGGTGGTTTGCTCAGAGCATCTGAGACCACATTCATGAAAGAGCCACATATTATCACCCCAGGAAATTTTAAAACAGATCTTTGAATATATTGTGAGATTGTGAGAGAAGTATTCACAATGTAAACCCCTGGTAGCAGGGATTCTGATAAATATATATACATACACACACACATACATATATATACATATATGTGTGTGTATGTTTAGAGAGAGAGAGAGATTCACACAAAATTGTATTTTTTTTTCATTTTTAAAAAATTTGTCAGCTGGGTGTGGTGGGTCACGCCTGTAATCCCAGCACTTTGGGAGGCCGAGGCAGGCGGATCACGAGGTCAGGAGATTGAGACCATCCTGGCTAACAAGGTGAAATCCCGTGTCTACTAAAAGTACAAAAAATTAGCTGGGTGTGGTGGCGGGTGCCTGTAGTCCCAGCTACGTGGGAGGCTGAGGTAGGAGAGTGGCGTGAACCTGGGAGGTGGAGCTTGCAGTGAGCTGAGATCACGCCACTGCACTCCAGCCTGGGCAACAGAGCCAGACGCTGTCTCAAAAAAAAAAAAAAAAATTGTCTTCTGTCCGACAAGTTAATGAGTGCAGCACACCAACATGGCACATGGATACATATGTAACAAACCTGCACGTTGTGCACATGTACCCTAGAACTTAATGTATAATAATTAAAAAAAAATTTGTCTTAGCTCTCCCCAGTGGAAATAAACGTGGAGAAAAATGGCCGTTTCTTCCACAGGTGACAGCGAAGAGCTCTCCTCTGCCTTAGCCAGCCGAGCTTTTCCTTTCTGAACACCCTCATTAGAGAGCACAGCATGGATAACAATGAGCCATAAAACCCCCTATGAAGCAGAGCTGCCCCTGCACTTCCAGCTCAGGCCCACGCTAGGAGTGCGCACTGGAATCCCTGCTCAGGGTTTCTCTTCTCCAAGAACCATCTGACGTCAGTGCAGAGAGTCCATCGTTACGGGGCAGGTGGAGCAGAATCTAGATGTGCACTGAAGTTTTTTTCCACTTGTGTGGAACAAAGGCTCAGCCCTTATAAAGGGCCATCAAAAGGGACGTGGCTAAGACAGTACACGCCCACCATCCGCAAGATTTGGGTCTCCCAGGGGTCCTCTGTGGCCACGGTGCACTGCATGGGAACAGTGGGCCTCCTTCGACAGGGACAATCAGCTCTGCCATTGGATGCAAGATGCCCGCCCAACCCCCTCCACACACACACGTGGATATGGGCTTTTGATACTACTTTGAACTTGGGGAAGAGCCCATTAGGATGGTGGTAGCAGGTCGCGGAGGAGGGTAAGGAAGCATCTCCCTGTCATGGTAAAACACAGATGACTCTCCCCACACTGCTGCCTCAGCAATTAGCTGGAGCTTGGCGCTGTCCAAGATTTCAGGAAACGGCAAGACTACTTTCCTTTCCTGACTACTGCGTACTATCTGCGTAAGGACCTCAGATGGATCATCCCAGGCCTCACGATTGCCTAGTTCCTTGGCGGAAAGATCCCCATTTTAAAGAAAGAGAAGCACAGGGTTGGAGCAGCTAAGCAACCAGCTAAGAGACAGGGAGTTCGACCCAGACTGCCTGACTCCAGACCCAAGCTGTCCCACCAAGCTACACTGGCATCAAGGAAAGGAAAGGTTTTAGCTTTGGTGCTCTCCACACCAAGACTGTCTTCCATGAACCAGTGAGGAAAGCTGCATTTGTGTTTCTACAGACAAAATTGTTCTTGAATTCATTTGGGGCCCTCGCAAGTCTGATAAAAATGTTTCCCATTCAAAGGCAGCCCTGAAAATCTCCCAGCCGGAGACCTGGCCACACAAGGAGGCTCAGGGCTGCTTGATCACGTGGACTTTGTGCTTCCCCTAAAACATGAAGCTTCTGAGGGCTGGATTGGGTAAGTCAACCACCACCCTGCCAACTCTGTGGAACCTGCAATAGGAACACCTGAGATTAAACAAACACAGGAAAGTAAAAATAAAGAGGACTGTAAGTGGGTTTGGTGCTTATCTTCTTTTCCAACAAAAGATAACAGGTAATTGCTTTTTTATCACTAGCACTTGAAATTTGAAAGTAAAGGAGCCAGGCTTGATATCACACATAAACTTTGCAGTCCACAGATCCTTAACTTCCCCTTCTCCTGCTAAGGCCCAGCAGTCAAATCACCCTGATGCCCTTACACGATTCAATAAGAAAAATAGCCCAGAAGCAACAAAGGAAATGGCTACCATGTCATTTCCAACAGGAGGGTTTATGTGACTGATGACACATATAAATTCCCCTTCCTTCTGCAAAAAGAAGCTTTAAATTATCCTCAGTTCTCTAAATGTAGCCTTTACCTAAAAAGAGATGTTTGAACAGGTGGAATGAGACAGTTTATGGCCTTCCTAGAAAATGAGAAAGCTATTGCCTAGCAACCTAGCCCCCCAAAACTCCTGCTGGTTAACTTTATCTTCTGAAAACGGAACATCTTTAATAGACAGCTGCTGCCTGCAGCTACCAAAGTAAAGAGCTGCCCGGGGAGTCCTCTCTTTCCCGCTTGGGCCTTTGACCAATGCAAAAGCCTCGGGTCTGAGCTTCGAAGGTTGTTTTCCTCCAAGATTAGGATCCTTGGATTTCTCACCACTTTTTAAGTTCTCTTATAGCTCAGCTTGACAGAAATATACTCTTTGCTGTCTAAAGAGTTCTCTGGATCCCAAGAAATTCTACAGCCCAGGAGAGATAGTGCTCTTTCATCTGAAGGTAATTCCCAGGTTTCAACTTACTATTGGAAATTTTTAACTGATAATATTTATTGAATGCTGTTATGGGTTGAATTGCATCCCCTCAAAATTCCTCTGTTGAAATCCTAACCCCCAGTACCTCAGAATGTGATCTTATTTGAAAGAGGATTGTTGCAGGGGTAATCAAGTTAAAATGAGGTCGTTAGAGTGGGCCCTAACCCAATGTGACTATTGTACAGAAAAGGGAACATTTAGAAACAGACATACAGTGGAAGAAAGCCACGTAAAAATGAAGGCAAGGATTGGGGTGATTGTATTAGTTCTCACACTGCTAATAAAGATATATCTAAGACTGGGTAATTTACAAAGGAAAGAGGTTTAATGGACTCCCAGTTCCACATGGCTGGGGAGGCCTCACAATCATGGTGGAAGGCAAAAAAGGAGAAAGGCACATCCACATGGCGGCAGGCAAGAGAGTGTGTTCAGGGGAACTCCCTTTTATAAAACCATCAGATCTTATGAGACTTACTAACTGTCATGAGAACAGCATGGGAAAGACCCACCTCATGATTCAATTACCTCCCACAACATGTAGGGATTATGGTAGCTACAATTCAAGATGAGATTTGGGTGGGGACACAGTCAAACCATATCAATGATGCTTTTGCCAGCCACCAAGGATTGTCATCGAACCACAGGAAACTAGGAGAGAGACATGGAACAGATTCTTCTGCATGGCCCTCAGAAGGGACCAACATCTTGATGTCAGACTCCTAACCTCCAGAACTGTGCATCAATAAATGCCTGTTGCTTAAGCTGCCAAGTGCATGGTGCTTTGCTACGGCAGTCCTATGAAACTAACACAAAGGTTTACCACTTGCCACGTGTTGTTAATAGGTGTATCCTTTCCCCTTCTCCTATAACTCCTCCAGCAAATCCATGTTTGATTAACCATATTTAACGCAGAGGGAATATGTGACTCAGAGGAGTGAGTAACTTGTTCGACATCCCACAGCTCCAAAGTGAAGGAACTAGAATTCAAACCCAAGTTGGATGCCTTGGAAGCCCATGCTTAACCCTGTACCATTCTACCTCTGCTTATTCTAGATATGGCTCCCATCACCTGATCATGAAGGGTTTCCTCCAAAAGTAGCTAAAAGCACAGCTAATTGCTAACCAGGCCAGGGAAACCCCAATGCCAAGGCACGATGAAATATTTAATATGTTGAAGTGAGGCATGCCAGCTGAGCTGGAGCCAGGAACTGGTCCTTGGCTGATGGGCAAGAGATTTCTGCTGCATAAAGCTGGGCCTGGAGCAAAATTAGCTTTGAAGTTGATTAAACATCCCCAGCTGCAGGGCCATGGGGAGAAAGAGCCTGGAGGCAGCCCCCACAGTCCCCACAGTCCCAGCTCAGAGCAAGACAGCAGGCAGGGACCTTTCCACCGCAGTGGCAGATCAGGAGACTTCAGAAGGAATTTTTCACTTTTGGAATGCGCAGCAACCCATTTGAATTAGCGCCTTTAGCAGGAAAAGCAAATCGGCTGTGAGTGGAATCCATGCTAGGGTTCTGTTCCACAGCAGAGAGAGGCTAAAATTATTACAGACAGGTGAAGGTGAATTTATACTGCAAACAAGGTCACTGTGTTTATAAAACTAAACATATGGGGGGAGGATGTGTGTGAAAGGATTCTTGATTGTTAATGGGAGTCTCTGCAGTAGCGTTTTATGGCAGGAGTGAAGCTTTCATATCAAAGAAGCTACTGCCATGTACCATGCTAGTTAAAATGAGAGGCCATATGAATAAATGCATTTTAGTGATTCTTCTATTCACACAGACCTTCAGCCAAACTACTACAGAAATAAATTCGTTCCATAAATATAATATGAATGAGATGACTAAGTTCTAAAACCTAGGGAAAAAAACTTTAATAAAGCAAAAGAAATATAATACTTATTTTGTGATTTCTATAAAATGGGCAAACTTCTAAGGCTAATATATTTGGAAAAGTTTGTAAATTAACTTTTTCCAGCAAATAGTTATTAAATACGTTGCATGACTTGTGAATTTTTTAATTTCATATAAACAATGAAATTTCTTGTGATGAACCATGAAATGCTAAATAATAAAACTTTAGATGCTAGGAAGAGGCAAGCATTCCCAGGCTTACTAGGGGTGCTGCTAACACAGAAAGATTGCAAAGAAAGAGGCACGAAGCTGGAATGGAAGATCACTATTTCAGGTGATATAATTATCTACCTGTAAATCCAAGGGTTTTAACTGAAAAGCAGTTAGAACTACTAGGAGTGTTGAATAGTTTAGCCAGAATCAAAGCAGCCTCCAAGAATAAATAACTTTCATAAAGAGCAGTAACAATCAATTAGAAAATATCAGGAGAAAAAATTAACAATGGCAACAAAATTATAAGACCTGCAGGAAGACATCTAACATCAAATATGCAAGACCTGTATCAAAAGTATCATAAAATTATAGTGGAGGAAATAAAAGGAGAACTTAATGAATGAGAAGACTTAACATCTTTCTAGATGAAAAAGTAAAAACTGTAAAGTCATACCTGCCCAAGTTAATTTATGAAATTCCAGATTTAATCAAAAACTTGACAATTAGATTTATAAATTGAAGTGGAAGACAGAATCCATAAGAATAACCAAAGGCTGGGTGCAGTGGCTCATACCTGTAATCCCAACACTTTGAGAGGCCAAGACAGGAGGATCACTTGAGCCCAGGAGTTTGAGACCAGCCTGGGCAACACAGTGAGATCCCATCTCTACAAAAAGTTAAAAAGTTGGTCAAGCGTGGTGCCACGTGCCTACCGTCCCAGCTACTCAGGAGGCTAAGGTAGAAGAATCACTTGAGCCTGGGAGCCAGACGGTGCAGTGAGCTGAGATCATGTCACTACACTCCAACCTGGGAGACAGGGTGACAAAGTGAGACCTTGTCTAAAAAAAAAAAAAAAAAAAGAACCAAGATAGTTAGTGAGAACATACAATGAGAGAGGACTACTGCCATACTGCATATCGAAACCTACACTAAGGCAGTATTAAGTAAAACAGTGTGGTCTCAGCACAGGAAGAGATGGATAGATCCATGGAAGAAAACAGAGTGAGACATCCATGTATATTTGGGAATTTAGTTTATGAAAGGAATATTTTAAATCAAAAGGAATATTTGCGTATAATATTCGTAATCTGTTTGGGGATAATGTTATAGTCCATATTTAAAGCCATACACCAAACTAAATTTAAAATGCATTTAAAGTATAAATATAAAAAAGTGAAATTTTCAAAAATGATAGAAGGATGTTTTGATACTACTGGAAGTCTTACTAAAGAAGACAAAATATCTAGAAGCCGTGAAAGATGAAGAGCTGGACTATAACAAGTAATTTTTATATGACAAATGTATTACACACAAAAAATAAGATGCTTAACAGACTGGAAGAAAATACTAATATTCTGGCTATAAAAGTAACTCCTATGATTGTATTAGAAGAAAACACTTTAGAAAAGTGAGTAAATGATTTGAACATGGATGTTACTGGAAAATAAATACAATGGGATAATATATACTAAAAAGATGCTAGAGCTCTTTAGCAATTGGATAAATAAAATTTTAAAAAACATTTAAAGAAAATAAATTAAAATAACAATGTACATCAAAGGGCATCATCAAGAAAGTGAAAAGATAATCAACAGAATGGGAGAAAATATTTGCAAATCATATACCAAATAAAGGTTTAATATCCAGAACATATCAAGGACTCTTATAACTCAACAACAAAAGACAAGCAATCCAATTTAAATATGGGCAAAGAACTTCAGTAGACATTCCCCAAAACAGATATGTGAATGGCCAAAAAGCACATGAAGACATGCTTAACATTATTAGTCATTAGAGAATGCAAATCAATACTGCAATGAGATACCACTTCCAACCCACTAAAATGGCTATAATTAAAACAAAACAGAAAATAACAAGTGTTGGTGAGGATGTAGAGAAATGGAAAGTCTCATCCGTTGCCAATGGGAATGTAAAATACTGCAGCTGCTATGGCAGTTCCCCAATAAGGATACAAAGAATTACCATATGACCATATGATCATGCATACAAACCCCAAATAATTAAAAACAGGGGTACATACTTTCACAAAGTGTTCACATCAGCACTACTTACAATAGCCAAAAAGTGGAATCAACCCAAATGTCCATCAACAAATGAATGGATAAATTGTTGTACATACATTCAATGGAACATTATTCCAACAAAAAGGAATGAAGCCGTGACACATGCTATTACATGGGTGAACCTTGAAAACATGCCACACGAAAGAAGCCAGACACAAAAGGTCATATAGTGTATGATTCTCTTTACATGAAATGTCCAGAGTAGGTAAATTTACAGAGATGGAAAGCAGATTAGCAGTTTTTAAGTACTGGGGGAAATAGGGACTGGGGAATAGGAAATGACTGCTTAGTGAGTATGAGGTTTGGGAACTAGGCCAGGTGCAGTGGCTCACATCTGTAATCCCAGCACTTTGGGAGGTAGAGGCAGGTGGATCACTTGAGGTTAGGAGTTTGAGTCCAGCTTGGCCAACATGGTGAAACCCCATCTCTACTAAAAATACAAAAATTAGCTGGGTGTGGTGGCAGGCACCTGTAATCCCAGTTACTCGGGATGCTGAGGCAGGAGAATTGCTTGAACTCGGGAGGTGGAAGTTGCAGTGAGCTGAGATTGTGCCACTGCACTCCAGCCTGGGCGACAGAGCGAGACTCTGTCTCGAAAAATAAATAAATAAAAAATAATACTTTTTTTAAAAAAAGGTTTGGGAACTAGATAAAAGTGTTTGTTGCATAGCATTGCAAATGCACTAAATACCACTTAACTGTTCACTTTAAAACAGTTAATTTCGTATTATACGAATTTTAACTCAATTAAAAAAGCAACAAGGAGATACTCTGTCTTTTCTTTAGCATGGCAAATACACACACACACCCCTATAAAAATCCAGCATCAGGGTGTGGGAAGGTGGGTTCTTCCCAAACTATTGGCTGAAATGTAGACTGGTAGAACATTTACGGGAGGAAAACTTGGCAGTATCTATTAAAATGTACAATGTACATACACATACCTTGTGATTCATCTATTTCACTTATAGGATTCAATGCCACATGTGCCTCAAGATATGTGTATATATGTATATATTCGGTTCACTGGTGTTTTGTTTAGTTACAAATGAAACAAATTTAAAAATTTTAAAAACTGTCAAATGTGTGTTGTTGATTTTGTTGAGAGCCTCAGAGAAGAAAGTAAACAATGAATTGGTCTCTAATTTCCCTTGAAAATTCCTTAAATCACCCATAAATTACATATATGTGTTTCGTGTGAACTCCGTACAGCAATACAAATGTGTAAATATATTAATTTACAGTATAGTATATAGTTTCATAAAGTGGCGGTAATAAAATGAAATCACTCAAGTGCTGTGCTGCTTAGACACAGTTCAACAAATTTGTAAATATTCAAGCCTGCTAGCTCTGCCTGCCTGTCAGTCATCAACCGTCTGTGCACCTCTGTTCTTTCATCTGAAAAATGGGGATGAGAAACATTCCTGCCTCAAAAGGTTATCGAGAGGAGCAATGAAGTTAATTCAGATAAAGTGCTTAGCATTATGTCTGGCACATCTTAAGCACACAGTAAGTGTAGGATATTATTAGGCACTCAAGGGGTTGACATTTGGAAAGCAGATGTAGGTAATTCAGGACAATTTTTCTATAATTCAAGGTGATGAGGGCTACGGCAGCATAGGCACATGCTAACATGGAGTATTAGACCTTCCCATCAGGACTCAGTACCATGGAAGCTGCAGGTGACCCCATTCCCTGAGACCAAGCCAATGGCTCATGGTGGAGACAAACAGCTAATATGCTTTTGCCTCTGATGGTCACATTCCATTTCTCCATGCCTATGCTTTCTACCATTAGCACATATGCTTAAGAGTTTCCTGTGTTTGTTCTCTGGAAAATAAACTGTTGGAAAGAAAGATCAGTTTTCATTAGCAGTGTCATTACTTTCAAGAAAATGCTTTCTCAAAAGAGGTAAAGAACACTCAGAAGGTTGGTATCAATGTGACCTCCCCTGAAAGCCTCAGTGAACTGCTGACTCGAGCTTCAAGGCTATCACCACACATCAGCCACATACCAGGGTCGCGGTGACATGTCAGCAGAAGTAGAAGGAAGCTAGGTAGGACTAGGGCAAGCTGGCGAGCCCTGTGCTTCAGGGGTGGGTGATTCTCAATTCAGCTGCTGGAAGCACAGGTCCGGTGTTGCCAGATCTTCTCATTTTTAAAGAAAAACTCTATGCTTGAATTTTTATGTGAAATCTTACAATTTTTTAATATTGTCAACTAACTCAAAGTAAATGACAGAAACTCCCTGGGACCAACCAAAGACTTTTCGAGATGGACCTGGCCCAGGGGCCCCAGTTGGTGACTTCTGTGACATACATTTGTCCTTACAGATGTGAAACTGCATCTGCTCATAGACCATGACTGTAAATATCATAGGAAAACTATCTGCTGTACCCTTTGGGTCCTACCAAGCCCAGCATTACATGGGAGGTGGCTTCCCATCCCCAGCCTGTCAATCATCCGCCTCTAGAACTTGGCCCATCCTCCCCTCCACCAGGCGCTCGTGGGCCACTACCCCTGCTGGGGGCCATTGCGTGAAATAACACCTGTAACTGTACAGTGCTATCCACACAACTCACTTCAGAAAAATAAACCATAAGACACATTCCCAAGCAAGAAAGTGCATGTGAGAGGTTTTTTTTTTTCCTTTCCATCGAAAGTTAACAGAATTTGTGACATTTGGCATTTCTGCTTTGTTGGTGGAGATTTTAGAAAGATTATGTTAAATGAATATAAAGAGGAATGATAGATTTAGAGGAAAGAAACTACGAAGCCACCAGGCAATGCTGCAGAATTGATTTTTCTTAAGTGAGGTGAGTGAATAATCGCATAATTCATGGGCTGGGAGAGGTCCTCTGAAGTCCATTCTTCCCTGATGGTGTAATGCCCCTGCCTTGCCCTATCAATCCTGCCCATTTGTACTGCCAAAAGTGGTGGGGAGGACTTTGATTGCCTGATGATTTTCACTACTATTCCCCTTCCTATTGATTGGCACCAGTAGGGTGACAAATGTTGAAGCCAATTCCTAGGCTAGATTTTCCCATCCTTGGTGTGGACAAAACGATTTTTAAACACCACTCTTGTTTTCAGAAGAGATAAATGCTGACCTATTATTTAAAAGATGTGGTGCAATGTTAACCTGTGCCTGAAAATAAGCATCTTACAGCTTAGCCAAAGTCATGCAGGTCATGCGTAATGCACCCCCGCTTCCCATGCCCTCCTAACACCCTTGTTCGATCTCTGTTTCGTAATCATACCCAGCCCTCCCTCTGATCTCTCTCATCCTCCGGAGCCAGGTCTCTGACCCCTGGGACCCATGCAAAAGGAGGTGAAATTGAGTGTAGTAAAATCTCCCAGAAACTACAGTTCAGTGTACAAAATGTACAAGCCACGACTGGTTTTCCAATATCCTAACCCTTCTTGGTCAATGTGTCCCTGTAGCCTTAATTAATTCCTTGTTCTTCCCCTTTTATAATGTTAAGGAAGGCATCCTGACCTGCACTGTCTGGCCAAGTGAATGATACAAATCCTTTAGATTTTTTAGTCACTGATTTAAAAAAAAAACCTTTAAAAGTATTCACTTATTCTTACCAACATGTGTTGGCTACTTCAGGCTTACTCTAGCCGTTGCCTACCATCCCAAGATGGTTGCAGAATCTAGAGGTAGCAACCTCTCATAATGTTTAAATGGGACTCTCTCCTTTTCTCTTTGGCAAACCCATTTACTGGAATTCCTGAAAGCAAATATGAGAAAGATGTATCCTCACCGTATAGCACTTTTCTGAGCATATAACTCTTGTTTTCACACCGTCAGCATGGAATGCCCCTCCCCCTCTTCTCTCTCAGTTAATCGGTTCTTAACTTTTAATAACCCAGTTTAGGTGTTGGAAGTTAGGGTGGTGGTTCTTCTCGGGGAGGGCAGTGACTTATTTCTGACTTATTTCTTATTTCTTCAACTAAATACCACTGATGTTGTTCTGGATGCTATATATAAAATATATGTAAGAGCTATCTATTCTGTATAAAACTAACATAAGCAGACTCTTAAAGGTGGAGAGGAGAAAGACTAGCTATGGACCTCGAGACCCAAAAATGACATGGTGACGAATTCCCTGGATTTTCTTTTGTCTCATGCATCTCAGACTTGAAGCTACAGGAACAAGCAACCTGAAAACATCAAGGGCCAAAGACAGAAAAAACCCCAGGCAAAGCCTGCTCCCTAGGAAAAACAAAAACCAAGAAAGACACGACAGAGCTAGACAGAAAACTTTCAGACAATAACCACTCTACTCCAGCCAAACCCCACAGAATAAAACTGTACCCTCATGCCCACATGCCAGCAAAGGCCAGCATGCCTCCACACTTGTGAGGCTAGAAAGAAGCACCCTAACCTAACTGGCAGGGTGGGGTCAGAGAAAGCCAGGCTGAGCGGGAGCCAGAATTCTCACCCCTGCCTGCCCCCAGGTTCAGTGCAGATCACTTGGAGAGCCTAGACTTCCACCCCCACCCAGCAGTAAGGAGGTATCTCTTCCCCTCCCCACCAGGATGGTGCCAGAGGAGACCTTGTAGAGATTTTGGACTCTTACCACCCACCAGTGATAACAGGACCACCTCCAGGGTAGTTCAGGGGAAGCCACGTGGGAAGCAGTAAGGAGGCACTCCTAAGCCTCCCCCCACCCAGGGAGATGTCAGTGGAGGCTGAGTGGGGAGCAGAGCTCTCCTCACTGCCCAGCAGCAATGAGGATTTCCCCCCTCTTGGGTGTCAACTGAAGCCTAGTGAGAAATCTGGACTTTTACCTCCACCTGGCAGTAACAACGTGGCACTCCCAGGCATAGCAGTGTCAGAAAAAGCCAATTAAAATAGAAGATTTAATAAGATCCAGAGTTTTATAACATGAGTGTCCAGGTTTTCATTGAAAAATCATTCATCACCACCAGGTGCGGTGGCTCAGGCTTATAATCCCAGCACTCTGGGAGGCCAAGGCAGGTGGATCACTTAACGTCAGGAGTTCCAGTCCAGCTTGCCCAACACGGCAAAACCCCAACTCTACTAATACTACAAAAAATTAGGCAGGCATGGTTGCGCATACCTGTAATCCCAGCTACTCAGGAGGCTGAGGCACAGGAGGTGGAGATTGCAATGAGCCAAGATCGTGCTACTGCACTCCAGACTGGGCAACAGAGCGAGACTCCGTCTCCAACCACAACAACAAAAACAACAAAAAAAGGCCGGGCGTTGTGGCTCACGCCTGTAATCCCAGCACTTTGGGAGGCCGAGGCGGGCGGATCAGGAGGTCAGGAGATCGAGACCATCCTGGCTAACGCGGTGAAACCCCATCTCTACAAAAAATAAAAAAAATTAGCCGGGCGTGGTGGCGGGCGCCTGTAGTCCCAGCTACTCAGGAGGCTGTGTCAGGAGAATGGTGTGAACCCGGGAGGCGGAGCTTGCAGTGAGCCAAGATCGTGCCACTGCACTCCAGCCTGGGCGACAGAGCAAGACTGTCAAAAAAAAAAAAAATAAAATAAAGAGAAAGAAAGAAAATCATTCGTTCATCACAACAAGAACCAGAAACATCTTTAACTGAGTGAAAAAAAAAAAAAAAGACAATAGATGCCGACACTGAGAGGACAAACACACCGGACTTATCTGAGAGAGAAATTAAAGCAGCTATGATAAAAATGCTTCGACAAGCAATTATAAGCTCACTTGAAACAAATGAAATGAAAAAGCCTCAGCAAATAAAATAGAAAATCTCACCAAAGAAATAATGGAAACTGTAAGAGGGTCAAATGAAAATATTAGAATTTTAAAAACTAATGAAACAAAAAGCTCAGTAAAGAAGCTCAGCAGAAGAATGGAAGGTACTTAGGAAAGAATCAGTGAGCTAGAAGACAGAACAATTGAAATTGCCCAAACTGAATAACTGAGAGAAAATAGCCTGAAAAAAAATTGAACAGAGCCTCGTTAAGAACCTGTGAGACTGTAATAAAAGATCTGACTGTATGTCATTGGAGTCCCAGAGGAGAAGAGAAAAGGCTTACACTGAAAAAGTTCTTGAGGAAATAATGGTTAAAACTTTTGAAATTTGAAAAGAGACCAAAACCTACAAATTTAAAAAGCTTAGTGAACACCAAAGATGATAAACAAACAGAAAAAAAAATCTACACCAAGACACATCATAATTAAATGTGATGTGAAAGCCAAAGGCAAACCTATATATAGGCTTAACATAATTCCTATCAAAATCTCAACAAGATTTTTTGTAGATATAGACAAGATGCTTTAAAAATTTGTATTGAAATTCAATGTAACTAGAATAACAAAAATAATTTCATAAAAAAGCAAGTGGGGCCGGGCACAGTGGCTCGTGCCTGTAATCCCAGGACTTTGGAATGCTGAGGCAGAAGAATAATTTGAGGCCAGGAGGTTGAGAACAGCCTGGGAAACATAGCAAGACCCCATCTTTTTTTTTTAGACAAAGTCTCTCGCTCTGTCACCAGGCTGGAGTACAGTGGCGCAATCTTGGCTCACTGCAATCTCCGCCTCCCAGGTTCAAGCGATTCTCCTGCCTCTGCCTCCCCAGTAGCTGGGATTACAGGCACACGCCACCACACCCAGCTAATTTTTGTATTTTTAGTAGAGATGGAGTTTCACCATGTTGGCCAGGATGGTCTCGATCTCCTGACCTCATGATCCACCCAACTCGGCCTCCCAAAGTGCTGGGATTACAGGCATGAGCCACTGCGCCCGGCCGCAAGATCCCATCTTTACCAAAAACTAAATAAATAAAGTGGAAGAAAACATTCTACGGGATTGCAAAATTTATTACACAGCTTTTTTTTTTTTTTTGAGACGGAGTCTCACTCTGTCGCCCAGGCTGGAGTGCTGTGTGGTGCTGGCAGAGGGACAGACCCAAATATTAATAGAATAGAACAGAAAATCCAGAAATAGATCCACATAAATAGGACCAAGTGATTTTTGACAAAGGTGCAAAAGCAATTCAATGGAGGAAAGCTAGCCTTTTCAGCAAGTGGAAACAACTAGACACTCAAAGGCCAAAAAATAATCCTTGACCTAAATCTCACATCTTATATAAAAATAACTCAAACAGGATGATAAACTTGAATGTAAAACTATAAATATTTTATAGAAGAACGATTAAAGGAAATCTTTGGAATCTAAGGCTAGGCAAAGAATTCTTAGACATAACACAAAAAGAATGATCCACAAAAGGAAAAATTGACAAATTGTACTTAATCAAAGTGTAAAACTTTTCCTCTATGAAAGACCTTGTTCAGAAGATGAAAAGACAAGTCACAGAGTGAGAGAAAATATTTGCAAGCCACATAGCTGACAAAGGACTAATATCTAGAATATTTAAAGAGTTCTCAAAACTCAACAGTAAGAAAAACAAACAGCCCAATTAGAAAATGGACAAAAGACATAAAGATACATTTCACTGAAGAGGAAACACAGATGGCAAATAAGCATATGAAAAGATGTCCAGCCTCATTAGCCATTAGGGAAATGCAAATTAATACCACAATGAGATACCACCACATACCTATCAGCATGGCTAGGATTAAAAAATAGTGACAACACCAAATTCTGGCAAGGACACAGAAAAACAGGATTACTCTTACACTGCTGGTGAGAATTTAAAATGGTACAGCTGCTCTGGAAAATAATTTGGCAATTCCTTAAAAAACTAAATATGTAACTATTCTATGAGTCAACAGTTTCACTCATGGACACTTCTCCCAGAGAAATGAAGAGTTGTGTTTACACAAAAACCTGCATCTGAATGTTTATAACATCTTTATTCATAATAGCAAAAAAAAAAAAAAAAATTTAAGAACAACCCAGATGTCCTTCAGTGGATGAATGGCTAAACAAACTGGTGCATCCATATCATGGGACGCTCAACAAAAATAGACTAGTTATACATGCAACAACCTGAATGAACCTCCAAAGAATAACACCAAGTGCAAAAAGACAATCCCAGAAGGATACATGCTACATGCTATACAATTCTGTAAAGCTTTCTTTTTTTTTTTTTTTTTTGAGACAGTCTCTCTCTGTTACCCAGGCTGGAGTGCAGTGGCGCAATCTCAGCTCTCTGCAACATCAGCCTCCCGGGTTCAAGCAATTCTCCTGCCTCAGCCTCCTGAGTAGCTGGGATTACAGGCACCCGCCACCACGCCTGGCTAATTTTTTGTATTTTTTAGTAGACAGGGTTTTGCCATGTTGGCCAGGCTGGTCTCGAACTCCTGACCTCAGGTGATCTGCCTGCCTCAGCCTCTGAAAGTGCTGGAATTACAGGCATGAGCCACCGCGCCTGGCTCCTATACAGCATTCTTGACGTGACAAAATTATAGAAAAGGAGGATAGAAAAGTGGTTGCCAGAGGTTAGGAAGAGGGAGGTGCAGAAGGGAAGTGAGTGTGACTATAGAAGATCAACAGGAGGGAACCTTGTAATCACGGAAATGCTCTGTCTTGAGTATACCAATGGCAGTATCCTTTATGATACTGTAGTGTAGTTTTTAAGATGTTGCCATTAGGAGGAAATAGAACAAAGGGTATATGAAATATTTCTGTATTCTTTCTAATTTTTTGGAGACAGGGTCTCACTCTGTCGCCCAGGTTAGAGTGCAGTGACACGATCTCAGCTCACTGCAACCTCCGCCTCCTGGGTTCAAGGAATCCTCCCTTCTCAGCCTCCCTAGTAGCTGGGATTACAGGTGTGTGCCACCACGCCCAGCTAATTTTTGTATTTTTAGTAGAAATGGTGTTTCACCATGTTGGCCAGGCTGGTCTTGAACTCCTGACCCCGGGTGATTCACCTGTTCCAGCCTCCCAAAATGCTGGGATTACAGGCATGAGTCACCGTGCCTGACCTCTTTCTGTATTATTTCTTTAAACTGCACATGAACCTATAATTGTCACCATATTTAAAACCTTCAACTAAAAACAATTACAATGCCACTGCCTTTCTCTAAACTAGGATTAATGTGCCTCTCTTCTGTGTTTTCTCCCTCTGAGGATAACAGGGTGAGGACAGAAGGGAGAGGGAAGAGAAAATAATAAATAAAATGGTGGACTTAAGCCCTAACATCTCAATCATTACATTAAATGTAAATGTTCTAAATACACAAATACTCCAAGGCAGAGCCAGCCTTAGAGCTGGTAGTCCTGGATTTAAGTCCTTGGCTTTCACATCCAAGCTGTAAAACCTTGAAGAGGACATTCATCCCCTCCAAGCCTCAGTTCTCTAGGCAAGGGATAATTCAATCTACTTTGAAGGATTGTCTTGAGACTAGAGAGAACATTTGCTATAATGCACTGGCAAATAATAAATGCTTAGTAGCTGGTAACTGTTTCTACCACTACCAACACCTCTGTGTGGACTTGGTCCACTCTGCCTGGTGCAATAATAGATGGAAATATGAGCTCCTCCCCCACTAGACTGGAAAGTCCTTGTGCAATGTACTGGGTCCTATTAATTTGCTTTTCCCCAAGTACACTTCATAGTCTTTCATGCAGTAGATATCTCAGAAACACATGTTGGATTGAATTCCTGAATGGTTAAACATTATATGGGGAGGGAGTGAGTGTGGGAAAAAAAAATTTGAGGCAGAAAAACTGAAGATTAATAAAAAGAATGAAAACAACTCTGTCAAATGCAACCTACTGAATCTCAGCAGATCCAAGGAGCATAAGATTCCTATGCCAGGTGCAATTACTCCATACTTATGTTTCAGACCACAGGCTGCATCTGAGGACATTTTATATATTGTCTCAAAGAAAAAGGCACAGAAGAGAAACCAGTGGTTTACAGCATTAAATCAAAAATCGCTTTCCTTATTGATAAGGGCCTTGCACGCTTGCTGAACATTATCTCAAAAAGGCCTGCAGAATAACAAAGTAGCAGCTATGTGTCCGTTTGTTGGTAAAACCACAAAAAGCATAGCCTACAACTGAATTCATTTGCTAGAACAAGATAGGACCCACTGCCTTTCCAGGGCATTTCAAGTTACTCCTCCCATTTTCCAGTTTTTGGAGATAGAGCAGGAATTACTGTAAAATGGTTAAGAAACTGGGATACTGTCTAAGGTTAGTACCTAGAAGAACTAGGTTGTCAAAATGCCAGTGGGGGTGGAGAAACTTGGGGTAAGAAGTGATTGGTAAAGTTCAGTTAATCTTTTATTGATAGAGCTTTAGGGTCATCAGTGTAAAAAAGCCTCTATAAAAGATTCTTCTTTGAATGTTAGTTCCTTGAGGCAGGGTCCTCATATGTTTAGTTCATTGCCATTTTTCCCATACAGGGAACCATGTAGTATACACTCAATAAATATCTGTTGAAGGAATGAACAGAACAGCTTGCCTTTGTTATCTTTAAGTGCTTCAGGGTACTGATTGTAGCACTAATTGTAGCACTAAACTGTAGCACAAATTTGCATTTGTCTTAGTTAAATCCAGTCGCAGAACAGAAGTCCCCACACTGGTCGAGAACCTCCCTCCACAACACCTGAGGAAACACAGCTGCAATGCAAATGGGCATTCAAGAGAGTCCTCCTGCCAAACAGAGAAGAACTGGACAGGTTGTCCATCATCCAGGCGTTCTCGCTGCAAAGACCAGACTGAGCCCTGCCAGGAGACGCTGTCTTATAAAGGATACTCACCCAAGATGCTATGCCATCCCCACCACCTGCAGCCCGATCGTGTGGCTCAGTGGGCATTTCCTTTCCGCTTTGCCACGTGATTTACCCAGGAGAAAGGAAATGCTGCAGCAGTACCTGCCGCGCATATGCGCAAAGGCAGAGGACGAAGTAGCAAGATCTTGAGCTCTTGCTGCATGGCGGGATAAATTACATCATCTCTCTGAGCCTCAGTTTTCTCATATGTATATTAGGAATAAAACCAATATCTATATCTTAGGGTTATGAGAATTAATGAATGGAAAACATGGAAAACACTCAGAATGCCACTGCAATACACTTGGAGGAAGAAAATATTTCCAACAAATCGTTTTGGGTCTATTAGACATCGGTTGGGGGAAAAAAATGAACCTCAACCCTGCTTCCCATCATAAACACAAATCACTTCCACATAAATAATAGACCTAACTAAGAAAGGTCAAACCAAAATGCTTCTAAAAGAAAACATAGAAGAATATCTTCATGATCTTGGCACAAAGATTTCTTTAAAAGGATACAGAAAAGCTCTGATTTTAAGAGAAAAAAGGATAAATAATACTTAAGAAAAATCAAGAACTTATATTCATCAAAAGATACCATAAGATAATGAAAAATCAAGCCATAAATGGAGAAAGGATATTTACAATACGTATATCTTATGTTCTATTACGAACTCCTACAAATCAATAAGAAAAAGATAGAAAACACAATTTTAAAACTAGGCACAGGACTTAAAAAGGCACTTCATAAGAGAGTATAGCTAGTGACAAATAAGGACATGAATAGGTGCTCAACACCTATTAATCATCAAAATACAATCTTGTACCACATAATGACATTTCAGTTAATGACAGACCACATATATGATGATGGTCTCATAAGATCATAATGATGCTGAAAAATTCCTATTACCTAGTGATGTCATAGACATCATAACATCATAGCACAATGCATTACCTTTCCTACGTATAGATATGTTTAGATACACAAATTCTTAGCCGGGTGTTACAACTGCCTGTAGTATTCAATACAGTCATGCTGTACAGGTTTGTAACCTAGGGGTAATAGGCTGTATCATCTAGCCAAGGTATGTTGTAGGCTATACCATCTAGGTTTCTGTACATATACTCTATGATAGTTCCGCAGTGATGAAAACACCTAACGACACGTTTCTCAGAACCTATCTCCATTGTTAAGTGATGTATGACTGTAAGACAGAAGAAATGCTCAAATTAAAATGTTTGACAATATCAAGTTTTAGAAAGGATGTAGAAAAACCGCAACGCCCATACATTGCTAGTGTGAAGCTAAGGCGATACAGCCACTTTGGAAAACTGCTGAATCTTCTTCCCAAAGATAAAAAACCCTATACCTACCCTCTGATGTAGCCATTCTACTTCTAGATATATATGCAAGAGAAATGGATTAACATGTCCACCGAAGACAGACACACACGCACACACACACAAGAATATTTGTGGCAGCTTTGTTCATAACAGCCACACATGGAAATAACCCAAATGTCCACCAACGGTGGAACAGATAGTGACATATTAACACAATGGAATATTATGCAGCTATGATAAATAATACTTGGCATAGAAACACACTAGAACATGGGTGAATCTGAGACATAATGTCAAGCAAAAGAAGCCAGACCCCAGAGCATATATTACATGACCATTTCCATCAAGTTCAAGGGGCAAAAGTAATCGATTGCAGTAGAAGTAGGAATAGTGCTTATCTTGGTGAGGCAGCTGGAGATAGTAGTTATGGATGAGGAAAGCCTTCGGAATTCAGAAGGTAGGAGCCTTCTGAATTACTGGACATACTCTATTTTGATTTGGGTGGTGATTATAGAAGTATACACATTTGTAAAATGCATCAAGCTATAAGCCACATTTGTGTAGTTTGCTGCACGTATGTGCTATCTCATTAAACATAATGAAAATCCACTAAGCACGGTGCAAAGTGCATAGCAATCACTCAAAAAATTAGCACTCTACTATTTTTGTTAATTTTACTCTCACAGTGATAGAGTCCTCTTCAACTCCATTCCCTGCTACCAACTTTCTCTGGAAACACTGCAGAGGCAGTACAATATTTTTAAAGCTAAAAACGACTTCTGATTTTTTCTTCTGTCTCAGAAAATGTGTATGAAAGTCAAAGACGCTTTTATTCCAAAAGACTCCTCCTGCTGATTATACTTGGGCAAGATAGCAAAATGTATAGCACAATCAAGCCAACATCAAAACAGAGAAGGAAAGAAATGCAGACAGGACAGCTGATTATCAGATGCTTCGAACAACCTGGGCATTGAAGAAGCACTTGCTCCTTGCTTTAATCTCACGACACTCGCCTTCCTCAGGAGTCTTTTAAAATCCTGGAAAATGTCTCCCAGATTTCCCTTTTATTCAGGGAAGACAATCTGATTGCGGTCCACACAAAAGGAGTAACTTCTCAGAGATGTGGCGTCTGCACATTATCAGTAGGACTCCACCTTACAATCAGCAAGTTCAATAAGGAAGGTGGGGTGGTGACATGGTTGGGCCCACCTGACTCATCAGCGTTTCATTCCTTACTAATTCACAACCTGACTTTGGGTTAACCTTGAATGTTTATGGGATAAATGGATTGGGCTTTGGTAGCAGAGGGGTGAGGAGTAGGAAATGAAACAAAAAAATAGAGCAGTATCCAAGTACTAGATCCTGGATACAAAAGAAACTGGAAGAGGTTGATATATTAATTTATATGTCTCATCATACACTGTTTAAGCTAATCAGGCTGGGCACGGTGACTCATGCCTGTAATCCCAACACTTTGGAAGGCTGAGGCAGGCGCGATCACTTGAGGTCATGAGTTTGAGACTAGCCTGGCCAACATGGTGAAACCCTGTGTCTACCAAAAAAAAAAACAAAAAATTAGCTGGACATGGTGGCCTGTGCCTGTAATCCCAGCTACTCGGGAGGCTGAGGCAGGAGAATCGCTTGAACCTGGGAGGTGGAGGTTGCAGTGAGCTGAGATCGCACCACTGCACTCTAGCCTGGGCAACAGAGGGAGACTCTATCTCAGTAAATAAATAAATAAATAAATAAATAAATAAATAAATAAAAATTAAATAAATAAAAAAGCTAATCAAATCCTCCAAATTTACACTTGGGTCAATGCGAGTGGAGTCAGCATCAGATAGAAATGCTGACAGAAGTTGGCAGATGGAAGTCCCTCTCTCCACATGAATGGTTAATTCACTTCAGAAGTTACTTATTCATAGAAATAGAGAGAAATGACTATACTCCGCAAAGATATCACTCTGTCGATGCCAGAATCCATTTCACACTTTAACCTGCCATAAATCTCCTAAAATAAAATGATACAATTTTGGTGAACACCTGTGAATTTGTGAAGTGAGTTGACCTCACGTTAACCAAAATTGGTGAAAAATGTCTGGCCTAGCCTGCATCAGATGATAAACGAGTCTCCACTTTCTGATAGTATCAAAACCAGCTGGTGGTCTGGCATGTGGTCAAGTTACACCAATGTGGGAACCAAAATGGCCGGGGTTGAGTGCTGTGTCCTGTAACTATAATTTCAGGCCCTCTATCAAGACAAAGAAATGGTATCTAAATTGGGATATGCACAATTGCAAAATGTCAACAGCGAGTACTACAGAGGGACAAGGATGCAAGAAGCGAGATGGGAGGAGAGCTGAGTGGGGACTCTGCAAAGGGCGCTCCCTTCTCCCTCCACGTTTAAATAGAACACGGGCAGTTTCTCCCTGTGCTTATCAAACCCAGATATTTTCAGATGCTGTTCTAGCTGCAAACTCATGAAGTGATCCTTGAAATTATATTACCAACAGAAATTTTCCTTCATTGCTTATTTTGATATAATTTCAATAAATGTACGGTATATAAAATTATTTCTTCATTTCCTCCTGATTCTGAAAATGAAATTCAATTTATGAACCAGCCTGTGGAACTCCAGCAGAGTGCAATACACCGGCAGTGTATTGTTGGCTGTGGGACCAGGTCCCCACGGGAGAACAAATCACCCTTTAAGGGACAAGGTAATCGTCAAGTTCATTTCTAGTGGGTTAAATCGTGACCTTGGATTCTTAATCCATAGCAGCCACCCAGACACCCTATTTCTCTGATCTGTTTTGTGGTCTCTGAAAAGGGGCAGGAGAGAGTTCCTGTAGACATCATGAAGTTCAAACACTGTGAACACAGGTTTGTACTCCAAGCTGTGACCTGTGGGGAAGGCAGAAACCTGGAGCCTGAGAGGCAGGCAGTGCTGTGGGCCCCAGCGTTTCTTCCTGAAGGCTCTGGATAAGAGGGGAGAAGAAAGTTGTTTCTATTAGGTTGGTGCAAAAGTAATCGTGGTTTTTGCAATTAATCAATTTAAAAAAAAAAAAAAAAAGGCAAAAACCGCAATTACTTTTGCACCAACCTAATAGGAACTATGTTAGAATGATGGTCTCAGGTGATGAGTCTCTGATGACTTTTTTAAAGTCATGGAATAGTCAAGACATATGGATGTATAATGAATAACAGGTTGCCCATACTCACCATTCAGATTAAGAAATAAATGTGGCCGGGTGCGGTGGCTGACACCTGTAAGCCCAGCACTTTGGGAGGCTGAGGCGGGCAGATCACGAGGTTGGGAGATTGAGACCATCCTGGCTAACACGGTGAAATCCCGTCTCTACTAAAAATACAAAAAATTAGCTGGGTGTGGTGGCGGCGCCTGTAGTCCCAGCTACTTGGGAGGCTGAGGCAGGAGAATGGCGTGAACGTGGGAGGCAGAGCTTGCAGTGAGCGGAGATCATGCCACTGCACTCCAGCCTGGGCGACAGAGCGAGACTCCATCTCAAAAAAAAAAAAAAAAGTTACCAAAAGTCCTCTATACCTTTCCCCCATAACTTCCCCTCCTCAGGTAAACACTGCCCGGATTTGAGGTCTGTCCTTTCCTCAGTCTACTTTGATACACATATACCATTTCTTTAGCAATCTGTGACATCATTTTGCATGTTGCAAAACGTTTACAAATAATACTGTACTGTTCATACCCTGCTGGAATTCTCTGCTTCTGCTCAATATTTTAAATGAGATTCACCCAGGTTAACACTTGTAGCTCTAATAAGTTCCTTTGCACTCCTGTATAATGTGAGTAGGTCACTTCTTTCTGCTCCTTTTTGTTTTTCACTTTCCAAATTGCCTCCATGGGGCTGGTGTTACTTTGACCATCGAGATGAGTTGGGCAAGGGAGAAACATCCTCCACATGCCTCCTCCCGACTCCTCCTAAGTTTTTGCTCTTGGGGGGTGACGGTGTTGAGTCAGGAACCTGGAAGCATTCGCCAGTCCACTCCTCTCCCAGCCAATGATGCAGTCCTGCTGGCAGCCCTCCTAACGCCCCTCAGACTCTGCAGTATCCTCTTCACTCTCCAGGCCTCACAGCAGGAGCCCACCTTTCTTGCCTATATTGTGGTGCTGTATTTGCCCAGCTTTCTCTTTGTCTTGCCTCAGTCCAAGTTCACCTTCATTCATCCCAACTGCTAATATCCCAGGCCAGGCTACCATCATCTCATACTTGTATTACTTTGCCAGTTTCATTACTGGTGAAACTAGACCAGCCTCCAGCCTCATTGTCAGAAGATTTTCTTAAAACAGAAACTTGTACCTGATCAAATCCCCTCCCCTCCACTTTAAAAATCCTTCAGTGACTTCTCATTGTCTTCAGGATGAAATCCAAACCCCGAAGCATGACATACAAGACTCTCCTTGTGATCTGATCCCACCTGGCCAGCCTCATCTCCTAAGACCACAGCCATCTCCTAAGACCGCAGCACTAACGAGCTGTTGAAATTCTGCAGGCGGGCTGTGCACCCCCTCACCTTGCAATGGTTTCCTCTGAGTATGCTTGTTCTGCCTTTCCTCGCCTGGGCAATGTTAGCCACGGGTCCTTCAAGACACAGCTCAGCTGAGCTGAGAAGCCTCAGGAGGCCTTTCTTGAGCCTCCACCCATCTGAGTGGGGCTCCTTGCTCTGTGGCCCTCAGCATCCGTTCCATTTGTGGCTCCCATGTCAAACTCACACTGTTGGAACACTTCTATGTTACTGCCATGGATGAAGAATCCAAGGTCATGATTTAACCCACTAGTAATGTGTCTCTCTTCTTCCCCAACCAGAGTTGGGCTCCCAGAGAGCAAGGGCTGTGCCTTGTACTCTGGATCCCCAGGGCCCAGCTCAGTGCCCACTCTTGGCAGTGCTGGGTAAATGCTGGATGGACTGAATCAGGCTGCCTGGGGAAATGTGAGGGCCACACACCATTAGAAATGCTAAAGGGCAATATGATCTCATTACTGGAATGACTGAGAAGCCAGTACCCTGAACGTGGCTTTCCCACATCACTGAAGTCCATCTCTTTGTGCCAAAAATACTTGCATGTAGTAATTTATAGGGAACATTTTGTAAAACCATTCTATGCCAGCTGATATTTGGCCAATATTCTCTTATATACCTGGCTGTGTTGTTTACAACCACATTTATCCTCATAGGCCAATGCCTATGCCCTGTGGTTGTTAAATATTTTCAATGTCACTCCTTATTGTATGTTTCCTTAAATTTTTAAAGTAAGCAATACAGATGTTTCCAGCATTTCCATGTTTCCATGCATGCTCTGTTATAATGAGCACCTATTCTTACATAGTAAAATCCAGTCAAGGGTTTCTCCTTACATCAGCGGGCCCCATATGGCTCAGCTTTTTTATGGACACCTGATATCCCTTCTATCAATAACATTTGCTCTCATCTGTCATTTCTCAGTTGACGAGGGCAAGTTCTGTGTTTGCAGCAGTGAATATCTCTTACAGTGATATTCAGAATTGTCACTGGGAGCAGGACTGAAGGCAGCCAGGAAAAGCCACCTGCCTTAAGGAGGCTATGGATCCATCCATCCCCACCAACCCCTGACCCTCCCTCCTCTCCTTTCACCTTCTGCCTCCGCCTGGTTGCTACAGGTCAGTGCTGGTGGAATTGATCGGAAGATGGGTACCAGAGAAGCTGGATTATCTCTGCCATCTCTAAGCAGAAGCCTAATCATTTAAAAAACCAACCAAGAAACCTCACCTTGTTCTTATGTGATAAGTACCAGCCAAGTCAGGATACTTTATATAACAGCTTATTTCAGAGGGTTTCCTTCAGCAAGCAAGTCAGGAATATTTTTTCCTAGTGTTTACTAACAGCTCCTAGTCATGCTCAAAATACTTGCCGGAAATTCTACTGAAATTAGACCCTCAAGAGTTTCAGAGAAAATGCAGCATGACATTATAAATGATAAATAATGTGAAATTAGACACCGCGGAGAACTGCATATTTGGCCGTTTCAAGTTCTAGGCCTCTTTCCTTTCCTCTCATAAGAGCCAGCTTATGTGGAGGTAGGCTGCCTGAAGGTTATACATTTTCAGTTTATAATATCTGCTCTTAACAATAAATATTATATTTCTATACAACTGCTCCATTGTTCCCCCCAACAAATCTCACTAGACAGTTCCCCTTGGCCAGCAAGAATTACTTTCAGAAGGAAATAATCCCCGCAACCTCAGTGATTTGTAAGTGGGTAAGACTCAGCCTAAGATGAAAACACACCAGTGATCCGAGTCTTCATTTTTAATTTCAGCATTCACTTGCAATAGGAGGAAAACCAAATTAATTTTCCACTTTACTTCATTGGCAAACTATTTCTCACTTTGCTGAAGGTTCGAGGCACGGTGATAAATGGTGAATAATAAGCTGCCGACGCGCACGGTGCATGGTTGGAGGCCCTGAGACTTCATCTTAATGGGCAGTCCTGTCCCACCACCAGGAAGCCTCGTCACTGTGTCCAGTCCTGACTCACAATGGCCTTCAGGGCCATTGGAGGGCATAGGTCTCAAACCAGAATGACCCCATGGGCATCATCGAAAATGTAACCCTACTAAGAGAGCCCCAGCACGGTGCTTCTTTAGTGACGGCAGAGGAACCAAAGCCATCCCCATGGAGACGCCTGCTCTTCTGTGCTAGAGGTCAGCAAACGTCTTCTGAAAGGGCCAGAGAGTCAATATCATAGGCTTTGCAGGCCATGCTGTCTCTGTTGCTGCTACTCAACTCTGCACCATGGTGTGAGACCTTCCCTGGATGATATGTCAACCAATGGGCGTGGATGCATTCCAACAGAATTTTATTTCTGGACATTGAAACGTGGATTTTGTATAATTTTTGCATGGCATAAAAGATTATGCTTCTTTTAATCCATTTTAAATGTAGAAAACATGCTTAGCTCAGAGGTCTTACAGAATCAGGGAACCTGATCTTCTAGGACAGTATCTATTCACCCTACAAAGCCTATGTTGGGAGTACATCCCTCTAGCTGTTTGGATGAAACCAAACTCTCACAGGTAATTTAAGACACAAGTACAATGCATCCCTCCACTTCCTGTCACTGGTTTTTACCACCTGCTCGCAAAGAGGTGGTCAGAGTGGACAAACAATTCAGTCACCATGTGCAGCCAAAGGTACCATAACAGCTGGAAAAAAATCAGGAGACTTCTGGAAGAATCTTTAGAAAGTACACCAAGAATATAATTCATAACCTGCCGCTGTTTCCAAAGTGTGGGCCCTCAACCTCTAATTAATCTTAATAGCACTGCTGACTGCTTCTGCTCTTGGTATCATGATGAAAATTCACCACACATTTCATTCAAGCACACGTGAGGCTTGAATACCTTAGAAGAGAGTGATTCCATGGAGATGAAATTGCAAAGCGGCAAGCTGGCTGAAATTCTGCAGCTCACAGAGGAGACTGTGGGTGTGAAATTGTAGGCAATTACATTTTATCACTGCTACACAAGTTTCTGCTGAATTCATTAAAATTTGCTCCCAGAATCGGGTTGGAGGACTGTGGAATTCCGATGACAAAAACGAAAGCAGATTTTCACTCTCCGTGCTGCAGGAGCCACAGAAAGTCCGCAGTGCAATGAGGTTTGGATGTGACTGAGAAATGTCATCTCCTGGAACTGCAGCTGCAAATTAAACAAGGGACTCTCTCACAGAAACAATGACTGCATTCCAAGCAGAGAGAATCAGGGAACAGAGAGGACAGGCAAACAGTGGACAGTTGTGTGCCTGACACAGAGGGAGCAGGCCCCTTTCCCCGGGCCCCGGGTGGCCTGCTGAGCGCCAGTCAACACCTCCAGACAGGAGCACAGGAAGAGAGGAGAGGTGTAAATTTGGAAGTTAAGTTAGAAAGAACCCCCCACTGAGAGATGAATTAGAGATGCAAAAGCTATGACCAGAAAGGTCTTCCTAATTAGAAAACTGAGGAAAGATCTTGGGCCTGACATGAAGCGTTCATTTTGGCTTCAGCACCTCAGCTGGAGAGTCCTGGGTGCCGCCCTCCCGCTGAAGTGCTGACAGCGTTCTCTCCCCTCTGCCCAAGTGGCGACAGGCTGCCCAGAGGCCACTGCAGGCCCAGCAGCTTCCTGCCGGCGTTAGTTTATCCAGAACCTCTATGAGCATGGCCCAGAGGGTCCCTAATGGAGGGAGAATGCGGCCCTCATCTCACTGCTGCGTGCACGTGCTAGCATCTGCCAACTTCCCACATCCAAACTGATTTGCCTAGCCACCCCCTGCCCTCCCTTACCCCCTGCCCTCCCTTAGACTGTATGGAAGCCAAGTCCAAAGGCTGGGCCTCTCCCTAGAGTGGACATCCACAACCAACACTCTGCCTTCTTCCCTCACCAAGACGAACCTGCTAACCACACAGGCAATGAGACATTCCTCTTAACAGAATCCCTCATTCCTGCAGATAGCATGAGACAGAACAGTCCCAGACAAGCCAGCTGGAAATCCAGTCTCCATTAATTGCTACCTGTGGCACCCTGGGTGGCCCAAGTGACCTTGCTGATATGCAGATTGTCCCACCTGTCAAACGGGCACAGAGCAATCTGCAGACGCTCAATGAGCAGTTCCTCTCCCTTCCCTGGGATAGGACTATTTTGGATTCTGAAGGCACAATCAGTTTTAATGGGCACCAGTTGTGTGGTTACAGACAATTCTCCTATAGCCTGCTGCTAAGAGGCCTATAACCCACCTGACAGTCAGCAATATCCAGGGAGCAGAGCCTGCCAGAGCTCCCCAACCAGGACAGTAAAACCATCAGGCGAGCCCCTTCTTTCACAATTTACCAAATGCACATAACCCCATCTGCCAACCTGAGGCTGCACTCGCACACAGCGCAGAGACCAAGATTCCCAGAGGAAGGGTGTCTGACTGAACTCACTTCTCCCAGCCACCGGCAGTGGCATGCTGCCACCCACTCTCATGGGCTGGGCGGAGGGACCCACGTACATTGCTTTCCATGGCTGTGCAGGTGACATCACACATGCACATGATGTCACATTGATGACTTGAAACCAGCCCCGGAGTATTTACACCACAGAAAGTGGCAAATGCTACAACTCGGGGCAAAATTCCCCACCCGCACTCCAGCTGGTTGTTGTTTAAAGTGACCAGCACATGCTGGGCACGTCCACTCACTGCCTTGGGCCCCAAGAGGGGAGTTCATTGGCACTGCAGTAGCGTGGGGCTAAAGAGGGGCCACTCGTCCACCGCACGCCTGCCACCCCCACCCTCACACCGCATCTGGCCTGTGACAGAATGAGCCTTGAGACCCCAGCTTTTACCCCCAAGATGCAGTGAAATAGATCCTGGGCAGCCCAGGCCAAGCCCTGCCTTAGCTTGATCAGGGTTTAACCAGAGCCATAAATGGCCACATGCAAAGCTCCTGTGGTCACTGGGTGTGCAGCGTGGGAAAGAAGGGCTCTGACCTCTGGAGCCTGTTTTTCTATCTATAACAAAAGGACAATCACAGTCAAATCCTTAGAGGGTTTGTGTGAGGATTCAAGGGGATTATTTGTGTGAAAATGTGTGGACCACCTGGTGGCCGTGAGCCCAATCCACATTGATGGCTGTGATAGAGGTGGCTATGATGAGCAAATATCCTGTCTGCCTGCTCAGCAAAGGGATCTGTGAGCACTAAACATAGGAACACAACCCATGGTATCCTGCCTCCAGCGTTTGCTCATTTGCCCACTGTGAAACTATTTGGTCCTGAGGCCAGAGGAATTGGCGGCGGCAGCTGATGGACATCCTGCACTCATTAACCAACACCGACCGAGGATCAGCCAGTAGCAGCCCTGCCTTCAAGTGGCTCACAGTCCTGTGCAGGGCCAGATGAGTAAAGGCCATGACCACGGAAGCTGAGAACAGGCGTTCTCAATCTCAGCACTGCTGACCCCTGGGGCCAGAGCAGTCTCTGCATGAGGGCTGTCCTGTGCCTTGTGGGAAGTTAGCAGCATCCGTGGCCTCCACCCACTGGATGCCCGTAGTCCCCATCCCACCCCAGGTGTGAAAACCACAAATGTCTCCAGACATTGCAAATGGCTCCCACTCGCTATCTGTCTGCTTGGGGAGACATGGACCAGGAACAGGGCTCTAGACCACAGGCCCTGTAGATCTGCAGGCTCGGAAGAAATCCGGAGAAGCATATGCCAAAATGTCAGCAGCAACTTTCCTCTCCACGCTGAGCATTTTAGTCTCTGTGGGCTTTGTAACCATCCAGATGAACATCAAGAATGGAGACCCAGCCCACCAGGTTGTGGTGAGCACAGAAGAGGGTCTAGAAGTGGTGACTCTAACCTGGGTCCCAAAGGCAGCAGCAGCAAAGTCCCACTGTGGGTGCCATCCTCCTTCCATTGCAAACACAAACCAACAGCCAAGCCTGCAAACCTTCAAGGAACAAACAGCTTGGCTCTCAGAGGAGGCCATAGTCTCATCCAAGCAGCATGTAGCCCGAGTCCCTGGAGTTTGTGTCCTGGCGCCCACCCAGTGTGAACCTTGCCTTCAACAGCAAAGAAAGGGCCCACCTTTTGCAGCCTGGAGAAGTTCCCAGATTGAAACCATAGCAACCTCCTCCATCTCATGTGGAAGTGGCCAGCCTTGCTCCACAGCCACCCAGACACACGACTGGCTTTGGGCTTCCTTCTCTCTGCCTCCTACATATGTGTGGCCTGACTACTGAGTGTCCTTCACTCATCCCCACCCTCCTGAAGGCGTCCAATTAAAGACTGAAATGAAGACCTCTTTGCATGACTCAATTACAAGTTTAGGAATAAGACTCTCTCTCTCTATATATATATTATATATTATATAAAATATATATTATATATAATATATAAAATATATTATATATAATATATAAAATATATATTATATATAATATATAAAATATAAAATATATATAATATATAAAATATAAAATATATATAATATATAAAATATAAAATATATATTATATATAATATATATAATATATATTATATATTATATAAAATATATAATATATAATATATAAAATATATATTATATATAATATATAAAATATATATTATATAATATATAAAATATATATTATATAATATATAATATAAATATAATATTAAATATGTAATATAATATTTATATTACATATTATGTAATATAATATTTATATTACATATTATGTAATATAATTTTTATATTACATATTATGTAATATAATATTTATTATATTATATATTTATATTATATATTATATTATATATTATATATTTATATTATATATTATATTATATATATTATATATTTATATTATATATAATATATAATATATAATATATATTATTTTATATAATAATATATATTATATATATTATATTATATATAATATATATTATATATATTATATATATTATACACACACACACACACACACACAAACTTGTGCATCAGTCAATTTGCTGTCACCCTCCCTAAAAACAAGGCACTTGTAGAACACCGAGCTCTGCTTTTTAAAAATGCCCTTCATTATTAGCATCTGGAAAACTGGCACGTTTCCAGTGAAACGAGAAACTTCGCACTCTGCGGTCCAGGCTCTGCACTTGTGGTAGCTTAAGGAACTTCAAAGCTCCTTGTTGTTTGAACAAATTGGAAACAGAAAACAAAGGATGAAAAGAGGCCATCCCCATGCAAGAACTCTCCATCCAGGAGGGGAGCAGAGTCTCATCAGCCTTTGATGTGGCCCAGTGGCCACATTCCTCTCTCAAAGCTCCAGATGCTGGTCGCAGCATCCTCCACCCGCTGTTTTGAGACTGAGTGAACCACCTCTCAGATGCTGTGCTGCACATGCAAGCAAATGCACCTAACAGCATGTTACTGGCCACTGAAGACATGATGGTTAGCCCAAATAGCGCTCCTCCACGTCCCCTTATCATTTCCATATTCACAAAGAAGATCATTTTCCTGTGTGCAGCTCTGGCTATTTTCAGACTACCCTATTGTCATTAGTTATGAATTTTCCACTATAGTCCTGTGAGTGGGCTCATTGCCCAGCCAGGTGTAGGACTGACAGGCAGGCTCTGAAGCCAGAAAGCCTGGCATTTATGCAAGGATAACCTTGGATAAATTATTTCACCTGATCCAATTTGGTCTCCTCACCTTCTAAACATTCACGATCATGATACTTACAGATGGGGTTATAGAATGGATCAAATGGAGGTAGCTATGATTGAAAGACAGTAAGCCAACACGTGATGTTATTAGTTTTCAAAGTAAGCGAATATTCATTAAGGGTCCCCTATGTGTCAGGCACTGTGCTAAGTCCTGGAGATAAAACAGTGAAGAAAGTGGACTGAATCTTTACTCAGAGGAAGAGTATAGGCCTTCAGGGAACAAGAAAGAAAAACATCAAGAATTACCGCCAGTTTCAGTGAGTTCCACAATGGAAACACAAGGGCTGCAATGAGGGATACTGGGGCAGCCTTGCTGGAGTGCACAGGACCAGGCTCCCTGAAGAGCCACCTGAAAGGCGAGAAGGAAGGAAGCCACCGGCAAAGAGAAGGCAAAGGGTATTCCAAGGGCTGGTGCAATAGCCTGGGCAGGCACCTTGAAGCAGGAAGGACGTCGGTTGAGGTTGAGGACCAGAAAGAGAACAGTGAGACTGGAGCTGGTGCCTGTGGGGCAGTGGCATGGAGGACCACAGGTGCTGACCTTTTAGGAAAAGCACTTTTGCTTTTGAGTGGAGGATGGACCAGGGAGGGGCAAGAGCGGAGGCAGCGAGACCAGTTAAGAGGATACATCTGGGAGGCAGGACACACAGGACTTGATGATGGAGCACACATCGGGAAGACAGGTGGGGGAGGGACTTTAAAATGACCTCTAGATTTCCTACTGAGACCGGAAGCCCAGGGAGAAGATTTGGGGGCAAGAGGAGAGGAAGTGAAAATTTCCATTTAGACACACCCATACTGAGAGGCGTATTACCCACCAAAGGTGGCCCTGGGTGGGCCATTGCCTGTGAACATGGAGCTCAGAGGGGACCCTGCGGGGAGCCACAGCTGGGTGCCCTGGTCATAAAGAAGTAGTTACAGCCATGGGGATTGTATTAGTCTGTTCTCGCATTGCTATAAAGAAATACATAAGACTGGGTAAATTGCAAAGAAAAGAGGTTTAACTGGCTCACGGTTCTGCAGGCTGGGGTAGCATGGCTGGGAAAGCCTCAGGAAACTTTCCTTCATAGTGAAAGGCGAAGGGCAAGCAGGCATGTCTTCACTTGGCTGGAGCAGGAGGAAAAGGATGAAGGGGAAGGTGCTACACACTTTCAAACAACCAGATCTTGTAAAAACTCACTCAGTATCATGAGAACAGCAAAGGGGAAATCCACCCCATGATCCAATCACCTCCCAACAGGCCCCTCCTCCAACACTGGAGATGACAATTTGACATGAGATTTGAGCAGGGACATAGATCCAAACCATATCGGGAGGCATGAGACCCTCTTCCCCCACCCCCGGGAGATTTGCTCAGAGAGGAGCAAACCCACAGCTGGGTTGGCTGAAGGAGGGTAACCAGCAAAGCAGGGTCGGAAGCCCTGGAAGGTGACCTGGAGGAGACCACAGAAAGGGGTGTCCTTGAGCCAGAAGAAGATCGAGACTCGACTGCATTCTGTGCTGCTAGGAAGCCAAGCAAGGTGGGGACACAGAGGTGTTGTCACTGTGGACCTTGTTAGAGCAAACGCCAGACTGGAGCAGGTGGAGAAGGGGGACAAGGGATGGGGGATGGTGCCCCCTCTGAGAAGTGTTTCCAAGGGAGAAGAAGCCTCGAGTGGCACCTTGAGAGGGAGGAGTGACTAGGGAAAGATATTTGTAAGATGCGGCAGGTTTGTATGCTGATGGAAATAATCCAGGAGAAGAAATGAGTGGTATTGTTTATTGTACAAGAAATGGGAGAAAAGAGAAGGAGAAAACCTCTGGGAAAGGAGAGGAAATGGAATAGAAGCAAAGTGGAAGCTTAGGCCACTCCCTAAGCTTAGGCCACTTCCTAAGCTTAGGCCACCTAAAAGGTGGGCAAATCTCCACAGCCAGAGGGAGGAGGCAGTAGTTTTCTGCTGCTGTCTAACAAAAAACCACAAATGGAGCCCTCAGAATAGCACATGTTTATAACTCACAGGTCCCTAGCTCAGAAGTCAGGCCGGACCCAACCGGGCTCTGTGTCCAGAGTCACACAAGGCTGGAATCAGCCCGTTAGCCAGGGCTGGTTCTCATCTGAAGCTTGGGATCCTCCTCCCAGCATTTTCTGTTGCTGGCAGAATTCAATTCCTTGTGGTTGTAGGACCACCGTCCTTATTTCCTTACTGGCTGTTGCTGGCCAGAGAATGCTGTCTGCTCCTAGGGGTCTCCCTCAGGTCCTCACCATATAGCCCCTCCGTCTTCAAAGCCAGCACAGAATCCCTCATCCTGAACATCCCTGACCTCAGGAAGGGCAGGACCTTTTCATGGGCTCACTGGTTTAGTCAGACACACCCTGATAATCTCTTTCGATTAACTCAACCTCAAATGACAAGTAACCTAATCATGGGAATTATATCCTATCACATATTCGTGGGTTCTACCCACACATAAGGCATGGGGATTGTGCAGGGCTTGTACCCAGGGGTTCAGAATCTTAGCATTCTGCCTACACCAGATAGAGGGAAAAGACAGCCAGACAGAGGTGCTTTAGGAGGCTCAGAGTGGGGAAGCCAAGGGGCTCACAGCTCACAGTGCCATTTCCCAGTGTAACTGGAGAGGAGTTCACCTGAGAAGGCAGGAGGATCTCCAGGAGGGCTGAAGAGTGAAGACAAGGAGGTTAGGGCATGAGGATCTTAAGGACGGTTCAGGAATGAAGACAAGGAGGTTTAGGGCACCTCCCAGCCAAGGGATGAGGCCGGGCTGGCAGGAGGAGGTCTGGAGAGGAAGATGGGCACCAGAGCCCTGCTGGGGGCAGGGCTGGGGTGAAAGCAGGGGCAGCAGCCCGGGGGCAGGGTGCAGGGTGACGTCAGCTGGCAGGAGGGTATGCAAGTCAGGCTCTTCAAGAAGGGAGGGAGAAAGAGTCTGGGAGCAGTAGTGGGGGGTTTCAGGGAACCAAGGACACCGCCTCTAATTCCAAGCGTGGCTGCCAGGGGTGGGTAGCCACAGGGTGGCCACTTTGAGAAGGAACTGGTCTATGATTCCTGAGGGCTCTGGAGTCCCAAGAGAACCTCTTGTTAGTGCCACATTTGATAGAAAAAATGCAGCTCTTTCTGGGGCCCCACGAGATTCCTGCCTCCTTTATTGCAGCACAGATCCTTACAATAAACTGTCTTTATGGGGAGGAGCATGAGTGAGTCTCTCTTCCTTATAACCTGTAAGGTCCAACTCACCCCAACACTTTATGCTAAGCAGAGAGAGACCAAGAGAGACTGGACCTGCCTTTGAGGGTTCTACAGTCTGATATGAACCCACAAATAATCATCACATACATCAAACCCAGGCAGGCCACAGTTGGGGTATAAACCAAGTAAGTATCTTGGCAATACATTTTTGTAAAGAGATGAGAAAACGAAAAATTAGAAGCAGAAGCCAGGGTGAACAGAAAGAGGGTGTGTCTTGGGAAAAGAACAAGATGGGATTTACTGGAAGTGTGGAGTCTTATCTCTCAGCACAACCTGTTGGGTGTCTATGGCCAATCTATGCTAATGGCTCTCAGTGTTATAAAAGAATAGCCAACCAAAACATGGAAAATAGCTCTTCTGATTGTCCCTAGTAAAATCAACCCAAGGCACAGGGTAACAAAGTTTACAAGGGACCCCAAAACTCCTAAAGTGTTTCTGAACTGTGGAGAAAGCAGGTTGTGTGTCACTTTCAAGCTTAAAAAAGAAAAGAAAAGAAAAGAAAAACAATGCTGCTTTTTAGCTGGTGACTTCACAGCACATTCCATGGTGACGGTACTAAATGATTCATCGTAATCCTTGTGAACCAGAGGCAACAGCATGCAATCTAAAAGAAATGTCTCTTTAAAAATTAAATAAAGCAAAAATGCTCTGCGGGTGCTGGTGTTACACTGCATGCTGAGCTCTGCGCTGATCGTATTCTCCCACGTAATTGCAGCCCCTGGTTTATGCTGCACTATCTCTCTGCCTTTGATTCCCCTGCACAGTATGCTTTATGCCTGCGACTCAGAAACTCCTTGGGGCCCCTGCCCCCTTCATTAAGGTTTATGTCAATCAGTAAAGAGTTATGTGCATTTTCAACAGTGCTGGCACACAGTGGACTTTACGCACTGCCTAACTTTCTTCCTTTAACTTCCCACCAAGCCAGTGTGCTCTCTATGTTTCAGGAGTGAAACGCATTTACATGAACCCCAAGCAGTTAATATATTATGACCCAGTTAGCACAGTTTTACTTCACGGTACTATAATGTAATGCTCAATGATTTTTAAGCAATAAAAGGAGGGACTTTAAAACTTAATTAGGAAAATTTAGACCCTACAGGGTTCGTAATGAGTTTTTGAAAATTTTGGAGTAATGCACTGAGATTCCTGATATTTATCTCATGGGAATCTCAGAAAGGGTTTTTTGAGCCATTGTAAAATCATTCTCAAAGCAACTATTTCTTAGCCTCACTGAAGGTATTTTGCTGAAAATAAATGAGAAACCAAACAAGAATGCCACCACTTCTACGAGAAGCAAATCCCATATTACTATTCCATTTCTGTATTCTTTGGGGAGGTTCCTAAATATCCCCTATGTTTCATGATACTAGGCCACAGCTATGCTCTTTCTCACACTTCCAATCCAGTCTTTCAAAATAATATGATCTCATTTAAAAGAAAAAAAAGTGAAACTATTTGAGTCATAATGGAACCCGTATCAAGATCCCAGAAACATATTTTCTCAATGCTCCCTGCTGCAGCATCTCCACAGACAGCAGTCTCCAATGCCATTTCCATCCCATCCATTTCACAAACCTGTGCTCAGCCCACAGCTTTATCTACTTCCATTAAATAGATGTGCTTGCCGCAGGAAATTGCCATGGAAATAAATGTTAGGTTTGGCACCAGTTCCTTTTAAAGAAGCTGCAATTGGAAACGTAAACGCAGTGAGAAGATGCAGCCAGTGAGAGCAATGCACCCAGCTCCTGACCCACGAGGTCCTTCTGGGGACACTGAGACTTCTTTTAGAAGTGAGTGTAATGCAGTCACTTTTCAAAGACAAGAATCATTCATTCTTGACCCGGCAGGGGGCTCCCACAAACTTGTCCAGGCCAAAGGGCAGGTGAGACTCACCAGGGCAACGATTTGTCTCAGGAGGACTGGCCCTGAGCCCGGTGGCCCAAGTCACCCAGGAGCAGCGCAGTTGGGAACCTGCAGGGCTGCTCCTGCAGCAGAGACTCCTAGCAGCCAGGGCAGTCAGGGACAGGCTGATTACCTGTTGCTCTGCCACTGGGAAGCCTCCAGGCATACCTGCACCCTGGAAGGATGCAGAGGGAGGAGGCGGCACATGAATAATGAATATACTCTCACCTTCCATCATTAGCATTCCATTCAAAGGACGCAAATGAGGCATTCATTTCTCCTCCTGGCTTGAAAGGAGAAGTGTCTCCGGGAATAAGCAAGTGGGACCTGGGGCACTGGGTGGGTTGAGGGGGAAGGTAGACCACCCACTGGGGTTGACTTTCCCACTCACCCTTCAGCAAGGTGACAGTTCACCACCAGGACTGGAAATAACATTGTCAGAGAACAGAACCTGGGACTCCAGGCGTAAATAAACCCAAGACCTCAGGCCACTGGCTACCAAACCTCAAGGGGCACCAATCACACCTAACAATGCAGGTAGTCAGGCCTTATACACTTCCTGGCAGGACACCCAGCACCTGGAATCCCTGTCCTCTCAGAGGAAGTCCCTGCTAGAGGTAGTGGCAAAAGGAAAACCTCAAAAGGCCTTCTGATGCCCTGGTCCGGCATCGATGCTTAGTACATTTGTCAGAGGCATTTGAACCACAGCAAGTCCATCTTGGATAGGACCTGGGTAAAATAAGGCTACGACCTGCTGGGCTGTATTCCCAGGAGGTTAAAGCATTCTTAGTCACAGGAGGCGATAGGAGGTCGGCAGAAGATACAGGTCATACAGACCTCCCTGATAAAAGAGTTTGCAGTTAAGAAGCCTGCCAAACCCACCAAAACCAAGATGGCAATGCGAGTGACCTCTGATCATCCTCACTGCTACACTCCTGTTACAGGAAACGGGTCCTGATCCAGATCCCAAGAGTGGGTTCTTGCATCTTGCGCAAGTAAGAATTTAGGGCGAGTCCACAGTGCAAAGTGAAAGCAAGTTTATTAAGGAAGTAAAGGAATAAAAGAATGGCTACTCCATAGACAGAGCAGCCCCAAGGGCTGCTGGTTGCTGATTTTTATGGTTATTTCTTGGTGATATGCTAAACGAGGGCTGGATTATTCTTGCCTCCCCTTTTTAGACCATATAGAGTAACTTCCTGACATTGCCATGGCATTTGTAAACTGTCATGATGCTGGTGGGAGTGGAGCAGTGAGGACAACCAGAGGTCACTCTCCTCACCATTTTGGTTTTGGTCAGCTCCTTTACTGCAACTTGTTCTATCAGCAAGGTCTTCATGATCTGTATTTTGTCCCGACCTCCTATCTCATCCTGTGATTTAGAATGCCTTAACTGTCTGGGAATGCAGCACTGTAAGTTTCAGCCTCATTTTACCCAGCTCCTATTCAAGATGGAGTTGCTATGGTTCACATGCCTCTGACACTCCTACCAGCACCATGACAGCTTACAAATGCAACGGCAATGTCAGGAAGTTACCCAATATGGTCTTCAAAAAGGAGGCATGAGTAATCCACCCCTTGGTTTAGCATATCATCAAGAAATAACCATAAAAACAGTCAACTCTGTCTATGGAGTAGCCATTCTTTATTCCTTTACTTTTCTAATAAACTTGCTTTCACTTTGTGGCAGGACGAGCCACAGACAACAACCCCTCAGACACCGAATTGTAGAAGGAAAGGGCTTTATTCAGCTGGGAGCATCAGCAGACTCACGTCTCCAAAAACCGAGCTCCCCAAGTGAGCAATTCCTGTCCCTTTTAAGGGCTTACAACTCTAAGAGGGTCCATGTGAGAGGGTCGTGATCGATTGAGCAAGCAGGCGGTACGTGACTGGAGGCTGCATGCACCTGCACTGGTAATTAGAACAGAACAGAACAGGACAGGGATTTTCACAGTGCTTTTCCATACAATGTCCGTAATCTATAGATAACATAACCGATTAGGTCAGGGCTCGATCTTTAACTGCTAGGCCCAAGGTGTGGCGCCAGGCTGTCTGCCTGTGGGTTTCATTTCTGCCTTTTAGTTTTTACTTCTTTTTTTCTTTGGAGGCAGAAATTGGGCATAAGACAATATGAAGGGTTGTCTCCTCCTTTAACTTTACAGACTCGCCATGAGTTCTTTCTTGCACAAGATCCATGAATCCTTCCTCGGGGTCTGGATCAGGACCCCTGTCCAGTAGCACTTTAACAGAGGGGTCCCCCAAAAGCCCCAGGGCCTTCCACAGCCCCCACACTTCTGTACTTTGCCCCTGCCTTGAATGCTGCGCACACCTCCTCACCTCTGGGATGTCTCCAATGAGAGCATCCCCAACCTTCACAGAAGCTGAGGCTCAGCTGAGAGGGTGCTGTTGTTTCCCTGACTGATCCCCAGTACCCAACACAAAGTCTGGCATGAGGAAACTCAGAAAGTATTTCACAAGTGGAGAAAGAGCTCTAACTTTGCTTTTTTTTTTAACCCTGCATAAACAGTGGCTACTATTTTGTTCAAATTCTACCTCATGCAGAGTGAGGTGAAGATCAGAGCCTGAAAATAGGCCCAGTCCCCTGCTCTGGGGGACTTACTTTTTAGTTTCACAAATAGAAGTTTGTGGTAGTTCACTTCGTCTAACAAAAATGTATTATGTTCTTTGCTCCACAACAAATTCTAGTAGTCAAATATTTAAACATTAAGAAGTAAAGCCATAGAAGTATAAAAAAGGGAATAATTGTATGAGTGAGGATGCCCTTCAATGCAAGACTTCAAACACAGAAGTCATGAAAAACTGAAATCATTGACTACATAAAAAATTGGAATGTTGTGCATAGTCACAAAAATATACCATGAACAAAATCAAAAGATAAATTTGAAATTGGCAGAAATATATTGAGCACTCGTATGTGAGACAAAAGATAAATTTTCTTAATGTATAAAGAGTTTCTAAAATAGATAAGGAAAAACAAAGGAAAAACGGTCAAAGGATACAAATGGGAAGTTCACAGAAGAAAAAAATTTAGAATTTCCTTAAACATGAAAATATGTTTGACCTCACTATAAAGAAGAAAATACAAAGTATTGCAACCTGAAAATAATTTCATAAGATGGAAAAATTAGAGATCAGTCTCCAAACATAATGCAAAAATTTTAAACAAAATATCAGCAAATCAAAGCAAGTAATATGTAAAAATAATAATATATATTAAAATCAAGTGGGATTTATTGCAGGGATGCAAGGGTGGCTTAACAATAAATCAATCAATGCAATATACAACATTAATAGGAGAAAAGAGGAAAGTAACACAAATGTCTTAAAAGGTATAAAACTAATAATATTAATTAATAATCTCCAGTACCCATTTATGAACTTTTTAAAAATAAAGTCTTAGTAAACTAAAAATAGGAGGGAACTTCCTTAATGTGAAAGGGTTATAAGGAAATCCACAGCAATCTATGGCCATACCACTCTGAATGTGCCTAATCTCAGAAACTAAGCCTGGTTAGTATTTGGGAGAGGGAAAATAATCAACAGCAAATTTCATTTCTCTTGGTAGAATATTGAAAGCTTTCCCTCTGAGCTTCAGGGATAAGATAAAACGCCTCTTACAACCATTTTTATTCAACATGCTACTCAAGGCCTGGCCTAGTAAGACAAGAAAAAGAAATAAAAAACAGAAGCATTAGAAAGGAAAAAATGAAATTTTTGTTAGAGATAACATGATTATGCATGTAGAAAACCCAAGGGAACCTAAAAACTATTAGAATAGGTGAAGGAAGTCCTAGCCAGAGCAATTCGGCAAGAAAAATAAATAAAGGGCATTTAAATTAGAAAAGAAGAAGTCAAATTGTCCCTGTTTGAACACAGTATGATCTTATATACAGAAAAACCTAAATACTCTACCTAGAAACTCTTAGAACTGAGCTGAAAAAGAAATCTAGAAGGTAATCCCACTTATAACAGCTACCAAAAATAAAATAAAATACCTAGGAATAAATTTAACCAAGGAAGTGAAAGACCTCTGCAAGGAAAACTACAAAACACTGATGAAAGAAACTGAAAAAGGATACAAACAAATGGAAAGACACCCCATGCTCATGGATCAGAAGAATTAATATTATTAAAATGACAATACTACCCACAGTTATTCACAGATTCAATAAAATTCCTATCAAAATACCAATGACATTTTTCACAGAAATTGAAAAAAAAAATCCTAAAATTTGTATAGAACCACAAAGGATTCTGAATAGCCAGCCAAAGCAATCCTGGTCAAAAAGAACAAGGCTGGAGGTATCAGACTATGGTACCTCAAAATATACTACAAAGCTATAGTAACCCAAACATCATGGTACCGGCATAAAAACAGATACATAGACCCATGAAACAATAGAGAACCCAGAAATTAATCTACATATCTTTAGCCAACTGATTTTTGACAAAGGTGCCAAGAACACTCATTGGATAATCTCTTCAATATATAGTGCTGGAAAAACTGAGTCACTATAGGCAGAAGAATGAAACTACGTTCCAACCTCTCACCTTGTAAAAAATTCAATTCAAAATAGATGAAAGACCTAAATGTAAGACCCCAAACAATAAAACTACCAGAAAGAAACATAGAGAAAATGCTTCAGGATGTTGGTAAGGGAAAAGATTTAATGAATAAGACCTCAAGGGTACAGGCAACAAAAGCAAAAATCAATAAATGGGATTATACAGCAAACTGAAAAGCTTCTGCACAGCAAAGGAAACAACCAACAGAGTGAAAGGACAACCTACAGAATGGGAGAAAATACTTGCAAACTATTCATCCAACAAGAGATTAATAACCAGAATACACAAGGAGCTCAAACAATCCAACAGCAAAAACCCAATTTGATTTAAAAATGGGCAAATGATCTGAGCCAACATCTCTCAAAAGGAGACATAAAAAATGGCCAAGAAAGATATAAATTTTGACATCACTAATCATCAGGGAAATGCAAATCAAAACCAGAAGGAGGTATCATCTCACTCTAGTTAAAATGGCTACTATCAAAAAGACAAATAATAAAAAATGCTGGTGAGGATGTAGAGAAAAGGAAACTCTTTATACACTGTTGGTGGGAATGTAAACAAATACATAACACTTCGGAGAGCAATATGGAGGTTCCTCAGAAAACTACAAATAGAACTACTCTATGATTCAGCAATCCCACTACTGGGCATTTATCCAAAGGAAAGGAAAACAGTATATTGAAAAGACATCTGCACCCGCATGTTTGCTGCAGCACTATTCACCACAGCCAAGATATGTATACATATATATGTATACATATACATATACATGTATATGTATATGTATATATATACAAGATATACATATATATGTATATGTATATATACATATAGATAATATGTATATGTACATATACATATTATATATATATTTCAATGGAATACTATTCAGCCATAAAAAGAATAAAATCTTCTCATTTGTGGCAACACAGATGGAACTGAAGGACATTATTTTAAGTGAAATAAGCCAGGAACAGAAAGTTAAATGCCATATGTTCTCACTCATGTGTGGAGGCTAAAAAAAAAGTTGATTTCATAGGAGTAAAAAGTAGAACAGAGGATACTAGAGGCTGAGAAGGGTAGGGGGAAGAGAAGGAGATATTTGTTAAAGGATACAAAATTACAGCTAGATAGGAAGAATAAATCCTAGTGTTCTATAGCACAATAGGATGACTATAGTTAACAGTAATATGTTATATCATTTTAAATAGCTGGGAGGATATTGAATACTCCCAGTACAAAGAAATGATAAATGTTTGAGATGATGGATATGCTAATTACCCTGCTGTGATTCCTATGCATTGTATATATCAAAACATTACTATGTACCCCATGAATATGTACAATTATTATTTGTCAATTAAAAGATAAAATTAACAAGAAAAATTTAAAAATTAATAAGTGAAACTAGCAAGATTTCTGGATGTAAAAGACCAGGACACAAAATTTAATTGTATTTCTATTTGCTAGCAAGAAATGAATAGAAAACAAAAAAAAAATCTTATTTTAATAACATTTAGAAATCAAAAACCTAGGAATAAACCTTACAAAAGCTGTGCAAGACCTCTGGACTAATTTTTTAAAAATTATTGAAGTAGACAAAACACAAATAAATGGAGGAATATACCATGTTCATGGATTAGAAGACCTGACTTTGTAAAGATGTTCCTTCTTTCCCAAGTTGATTCATAAATTCAACAGTATTCCAGCAAAATTCAAGCAGGATTTTTTGTCAAAATTGACAAACTGGTTTTCAAATTCAGGTGGAAAATCCAGGTAATCTTGAATAACAAAGCTGGAGGACTTATGTTACCAGATATCAACTCATGCTAAAGTTACAAAAATTAAGACAGTGTAATACTAATGAAAGAACAGGCAAACTAACCAGTAGAAATCAATAGAGGGTCCAGAAACAGACCCTCTCCTAATTTATGACAAATGCAATACCGTAATGTAATGAGGAAATAATGGTCTTTCAAAAAAAGGGATTGTGTGGAATAGATATCCATATGAGAGAAAAATGTATCTGGTCCCCTATTTTCATCATACACAAGAAACAATTCCAGATTAATAGTATCTCCATGTAAAAGGTAACAATCAGTAAATAAAGCTTTCAGGAGAAAAATTAAACAGCAACATCATCACAACTTTGTAGTAGGCCAAAATATCATAAACAGAAAATAATTGCTTTATTCATAATGCATAAAACATTAATAAATTGGGCCTTATTAAATTAAGAGCTGTTCATGAAAAGACACTATTAAGAGAGTGAAAATGTAATTAATACAAAGGAAAAGATATTTATAGTACATATATCTAACAAAGAATTTGTATCCAGAGTACATAAAGAACTCTCGCGAATTAGTAATAAAAAGACAAACAACCCAATTTTAAATGAGCAAAGAACTTAGACTTTTCACAAAAGGAAATATTCTAATAGCTTATAAGCAAAGGGAAATGTTCTCAACCACATTAATCATCAGGGCAAAGCTAAATAAAACCACTATCAGAAACCACGACACACCCATCAGGATGGCTAAAAAGAAACAGTTGGAAAATGCCAAGTGTTAGCAAGGATATGGAGCAACTAAAATTCTCAAGTAGTGCTGCTGGTGGTGAATATTAGTGAAATCACTCTGTAAAATTATTTGGCATGTCCTATGATCCAGCAGATCCCTCCTGCATATATACACAATAGAAATGCTTACGTATGTTTACCCAAAGACACGTATAAGAATGTACATCACAGCTGTGTTCATTATAGCCCCAAACTAGAAATTATTCAAATGCCCAGAATGGGTAACTAAATTGAATGTTTGCACAAAGAAATTTCTCTCAACAATGAGAATAAATGAACACAATACAACAATTACACAAATATAATGTTGTGTGAAAGAGGTCAAACACAAAAAAACACATATTGCATGATTCCATTGACACAAAATGCAAAAATAGGCCAACGATCTGGCCACTATGCCAATCCCAGAAGGGAGTGGCTAAAAAAAGACATGGGAGAAATTCATGTTCTGTTTCTTGGTCTGGCTCCCAATTACATAGGTGAAGTCATTTTGTGAAAACTCATGAGACTGTACACTTGTAAAATGTGCATTTTCTGTATAGATAGTGTACTTCAATTAAAAGTTTTTTTTTAAAAAAAAAAACCTATCAGCTCTGCTCTTATGGGTAGACATTTAGTGTCACTTGCCAGGGTAGCAACAGCATACGCCATATCCTTTCCTCTACAGAAGCAGGGGCCACCAGGTCAGCCTTATCAATCATTTACATACAGGTGCTTCAGCAAGATTTCCTTCTGCAAGCATTTTACAAATCTATATTTCTTTCTTTCTTTCTTTCTTTTTTTTTTTTTTTGAGACAGAGTCTCACTCTTGGCTCACCACAACTTCTGCCTCTTGGGTTCAGGCGATTCTCATGCCTCAACCTCCCGAGTAGCTGGGATTACAGGCACCCACCACCATGCCCAGCTAATTTTTGTATTTTTAGTAGAGATGGGGTTTCATCACATTGGCCAGGCTGGTCTCGAACTCCTGAACTCAAGCGATCCACCCACCTTGGCCTCCCAAAGTGCTGGGCTTAAAGGCATGAGCCACCGCACCCAGCCAAATCTGTATTTCCTGATGCAGTTTACACTGAACAAATTTTGCTGAACTCTGTTCACAGACCATTTGAAACTTGTAAAAAGTTTAGCATGTATATTATTCATGGCTAGAGAAAAGACAAAAAACAACAGAAGTTTTTCAGGGGTGATCTCTTACTGAAATCTACCATCACTTTCTTGAATTTTATTGCAAAATATCTCACATATGTTTGTAAAGTAATGAAAAAAAAAAAAGAGCTGATTCTTACTGAGCACTAAATGCCAGGCTTTGATGCAGGTACTTTTCGTGCATTAACCCATATTCATTCTCAGGACAACCCCACAGTGCAAGGATTATTATCATTCCCATTTCATAGACGAGGGTTAGCATTTGTTCGAAATCATCAATCTTTTATATGAAGCTGATGGGACACAAACCAGGCTGCCTGGTTCCTGTGCTCAGAATTCTACCTGGGCATGATTTTCACCCACAAAGTGAGCTGTGGGTATTGGTGCTATGAGAACTCACCTCTCCTGGGCCATAGTGCATTTCCTAAGGGTAGACCCCTGATCAGTGGGAATTGCTCCACTCTCTGGTCAGCGTCCAGAGCTGATCTAAACACTGCCTAGTGAGAGGGGCATAGGGTCTGGTAAAGGAAAATACCTGAGGGAAGGAGGGCATGTGGATGCCCACCGCTGTCCTAACGACATGCCCTGGCTGTCTCTCTTCTGAGACCTGGATAGTCAACTCTTCTTGGATCTTAGGAGATCTTGATCTTTTCTAACAAATCCATTTTCCCAATGGCTAATTTGAGTTGGTTTCTCTCACCACAAAAACGTTTAAAAAGACATTAAGAGGCCAGGCGTGGTGGCTCATTCCTGTAATCCCAGCACTTTGGGAGCCCGAGGCAGGTGGATCACAGTCAGGAGATGGAGACCATCCTGGCTAACATGGTGAAAACCCGTCTTTACTAAAAATACAAAAAATCAGCCAGGCGCAGTGGTGGGCGCCTGTAGTCCCAGCTACTCGGGAGGCTGAGGCAGGAGAATGGCGTGAACCTGGGAGGCGGAGCTTGCAGTGAGCCGAGATTGTGCCACTGCACTCCAGCCTGGGCAACAGAGCGAGGCTCTGTCTCAAAAAAAAAAAAAAAGACATTAAGACAAGATGCTTATCCTCTCCTTCTCCACAGCACAAACAAGAAGTGTGCGTGTATGTATTGTGTTTGTGTGTGTGCATGCATGTGTGGTGTGTGAACATAGTGTGTGTCTATGTGTGGTGTGTGTGTGCAAAAGTGTATATATGTGTGTGCATGTTCATGTGTATGAGTGTGTGTCTGTGCATGTGTGTTTTCTGGACACATTTCCATCCTCCCTCCCTCTACCCATAAGTAGCTAGCCACATTGTCAGTTCTCCCCTGTGTTCTTGGCCATTTTTCCAACAGTCATGACTGACATCTACAGTTGTTGCGGGAGGCATAGATTTACCTTTCCCAGGCAAAACTACAAGTGTCCAACCAGAGAAGGCACTCACAGCTTGTCTGAGCAACAACTCGCTTAGACTAGCCGCCGTGCAGAGTGGAAATCCCGGAAACACACACTGTGTCTCCTGCTGTTTGCTTAGCTTAGACCTTAGCTAGATCAGCTTTCTCATTCCTCCGTCTCATGTAGCCTCTGGGCAAAATGGGACCAACAGAGATATTCATGCAGGGTATTTTGTTCCCAAAAGCTCAAAGGAATTGGAAGGAAAAGGGCACATTACAGTGGGAATTCCAGAATGCATTTGATCAGCAGTGTTGCACCAGGGAGAGCAGATAGTCTGACTCTACAGCCATTTTCCTAGGAACACATCATTGATCTGGAGTAGCCAGGAGAGAGCGGTTTGAGAACGGCCCAGTGACGTGGACTGCATGCTGGCTGGTCCTGTCATCATGCCTTCTTCAGGGATGCTGCACTCTGCATCCCTAAAGATGGTCCCAGGTACTCCGCAAGTCCTCCATCCTCAGGTCAGTCATGTTTCCTCTCTTCTCCTTTCTTAGGGCACAGACCTTTGCCTTTCATCTTTCTGCAGGTTGGTCATCTTCCTCACAGGCATAAAACTGATGTCTGGAGCCAAGCTGAACAGTAGTTCACATTGGCCAGTGTTAAACGTAGACACAGCACCCAGGTGTCTTATGTGGCCTTGTAAAATATGCTGAACACCTCTCTATTTAGAAAATTCCTCACGTTGTGATTCCTACACTCTAAGAACAGAAAAAAAACTATGTTTCCCAGCAGACTTTGCTGCCACAATGCAGACATGTGACTCAGATGCCACCAGTCAGACAGGCGCCTGTGGACTGATTCGGACAGGTGCTGTGGAAGGAGACCTGGGGCCGCCTTACTGCTGCACAGTGGCAGCATCTCAGTTGCAGAAGGACAATGTGATTCGGCGGGTGGCAGCTGTGGTGACAATTTCTGATGCTAGCAGGGACAGTGGGCTCCCACCTGGGAGGGAGCAAGGGGACAGAGCAGTTTCCTGACCATGAGAGGAACAGCATATTCCCGGCATCCACAGCAGCTCCTCTCCCAGGTCACCCTGCAGCTGCTGTGGGACTTGTTCCTGGGGTTAGCCTATAGTCTGCTGCCATGGCCCCTCCAATGTTGTCCTTAATAAGTCCCCCAAACTAACAGCGAGGGACTTTGTGGTATGTAACAAAGAGCCATGGGTAGTACAGCACACCTGTGCTGAGAGTGTGCTAAGGGCACCTTTAAAGAATAGGACTGCATGCATCTCCCCTGCCCCAACTCCTTCTCAATATCTTCTCCACTTTGGATTTGAAGTGTGCAGTTGCCTTCTTACTCTGCTTCCCTGATGGATCTCTACGGTTTCTTTTATCCTTTTCCACAATTGAAACCTAAGGACACTTATGAAGCCCGCATGGAAGTGTGGAAAACAAGGAGGGTGGATGTGCATATCTGCAACCTGCTGAGACACCAGCGTTCACTGTGAAAATGTCGGCTGTGATCTTGGGGAACGGCGAGAAGGAGTTGGTGTTTCCAGATTCCATTGTAATGTCTGTGGTTAAAAGGGAGACAAAGATCCTCGATTTGTGTGAGAGAGATGGGGGCAAATATATAACAATGTAAATACGAAAATGGATGAGGAGATATGCATCTTTCCATTTGGGTCTCTTTATTTTCCTCTCCTGATTATATGTCTTTTCAGTTTTCTAAACATCATAAAAATGATGCAATCCAGACATGCAAGCCATATCCCATGTTACCTCCAATAATCTCAAGGACTCAGACAAAAGCCTTGAAATATAAGGTGTGTTGAACCACTTACAACTTGAAAATATATCTTTCACCACTCTTAGGAAGAAGCGGGTGGTGCCACAAAATGACAGACCAAGACACTGTTCCTGCAAATTGTTCAAAGTCATTCTGCAGGAGCATTTCTCAGACTTGGTTGGCACTATTGATATTTGGTTCTGGATAATTCTTAGTTGTTGGGGGGTGGCTGTGCTGTGCATTTTAGGATGTTTTACAGCATCCCTAACCTCTACTCGCGGGACACCAGTAAACCTCACTCCATAGTTATGACAACCAAAGATGTCTCCAGATATTTTTGTCACATGTGCCTGGGGGACAAAACCACCCCGTCAATAAACACTGCTTTAAAGATAGAAACAATAGGCCACTTTGCCAAAACAAACTGCAAGAAACACTTTGGTGTGTATGTGCACATATGTGCTGTAGCTTAAGAAAAACTCAAAAGTTGTTCATTAAATCTCAATGTAATAATTTTTTATCTGAAACATTTGGAAGAAAAAAATGGTTACAAATTCTCATATGAAGAACTAAAAGTCTCTCATTCTCAAAAGTCATCTTCCTTTATTGGGGATTTTATATTGAACACAGATCCTAGGTTGGCTGACAGATCCCTTATTCAACTTTATATTTCAGGTTTAAAAGCTCTGAATTTATATTCTTAAATTTTCATTCTGTTTCATATTTATGAGATTGAACACTATCAATTTTTTTCTTTTAAATAATCATTTCTTGGCATTTTTCTGCTCAGACTTCAGCCTGACATGGTGAGTAGTTTCTCTTATCATTTGGAAGGAGTCTGGGACTGTGGGACCTGCCAGACAAAGCTGGCTCTGCCCCCCACCTTGCCACAGCTGTCCGGAGTCTCTCTGCTTAGCTCTCCAGCTCTTACAAGGTCCAGGTGCCTCTAGTAATACTTTCCCAGAAGGCTGTCCAGCTGCTCACATTCCCAGTGCCAAATGGCCTAGCTGAAATGATAAACAAAACTGGATAAAAATTCAGTGCTCTTGCTGGGTGCGGTGGCTTACACCTATAATCCCAGCGTTTTGGGAGGCCGTGGTGGGAGGGTTGCTTGAGCCCAGGAGTCTGAGACTAGCCTTGGTGATGTAGAGAGACCTCATCTCTACTTAAAAAAATACAAAAAATTAGCAGGGCATGGTGACTCATGCCTGTAGTCCCAGCTACCGGGGAGGCTGAGGTGAGAAAATCACCTGAGCCCAGGAAATCAGGGCTGCAGTGAGCTGTGATGGTGCCACTGCCCTCCAGCCTGGGTGACAGAGTAAGACTCTATCTCAGAAGAAATATGAGGGCTCTGACTTGAAGGGGAAACTCTCAGCAGCAACACAAATGATGCATTTACGTGTCTGCCTGTCAATCTGTCCATCTGTCCATCTGTCTACTTGTTCACCAGTCTACCTTTCCATCTGTCTGCCTGCCTGCCTGTCTACCTGTCTGCCTGTCCATCCATCTGCCTTTCCACCTGCTCGTCCATCTGCCTGTCTGCTTGTCCATCCGCCTACCTGTCTGTCCACCTGTCCACCTTCCATCTGTCCATCCATCTACCTGTCCACCTGCCTGTCTGTCCACCTGTCCACCTTCCATCTGTCCATCCATCCCTCTGTCTACCTGTCTGTCTATCCAGCTATAGAGCTGTTCAACAGGCACCATGAGCATCTCCATCTGCACTCTGGGGACTGGGAGCATGAACAGAGCACATGCAAGCCTGGTATTTCATTTGGAAATACCGAATGAAGCCAGCCTGGCCTTCCCATTCAGGAGAGATGTACTTTGCTCACGTGTGCCCATGTTTTGCCCCTGTCCCTGTGCTAACAGCACAAGAGACCAAGGGACCCAAACCCCTCTCAGAATCCCACTGATTTGAGAGGAGCTGATTTCTGGAACTTGGAGGTTGGGGGTTGAGATACTATCTCTCTTTAAAATCTTATAGTATTAGTTTTTAAGAATTTCTCACAATTCTGATTCCTTTCCACCTCGATCCCTGAGTGACACTATATGATGTGTGTGTGTGTGTGTTGGTAGAGCTCCCTGGATGTGTTTGACAAGCCCTCTCTTCCCTCTCTCATCCCTAAAAGTACACACAGACACATACACATGCACTACCCCCACTAGGTTGGCAAATGTTAGCTGTGGCCAATGCTCAGCCCCTGCAGAGTCTAAGCAGGAGAGCTACCGTGATATCAGATTTCGATCTGGGAGACACCTCCTCAGCAGTATGGAGGTTGGATGGAGGGGTCCATGCTGGAGACAGGAATTCCTGCTGGGAATTCCAACTGCGCATAGCAAAGATAATAAAAGTAAGAATAAAGGTAAGGTCTGAATCCTTAAAGGTAGGATTTGGACACTGGAAGAAAATTAGAAGGAAAGCAGGAAAAAAATGGAAGGAAGTTAGGAAAGAAGGAAGAAAGAGAGAGAGGAAAAGAAAGAAAGAAAAAGAAACAAAGAAAGCAAGCAAGCAAGCAGAGGGAGGAAGGGGAGGAAGAGAGGGAGAGAGGGAGACAGGCAGGGAGCGAGGGGGGGAAGAAAGGAAGGAAGAAAAGAAAGGAAAGAAGGAAGAAAAGGAGGGAAGAAGGGAGGGAGAGAGGGAAAATGGAAAGAAGGAAAGGAGGGAAGAAGGAAGGAAAGGAAGAGAGGGGGAAGGAGAAAAGGAGGAAAAGAAAGAAAAAAGAGCAGAAAGAGGAGAATGAGAGAAAAAGAGGGAGAAAGGGTGGGAGAGCAGGAGAAAGAGAGGAAGGAAGGAAAAATAAAGGAAAGAAGGATGGATGGAAGAAAGGGAGTGGGAAATGAGGAAGGGTAGGTCAGATTCAGCATGTATGAGTCAAGAGTAAAGAATAGAGAGCATTCCACTGGACAAAGGAAAGGATTTATGAATTGAAGACCAAATTGGAAAGGCTAATTAGGGCCAGATAACAGCGCTTTCAGTCCCGGGTTAATGTGCTTGAGCCTTATGCTATAAACCACTGGTTCTCCAAGTGGAGTTCCCAGACCACATCATCAACTTCAGCATCATTACCCAGGAACTACATAGAAATGCAAATTCTCAAGCGACCCTGGCCCCCGCCCCACAGAATAAGAAGTCTTCCAGGAAATTCAGATACTTGCTAAAGTTTAAGACCTAGTGCTGTAAGCAACAGGGAATCATTGAAGATTACTGAACAGAGAAGCGACTTAACTCTACTATAAAAACCAAGGCAACTCATTTTCTTTCCAGCCTCTCAAAAGATAAATGGTAAATACAAAATTTAAGTTGTTACATGTCCTAATTCCATGCTTTTGGCTTTAGTGTATTTCCTAATAGCCAGCCTTAATTATTCAGGGACAGTTGTGCTACTATAACATTTACAGTGTAGAAGCAATCGTCACAAACCAATATCAGGTGGAACAAGTAAGAGCCACAGGAAATCTCTTCAAGGAGAAAGAGATATGAGGACGCTGTCTTGAAACCGGAGCCTTGAGCATGCCTCACGCTGGGGCTCCCCAGCAGCTGTGGCCTGGAAACCCATGGCTTTAATTAAGCAAAAGAGCGTTTGCAACGCCAAGACGGAGGTGGCCCCAAGCCACTGGCACAGAGGGCAGGCAAAGGAAAATCGGCACGCGTTCTGAGTAAACGGGGCGCTCTTTCGTGAGTCCATTCAAGGTTCATGTGGCTGTTCTCAAAATAACAGATTGGAAACCGGGTCAGTAATTGCTGGCCCGGCACCTTCGAAATGGCCATTTACATCCTTTTCTTTCTGGAAAGTCTTAACTTTCATACAGCTGCTCAGAATATGCCTACGGAACATTTTCTTAATTGGGTCCCTTAATCCCCAAAAGTTAGGAAAAAGAAGTGCCGGACTTGGAGGACGAGGGGCTCTGGAGACTTCCTAAATTCCTGCATGAAAGTGGGAGTGGGGAACAGCCAGAGGGAGATCAAAGCTTTGGTTTAATGAGGAGGCTCTTCAACCTCAAAATATGTTGCGTTATCCTATCCACCACAGGCGCTGCTCCTCTGTGACTCTCCACTGCTCCCCGCACCCCCCAGCCTCAGGGATCTGACTCAGTGGATGAAAATAGTCCGAGATGATGGGGCTCTCAGAGGCCAGGAATGCAAAGGGTCCTCAACGGTCTTCTCTCTATCAGGAAAGGAGGTGACCCATATGGAAGAGCGTCAGAACAAACCATCTAAAAGTGATGTGATCATCCATTTTTAGTCACGCCATTGTAATAGCTGAAGAGGGGCTGGCTCTGAGGTTTCATACTTGTGTATGCTGGAATCCACCAATCTGTGACCATTGGTGAGGTCATAGCCCCATGACATCACGACAGGGACATCCAGAGGCCTTACTGTTCCCAGGCATTCTTATAGTTTACTGGATAACTTATGTTTTAAAGCATGCATGGGATCTGGGGCATTTAAAGATCTTTGACTTTGCCACATCCTATGAAATGTATTAAAATTCCTGTATCAGTCAGCTCAGGCTGCCATAACGAAACACCACAAAGTGGTTGCCTTTACCAAGAGAAATTTATTTCTTACAGTTCTGGAAGCTGGAGGTCTGAGGTCAGGGTGCCCACATTCTTGGTTTCTGGTGAGGGCCCTCTTCCTGACTTGCCAATGGCTGCCTTCTCACTGGATCCTCATATGGCAGAGGCAAAGCCAGTAAGCTCTCTGGTATCTGTTTTCATAAGGATACTAATCTCATCCTGAGGGCCTCATCCTCATGATTTCATCTGAACCTAATTACCTCCCAAAGACCCCATCTCCCAATGCCATCACATTGAGGGTTACACCTTCCATATATGTATTCAAGGTGGCACAATTCAGCCCATAGCAATGCTCTGCTAGAGCCTTAGAGGTGAGATGTGGTTGGTTAGTTGACATAATGTAATATTTTGTAGACACTTATTAAACATTTAGTAATATTAATTTGCACTTTTTATTTCCACATTATGAAGCCAGCAAAATGATTTTTTAAGTACTCAACCATTTTGTAGATCTTTGAAAAGTAGGCAGGCACTGTGCCTCTAGAACCCAGTATAACTAGGCCCTTGTTGAATTACAATTGTGAGCCATGCAGCCCCAGGAATTCTGGCAAGACAGGAGATCAGTTAATGCATTCCCTTAGGAAGGGGGCTGAATCCAGGGAGGCAAGTGGCCCTGTTCTGTGGGCCCCAATCCTATGGCTCCTTACAAGTTAAAACCCACTGGCTTGGAATTCCAGTGGGCCAGCAGCAGCAGGTTAGAGACTGCCAGAGATGGACCAAGTTCCCAGGGGAAGGGGTGGCTGCCATACTGCTATATCTGTGGTTGCAGTTGGCTGTTCTAGCCTGCCGGCTCTGGGGAGTCCAGGCGGTCGGAACCAGAACTCTGATCTCTCCCTGGGACAGAGTCCCCAGGGGGAAGGGTGACGGCAGTCTCTGTGGTTCAGATGACTTAGTCTTTCCAGCTTGCTGGCAGTCTGCATGAGGGGGGTTCCCCCAGCATGGTGCACCCACACTGCCAAGGGACAGCCAGACTGCTTCTTTAAGCAGGTCCCTGATCCCATTCCTCCTGACTGGGTGAGACCTCCCAACAGGGCTCTCCAGTAACCTCCTACAGGAGTGTTCCAGCCGGCATCAGATTGGTGGTTCCTAGGAAGGAGCTCCCAGAGGAAAGAACAGGCTGCCACTTTTGCTGTTTCTCTGCCTTCACTGGTGATACCTCCAGGTGTGGGAGGGACAGAGGCAACTAGGGTCTGGAGTGTACCCTCAGCAAACCACAGCAGCCCTACAGAAGAGTGGCCTGACTATTAAAAGAAAAGAAAACAAAACAAAACAAAAAACAGAAAGCAACAACAACAACATTAACAAAAAAGACTCCACAAAAACTCCATTCAAAGTTCAGCAGCCTCAAAGATGAAAGGTATGTAAGCCCACAAAGATGAGAGAGAATCAGTGCAACAACACTGAAAATTCAAAAAGCCAGAGTGCCTCTTCTCCTCCAATTGACTGCAACATCTCTCTAGCAAGGGCACAGAAATGGGCTGAAACAGATGGCTGAACTGACAGAAGTAGGCTTCAGAAGGAGGGTAATAATGAATTTCACTGAGCTAAAGGAGCATGTTGTAACCCAAATGCAAAGAGGTTAAGAATCATGATAAAACAATACAGGAGCTGATAACCAGAATAGCCAGTTTAGAGAGGAGCATAACTGACCTGATGGAGCTGAAAAACACAACACAAGAAATTCACAATGTAATCACAAGTATCAATAGCAGAATAGACCAAGTGGAGGAAAGAATCTCAGAGCTTGAAGACTGTCTTTGGGAAATAAGACAGGCAGACAAGAATAGAGAAAAAATAATGAAAAGGAATGAACAAAACCTCTGAGAAATATGGGATTATGTAAAGAGAACAAACCTACAACTGATTGGGGTACCTGAAAGAGATGGGGAGAACAGAACCAAGTTGGAAAACGTACTTCAGGATATCATCCAGGAGAACTTCCCCAAGCCAGCAAGACAGGCCAACATTCAAATTCAGGAAATCCAGACAACCCCACTAAGATACTCCATGAGAAGATCAACCCCAAGACACGATCATCAGATTCTCCAATGTCGAAATGAAAGAAATAATGTTAAAGGCAGCCCAACAGAAAGGCCAGGTCACCTACAAAGGGAAGCCCATCAGACTAACAGCAGATCTCTCAGCAGAAACCCTACAAGCCAGAAGAGATTGAGGGTCAATATTCAACATTCTTAAAAGAAAGAATTTCCAAGCCAGAATTTCATATCCAGGCAAACTAAGATTCATAAGCAAAGGAGAAATAAGATACTTTTCAGACAAGCAAATGCTGAGGAAATTCATCATTACCAGGCCTGCCTTGTAAGAGCTCCTGAAGGAAGCACTAAATATGGAAAGGAAAAACCATTACTAGCCACTACAAAAACACACTGAAGTGCATAGACCAGTGACATAAAGCAACCACATAAACAAGTCTGCAAAATAACCAGCTAGCATCATGCTGACAGTATCAAATTCACATATAGCAATATTAACCTTAAGTGTAAATGGGCGAAATGCTCCAATTAAGACACAGAATGGCAAGATTGATCATAACCCATCATTATGCTGTCTTCAAAAAACCCATCTCACTTGCAAAAACACACACAGGCTCAATTTAAAGGGATGGAGGAAAATTTACCAAGAAAATGGAAAACAGAAAAAAGCAGGGGTTGCAATCCTAGTTTCTGACAAACCAGACTTCAAATCAACAAAGATCAAAAAAGACAAACAAGGGCGTTACATAATGGTAAAGTGTTCAACAAGAAGAGCTAACTGTTATAAATATATATGTACCCAACACAGGTGGACCCAGATTCATAAAGCAAGTTCTTACAGACCTACAAAGAGACTTAGACTCCCACACAATAATAGTGGGAGACTTTAACACCCCACTGACGATATTAGACAGATCACCAAGACAGAGAATTAGCAAAAATATTCAGGACCTGAACTCAGCTCTGGATCAAGCAGACCTAATAGATACCTGCAGAATTATCTGCCCCCAAGCAACAGAATATACATTCTTCTCATCACTGCATGGCACTTACTCTAAAACTGATCACTTAATTGGAAGTAAAACACTTTTTAGCAAATACAAAAGAACTGAAATCATTAACAGTCTCTCAGACCACAGAACAATAAAATTAGAACTTAATATTAAGAATCTCACTCAAAACCACACAACTGCATGGAAATTCAATAGCGTGCTCCTGAATGACTGCTGGGTAAATATTAAAATTAAGGCAGAAATCAAGAAACTCTTTGAAACTAATGAGAACAAAGAGACAACATACCAGAATCTCGGACACAGCAAACCAGTGTTAAGAGGCAAATTTATAGCACTAAATGGTCACACCAAAAAGCTAGAAAGATCTCAAATCAACAACCTAACATTACAACTAAAAGAACTAGAGAACCAAAAGCAAACAAACCCCATAATAAAAAAGAAAAGAGAGAAGAATCAAATAGACACAATCAGAAATGATAAGGGGAATATCACCACTGACCCCACAGAAATAAAAACAGCCATCAGAGAATGTTATAAATATCTATATGCACATAAACTAGAAAATCTAGAAGAAACAGATGCATTCCTGGACACATACACCCTCCCAAGACTGAACCAGAAAAAGACTGAATACCTGAATAGACCAATAATGATTTCTGAAATTAAAGCAGTAATCAATAGGCTACCAACCAAAAAAACAGCCCAGGACCAGATGGATTTACCACTGAATTCTACCAGAGGTACAAAGAAGAGCCGGTACCACTTCTACTGAAACTATTCCAATCAATTAAAAAGAAAGGACTCCTCACTAAGTCATGTTATGAGGCCAGCATCGTCCTGATACCAAAACCTGGCAGAGATACAACAAAAAAAGAAAACTTCAGGCCAATATCCCTGATGAACATGAATGTGAAAATCCTCAGTAAAATACTGGCAAACCAAATCCAGCAGCACGTCAAAAAGCTTATCGACCATAATCAAGTTGGCTTCATCTCTGCGATACAAGGTTGGTTCAATATATGCAAATCAATAAATGGAATTCATCACATAAACAGATCTAAAGACAAAAATCACATGGCTAACTCAATAGACATGGAAGAGGCCTTCAATAAAATTCAACATCCCTTCATGTTAAAAACTCTCAGCAGACTAGGTATTGAAGGAACATATCTCAAAATAATAAGAGCCATATATGACAAACCCACAGCCAGTATCATACTGAATGGGCAAAAGCTGGAAGCATTCCCCTTGAAAACCAGCATAAGACAAGGATGCCCTCTCTCACCACTTATATTCAACATAGTATTGGAAGTGCTGGCCAGGGAAATCAGGCAAGAGAAAAAAAATAAAGAGTATTTAAATAGGAAGACAGGAAATCAAATTATCTTTGTTTGCAGATGATATGATCCCGTATCTAGAAAATCCCATCATATCAGCCCAAAAGCCTCTTAAGCTGATAAGCAACTTTAGCAAAGTCTCAGGATACAAAATAAATGTGCAAAAACCACTAGCATTCCTATACACCAAAAACAGGCAAGCAGAGAGCCAAATCATGAATGAACTCCCATTCACAATTGCCAAAAGAGAATAAAATACCTAGGAATACAACTAACAAGGGAAGTAAAGGACCTCCTCAAGGAAAACTACAATCCCCTGCTCAAGGAAATCAGAGAGGACACAAACAAATGGAAAAACATTCCATGCTCATGAATAGGAAGAATCAATATCATGAAAATAGCCATACTGCCCAAAGTAATTTATAGATTCAATGCTATTCCCATTAAACTACCATTGACATTCTTCACAAAATTAGAAAAAACTATTTTAAAATTCATATGGAAACAAAAAAGAGCCCAAATAGCCAAGACAATTCTAAGCAAAAAGAAAAAGCTGGAGGCATCACACTACCCAACTTCAAACTATATAAGGCTACAGTAACCAAAACAGCATGGTACTGGTACAAAAACAGAGACATAGACCAATGGAACAGAATAGAAAACTCAGGAATAAGATCACACACCTAAAACCATCTGACCTTTGAAAACCTGACAAAAACAAGCAATGGGTAAAGGATTCCCTATTTAATAAATGGTGCTGGGAGAACTGGCTAGGCATGTGCAGAAAATTGAAACTGGACCCCTTCCTTACACCTTATACAAAAATTAACTCAAGTTGGATTAAAGACTTAAATGTAAAACCCTAAACTGTAAAAACCCTAGAAGAAAACCTAGGCAATACCATTCAGGACATAGGCAAGGGCAAAGATTTCATGGCAAAAACACCAAAAGCAATTGCAACAAAAGCAAAAATTGACAAATGGGATCTAATTAAACTAAAGAGCTTCTGTACAGCAAAAGAAACCATCAGCAGAGTGAACAGACAATGTACAGAATGGGAGAAAATTTTTGCAGTCTCTCCATCTGACAAAGGTCTAATATCCAGAGTCTACGAGGAACTTGTATTTACAAAAAAAGAAAAACAACCCCATTAAAAGTAGGCAAAGGATGTGAACAGACACTTCTCAAAAGAAGACATTCATGCAGCCAACAAACACATGAAAAAAAGCTCAACTTCACTGATCATTAGAAATGCACGTCAAGACCACAATAAGATACCATGTCATGCCAGTCAGAATGGTGATGATTAAGAAGTCAGGAAACAACAGATGCTGGCAAGGTTGCAGAGAAAAAGGAACACTTTTATGCTGTTGGTGACAAAGTAAATCAATTCAACCATTGTGGAAGACAATGTGGTGATTTCTCAAAGATCTAGAAGCGGAAATGCCATTTGACCCAGCAATCCTATTCCTGGATATATACCAAAAGGAATATGAATCATTCTATTATAAAGATACATGCACACATATGTTCACTGCGGCACTATCCACAATAGCAAAGACATGCATTCAATCCAAATACCCATCAGTGATAGAATGGATAAAGAAAATGTGGTGCATATACACAATAGAATACTATGCAGCCATAAAAAGAAACAAAATCATGTCCTTTGCAGGGACATGGATGGAGCTGGAAGCTGTTATTCTCAGCAAACTAACACAGGAACAGAAAACCAAATACCCCATGTTCTCACTTATTCAGTGGGAACTGAATGATGAGGACACATGAACACATGGATACATGGAGTGGGGAACAACACACATTGAGGACTGTCAAAGAGGCATGGGGGAGGGAGAACATCAGGAAGAATAGCTAATGGATGCTGGGCTTAATACCTAGGAGATGGGTTAATCTGTGCAGCAAACCACCATGGCACATGTTTATCTACGTAACAAACCTGCACATGTGCCCCAGAACTCAAAGTTGCAGGAAAAAAAATGAGGAAAAGAAAAAGAAAATTGTTTATTTCCTACCATACATTGTGTTCTCTGCTACCCTGTAGTTTTAAAAAGTTTTTGTTGTTGTTGTTGTTTCCAAACATTGTGCTTGGTGAGGAGTCAGGGGCTGAGGGTGTATCATATTTATGCTCCACAAACAGTATCCTAGGTCTTCCAGGCAGGATATCGTCTGCCATAATCCTGCATGGAGGGGCAGGAAAGACTGAAGATGGCCACATGGTAAAGGAGCCTCCACAAGGGAAAGAAAAAATGAACACCTAAAAGCAGGATCAGCCCAGGGAGGGAACTGCTCATGAAGTTCTAGAGCCACAGGAGTGAAAAAGGCCCATGTGTCCCCTGATAATCACATAGTTACCTAATTGCAGAAGACCAGGCTTGCTTTTTTTTTTTTTTTTTTAACCTAAAATGAAGTCAATCTCTATGTGCTAAAGTGAAGTGAAAACTTCCCTCTAGGCACATTCCTAAGTGATAAGAGCAAGCTGCAGGACGGTATGGCTAGAAAGATCTCATCTGCCAAGAAAACCAAAAAGGAGCAAAAATAGAGACAAATCGTGTGTCTGTGTGTGTGTCCATACATGATTGTGTGATATATATGTAAATACTCAGAGAAAGGACTAGAAGGAAATACATGAAAATGTTAGCAATAATCATCTCTGGGGAGGGAGTTTGGATTGGGAAGATGAGTGTGGACAGGGGACATCCTCCTGAGTTATGTGACTCACTTGCAGCAGTCAGCAAATGTTTCTGAATATTCACCTACACCAACCTCTGTTCTAGATGCTACATCCAGGGTGAACCAGCCCGTGAGGCAGCACCCTCCTGGTGACTGTATTCAGACAGAAGGATTGAATAAATAAATATATAAATAAGTAATTCAGGTATGAATAAATGCTGTGTACAGAACTAGAGAGTAACATGATTGGGAATGGTGCGTGGAGCTGGTGAAGTCCTCTCTGAGTAGCTGATGATGGTGAGGACGGAACTACAGCGGATTCAGAGCAAGAGCATTCCAGGCAAAGGGATCAGCCAGGGCAGAGGTCCTGAGACAGGAAGGGTTTGCTGTGTTCAAAAGACAGAAAGAGAAGGGATATGGCCAGCAAGTAGTGAACAGAGAGGAGGTGAAAAAAGAAGGGCACTAAGAGGCAGGTGTGAGACTTATTGGCATGCCCGTGGGTCTGGACTGTGTCCTCAGTGAAATGGGAAGGCCCTGGAGAGTCTTAAGGTGGAAGAGGAGAGACATGATCAGGTTCATGCTAAGAGAGACCACTCTACTTTAAAAGGTTTTTAAATAGAATTTAAGTTTTTCAAAGAAGCAAAATGTTGTACAGGAAACAGTGGCACCATAGCACTCTCCCATCTCAGAGCCAGTACTAAGGATTTCCAGAAGTCTTTAGCCTTGTTCTCAAACTCTGGATTCCAACTCTCACTGTGCAACCACTTGCACTTAACAGTTATTAGCTAGTTTGCAAGAATCCAGAGTCTTTGGAAACCCAAGCAGATCATGAGGATGTCAGGTCACATTTCAGAAAGTGGGGAAAAGAAATTCTAATTGATATCCATGAAGCTGACCTCTGCTCCACATTGACTGATAGGTTGGGCTTTTCCACTGAGATGCAGAATGTGCTTGCAGAGCCTTTGGACGACTGCCACCCCTCCTGACAAACTCATCTTTTATCTCCTCTGCAAGTGACAGCATCAGAAAAAGAGGATATAAATTATTTAGCTTTAAGTGTTACTCATTTTCAATGTTTAAAATGCTGAAAAGGCAAATTGCAAATAAGGGATTTTGTGGAATCTCCCGCAGCTCTCCACCAGAGGCTGTGTGGAGGTGGGGCAGAGGAAGGTGTGGTACTCTAGGAGGAGACCTGGCCTGCAGGTCCGGTTCTGGCATGGACTCACCTGCAAAACTACAACCTTCTCTGGGCCCCGTTCCCCCATCTTATAACTCAGAGACTAGACAGGATTCTAACATTGTTAGATGTGAAACTCTGTATTCAAATGAAACTTTATCTAAAGACCAATAAAGGCGAATATAGCAGTGGAGGAGCCCTGACTGGGATTGAGGAGCAGCTGGGGTCCACATCTCTAGCTCAGTACCCCACACCCCAATACATATCCCAGCCAGGTACCTCTTCTTGGGTGTCTGTGAGTCCTCAAGTTCAGGAGACTATGACATTTAGAAAAAAAATAAACCTCAGCCTGTACCTCACACCACACATGAAAATTAATTTGAAATGGGCCATAGACTTGAATGTTCAAGTTACAACTATAAAACTTATAGAATAAAACACAGGAGAAAATCTTTGTACCTTGGGGTAGGCACCGATTTGTCAGAATGCCAAAACTACTAACCATGAAAGAAAAAAGAAAATCAGCCTGGGCTACATAGTGAGACCCTATCTCTTATTTAAAAAAAAAAAAAAAAAAGCCAGGCATGGTAGCACACACCTGTAGTCTCAGCTACTCAGGGGGCTGAGGTTGGAGGAGCTCTTGAGCCCTGGAGGTCAAGGCTACAGTGAGCTGTGATTGCTCCACCGCACTCCAGCCTGGGTGACAGAGCAAATCCTTGTCTCAAAAAAAAGTAAAAGAAAAAATAATTGGACTTTGCCAAAATTAAAATCTTGTGCTCCTTGAAAGACACTTATTTAAAAAAAAAAAACAACAACAAACAAAAAGAAAAGCCACAGACCAGAAGCAAATATTTGCATTAAATATGTCTAGCAATAGACTTGTACCTGTTACATACGCTTCTTCACTTATGATGGGGTTACATCCTGACAAATCTATTGTAAGTTGAAAATATTCTAAGTCAAAAATGCATTTAATTCACCCAACCTAGCAAACATCAAAGCTTAGCCTAGCCTACTTTCAATGTACTCAGAACACTTACATTAGCCTACAGTTGTGCAGAGTCATCTGACACAAAGCCTATTTTATAGTAAAGTGGTGAATATCTCATGTAATTTATTGAATACTGTAGTAAAATTGAGAAACAGAATGGTTGTATGGGTACCCGAAGTATAGTTTCTATTGAATGTGTATCACTTTCACACCATTGTAAAGTTGAAAAATCACAAGTTGAACCATCATAAGTTGGGGACTGTCTGTATATAAATAACTCTTATAACTCAATATGACAACTCAATTTTGAGAAATGAGGTAAAGATTTAAATAGACACTTCATAAAGACATACAAATGACAAATAGGCACACAAAGAGATGTTCAACATCTTTAGTCATCAAGGAAATGCAAATTAAAACCACAATGAGATACCGTTAGTCACCTATTATAATGGCTTATACTAAAAATGCTGACAATATCAAGTGTTGCTGAAAATACGGAGAAATCTCAACTTTTGTATATTGCTGTTGGGAATGTGAAGTAATACAGTTCACTTTGGAATACTGTTTGGCAATTTCTTATAAAGTTAAATATATGTTTACATGTAACCCAGCAAACCCACTCCTACAGATTTCTACCCAAAAAGAAATGAAAGCATATGTCCACAAAAAGACTTGTATGAGAATGTTCATAACTGCATGATCACATTGGTGGTACATCCATGTAATGGAGAGTAGTACTCAGCAATAGAAAGGAATGAATGGATATTCCAGGCAGAGGGGACATGTGTTCATCAGCCTAGAGGCGAGATAGCACATGGTGTGCTTGAGGAGCTGCGTGATTGGGGCAGGGCAAGTGGAGAGGAGGTTGGAACCAAATGCCACAGAGCCCTGTGAATCATGCTAATGAGCCTGGATTTGTTCCAAGGGCAAGAAAAACTGATGCAGCAGATGAACTTAATCAGCTTTGCATTTTAAAAAGACAATTGGATGCTGGCAATAGAATGAACAGTAAAAGGACAAGAGTAGAAGCTGAGAGACCAAATGGGAGACCAACAAGTGATGATCATGGCTGGGGTCAGGATGGCGATGATGGATAGAACTGGGTGCATTTGGGAGAGCTTTAAGAGATCACATCAAAAAAATTTAATGAATGACTAGATTTGGAGAAATTATTCTACTCATCCCTATTAAATTTCATCTTCTTAGTTTCCACCCTTCATTTTAGATTCTGTCACTCAGGCCATAAGCAATTCCTTACAAATATGATTAGTGTCTATGTGTGTCATCTGAGCCATTGCTACAAATATGGAAACAAGATAAGATGCATTAAGGGACAAGAGACTCCCCTACCCATTTCCAGGTTGACTTGGAGCAATGCTTTTCACTCTACCAGCTATGAATATACCTAGCCCATGTTTTTCCACCCTCCCCACAAGGATATCATAAGACCTGGCCAAATGCCTCGTGGGCATCCAGATACCCTATTTCAATGGCATTCCTCTGAACTGCTGCTTTGGTAAGTATATCAGAAAAGGAAGAAGGCTAACATGACCCACCCTTCTGCAAACTGTCCTAGGGATCTCAATAGCCTTGCTTATGGTCCTTGCTCATTGCTGCCCACCAGTGGCAGAGCTGGTCCCATACACAGGATGCTGCGCACTACCCACTCCTGGCCCTTCTCCAGCAGCTGTAGGACTGGGTAACAGGTCTAGCAGGGCTAGCCTTTGGCCCTCCTAAGCAATGTGTTACAAACTCAGGTGAATAATTATGTCTGGCATGCTTCTCGTGGAAGAGAAAAAGAAACAGCAAATATCCTCTTGACATCTTTTTTTTTTAACATCCTATATGATGCCCATATGAGAATTAATATCTTTGAGCACCAAATCCACAGAAGGTAGATGTCTGGAACAAAATCTGCCTTGCCTTCCAGCTATGCCACCCCACAGGTTATGATTTAAGCATCCATAACACCAATACAGCTTCAGCTTGTGGTCTCTTCAGCTCTTACACATTTTCGGTGTCTTCCTCTATCAGATCTGTAATTAAGCTACTCTTGGAGTACACCGTTTCACTTGCAGTTGGTGTGTGAGCTGCTCTTTAGGAAGGAAGCAATCATCAACTCACGGGTAAGCTTATTCAGTGGTGGCATTTCTAAGCTGATTTAAGCAGTCTGTCAAAACTGAGGGAAATTAATGAGTTTACTAGGGAATATTCCCATCTCTGGCATTGGGGTAAGGAGGGGAAAGGAATGGATGAAAACTAGGGAGTCAGGCTGACTGTGCTTTTTTCTTTCCTTTTTTCGTCCTTCTTTCCTACCTTCCAATTAAATAATGAAGGCTTAGCTGCTTCTTGATGATCTATAATTCAGCTTTGCTCTATATTCAAAACAAATCTTCACATGTACATGTTGGCAAACTTCTCATTGCTATTTTGTTGACAATAACAGAGAAACTTGAGGATATTTCTGTTGGAGACACCAGGCTTCAGCATCAGCCCGTCTGACATTTCCCAGATCTTGGCTTTTTCAGGCAAGGTCTCCTCTGCACACCAAGTAGACCTCTCTTTGCACTACAGAGATAAGAATGCCAGGCCTCATTGGGTTCCACTCCTTTTTTTTTTTTTTTTTTTTGAGACGGAGTTTCGCTCTGTCACCCAGGCTGGAGTGCAGTGGCGGGGATCTCAGCTTACTGCAAGCTTCGCCTCCCGGGTTCACGCCATTCTCCTGCCTCAGCCTTCCGAGTAGCTGGGACTACAGGCGCCTGCCACTGCGCCCGGCTAATTTTTTGTATTTTTTTTTTCTTTTTTTTAAGTAGAGATGGGGTTTCACCGTGTTAGCCAGGATGGTCTCAATCTCCTGACCTCGTGATCCACCTGCCTCGGCCTCCCAAAGTGCTGGATTCCACTCTTAAAGACAAGGCTGGGATCAGCTCCAGGAGCCATTCAATTGATGGAAAGGCAGAGCATTAGGAAGGATCGGAAGACAGAGGCTGCATGGGGCCCCATGCATCCTCAGAGATGTGAGGGCTGATCGCCACCCTCTGGCTGCCCCTAAGCTTGGTAGAGTTTTAGGTGCTTCATTTATAGCTGCCTACACAATTAAAGGTGGATTAGAAACCTGGTAATAGGGGATTAGGGCACTAATCCCCTTCCAATTGTTAATATTAATTAAAGTGCTTTTTTCTCTTATTATTTAACAAACACTAACTACTTCATTAAAAAGAGGAAAGAGAGAATATAGTTTGGTAGGGTAATATCTGGATTACTTTTTCCATCCAGGAAAGCACTGGTGCGTTTTCACTTCCAGAGCATAAACTGTAATAAATGTGAAACACAAAAAGGAAGAAGAGAGTATCTTTTGCTTTCCACCAATTAATCAGTCAGAAAGTGTTTCAATTTTAAGATGTAAATGTCTATCTTTTCCCCCAACAATTTTCTTATTGGCCACTGTAGTCCAATTATTTCGATTAAAGCAGAGAGGGCTCAGTTAATGAGAAGCAGGTTTCCACAGTGTGTGTGTGCATGCTTGTGTGCGTGCATGCGTGTGCACGCAGGTGTGTGCATCGCATGTGTGTGCACAAGTGTGTGCGTATCGCATGTGTGTGCACACGTGTGTGTGCATCGCATGTGTGTGCAGGCAGGTGACTTTCCTTACGGTCCAGACGGCCAGCAGGAAGTCAGCTCACCGGCGTTGGCATGCGGAGTGCAGACTGCCAAAGCTGTGCAGGTTTGGCCGTCCCTGGGAGACGCTACAGAAAATCTCCAGGGCAATATTATTATCTTCTCTTGTGGCCATTGGATGAAAACAGTCACTGAGCCCTGTTGTGTGCAGAAACCTGTGCCTGCCATGTGCAGGGAGGAGATATGAGAAACAAAAGCCAGATGTGGTGAGGACCTCATGGGCGCACACATGACAACCAAAGCCAATCAAATGCAAATGAGCAAAAGCCAACTGCCTGCAGAGAGTCAGGAGACACCAAGCAGGGATGAGAAACCCCCTCACCCCAGCTTGGGAAAATCCATCTCATTAATGCTCTGAATTTAAAAGTAAACAGAAGATATCTACGTCCTCCTCTGTGCTCAAACCAGAAAATTGATACGATGTATTACAGTCCCAGCTACACATAAAAGACTGAATGTGTGTGTGTGTTTCTTAGGCGTGTGTGTGTGTGCATGTGTATGTGTGTGTGTTTCCTCAGGCATCTGTTTAAATGCAGTATCTTACCTTAATTGAGGGACACTGAGGATCCAGGAATCCCTCTTCTGGGTCTTACCCAAAAGGAGATGAAATAACCGCCTTGTAAAGGTATCCACACTCTCCAGTCCCTGGCAGTACTATTTACAGTAGCCAAGATATGGAAACAGCCCAAATGTCCATTGACAGATGAATGGATCAAGAAAATATGGCATCTGTACTGTGTATACAATGGAGTATTATTCAGCCTTTAAAAAGAAGGATATTGTGTCATTTGCTACAACACAGACAGGCTTGGAGGACATCATGCTAAGTGAAATAAAGCCCACACAGAAAGAAAAATACTGCTTATCTCACTTAGATGTGGAATTTTTTTAAAGGTCAAATGTACAGAGATAGAACAGAAAGCCCCCGGGTCACCAGGGGTAGGGGCTGAGGGTGGGGAGATGTAGGTTAAAGGATACAAACCAGCACATGTGTGGGATGAACAAGGCCAGAGATCAAATGTACAACATGAGGACTCTAGGTAATCAAATGTATTTGAAATTGTTCCTAAATAAGTAGATTGTAACTGCTCTTGCCCCCAAAAAGTAACTATGTGTATGGTAAATATGTTAATTTACTTAACTATAGAAGCCATTTTAGTATCTATGTGTCTCCCATGACATCATGTTATAAATCTCAAATATACACAATAACATTTATTTTTTTAAAAAGGTGACACAGGGACTGTGCTTTACTTACCTTCACTTTCCCCAAAGCATCTTATATGAACTTGACCTCAAACAAGCCATATTTCTAGTTTCTTGCCATTTTGGTACATTTATATACACCAATTATTTGATTGATACAGCTTTTTAAATATTTAAATAGTATAAAGTGATTTTTCTAATTATACCCTAGAATTCAGAGGCTGACTAAAGTTTCATGCTCCAAGGTTCCTACCACACAAACTCTTTCCTGGACCCAGAATAACCAGCAAGTAGCCCTCCTAAAGAATAGCGGGGACCCCGCCAAAGCCACTGAGGCCTGGATGCCGGTGGAGGGAGAGGCTTGCCTGTCATTGCCCTGGGGCGTGCCCTGCCTGTGCTTGCCCACTTGCCTCCAGGGAGCAGGAAAACCCCCTAAGACATTCTTATACGCTAACCTCGCTCTCGTTTATAGCTAGTCTCAGATCTAAATGCTGCGACTGTCCTAAAGATGAATAAACAGCATGCAAGTACCCTACGTTAGGAAAAGCAGGGGATGGTCCAACAGCCATCTTTCACGTTGCTATGTAAACGTTCGCTTCAAAGCTGGCCCCTCTTACATGAGCGCACAGTCTGTCCCTCCCAATGAGGCCCACAGATCCAGCTCCAGGAAAACTGTCCTCTCAATTGCTGGTATTTAAGGACAAGCCCTTCTGATGAATCACATCTCTAAGCGAGCTATTATACTGTAATCCTAATCACCTCTTCCTAAGCTTTGAGCTACAATAGGGTTGCTGGATGCACTGAACACCCGTCTTGACAAATAAGCAGCTATGAGTAAAATCATGATAATAGTAATGAAAGCTACTGTTTAGCCAGAAGTTTCTCTGACCTGGGCCTCTAGCTTACTTGGAATATAATATCTCATGCCTATACAGTGAGGTAGGTACTTGCTGAGATATAGCAAGGGTAAGAAACCCTCCAAGATGACCTAGGTGTGAAGGGACTTGGTATCAATCATAACAGGGTGGTTCCACTGTGGAACTCCTGACCCTGAATATTCCCTGGTGGGCACACAGCCTGGGCTCAGGAGCACACAACCCTTTAAAGGTGGGAGCAGCACCTGTTTACACTCAGAGCAGGGCCATTTTCCTGGTTTGGACAGAGCCCATAACCACACGAGTGCTTTGAATATGATCTGTAAGCTCATTTGCTCTGATAGTAGAGGCAATTTAACCCCTCAAAAAGCAAGATGGGTCTTATAAGGGATGCTGTATCATAGTGTCATTGGCAGGGTTTTGGGCTTTTTTTTTTTTTTTTGGTCTTTCTGAGCTCTGCATAAAATAATGGAGAATCTTACAATCAGTGGGTCTTGGATTCCATGAAATGTGGTCATGTCTATTCATCCTCTTGTTGAAATACATTCCAAAGGGCAGTTTTCAAAAATCAGAATATGAGTAATGCAGCACCTGCAGATTGGCAACTCGGAGAGAGGGACAGAGTTGGGGAGAAGGGAGAGAGAGAGAGAGACAGAGTGAGAGAGACAGACAGAGGGAAGCAGAGAGAAGGAGGGAGGAGAGAGGGAGTGGACAGGTGCGGTGGGGGAGGGGATGATGCCTTGCATTAGTCACATTTGGACATCAGAAGAGAGTTCCAGTCTGGAGGTGGAGCTGGAAGTCATCTGTATTAGTCCGTTCTCACGCTGCTAATAAAGACACATCTGAGATGAGGTACTTTATAGTAAGAGGTTTAATTGACTCACAACCCCTTAGGGCTGGGGAGGCCTCAGGAAACTTACAATCATGGCAGAAGGCGAAGCAAACATGTCCTTCTTCACGTGGCGGCATCAAGGAGAAGTGCTGAGCAAAAGCGGGAAAAGCCCCTTATAAAACCATCAGACCTTGTGAGAACTCACTATCACAAGAAGAGCAGCATGGGGGTAACCGCCCCCATGATTCAATTACCTCCCACCAGGTCCCTCCCATAACATGTGGGGATTATGGGAATTACAATTCAAGATGAGATTTGGTGGGGACACAGCCAAACCATATCATCATGCATGTCATCCGATGTTGTGGATAAAACAATATACCTGAGTTTCACCCCTGGCTGCCCTGATTGCTAGCTGTGTGAACTTAGGTGAGCTGCTGAAGCCCTCTGTGCCTCAGTTTCCTTAACTGTAAAAGGGCCCTAAGAGTTGTGCCTGCCTCCCAGGTTGATGTGAAGGCGAAGTGTGATAATTCATATAAGGTGCTGAAAACAGCTCCTGGCCCTCAGTTCTTAGGTGATAGGGAACCTCTGTCTATGAAAGGGTTCTTATATACCTCCCAGGCCGAAAAGGCCTCACAGTGGTGTGGTTGAATCAATACAAACATTAGAATGGGGGAAGCATCTGCTGCGTGACAAGACGAGCCATATGCAGAGGGAGGAGCCCATCAAGGCCAGCTTGACAGGAGATTGCTTCACCGCAAATCCAGAGGCCCTCCCCTTCGACTCAAAGGTTGCAAAGAGGTACTCAAGCTCGTCAAAAGTGGCTGAGCTCGAAGCCTGGAGTTGAAATTAGGTGGGACAAGCTTGAGCGGAAGGGATGGTTGTGTTCACTGAACCCAAAGTGTGGCTTTTCCTGCATGCAGTTCCTGCCCGGAGGCTTCCCTTCCACCCACCTTGACAGGATGATTCCCGCATCAAGGCTGGGCTCCATCCAGAAACACAGATTCGGAGAAGCCATCTGACCTCTCGGCCTTGCTCGGGTAGCAGTCTGTCCTGGTCTTCTGCCGGACTCATTCTCAGTCCCTGAGTAAAACTGAGCCCAGGGGAAACCAGCATCACCTGGGCATCACCCAGAAGCCCTCACAAAGCAACAACCATCACCAAAAAAATGCCTGCAGGTAATTTATTTTGCCTGAATTGTTTGGCTATCTTGATTCCTCATTTTCTTTCTCAGACTTGATCCTCAGTTGAAAGAAAAAAAATACACCATATATATGCACTTTTTTAAAAGGTAGAGAGAAATTGCTTTAGCAAAAAGTCCTCAGCCTTCAGGGAGAAGCTCAGCTCTGCTATTCAAGGCAGGAAAGATAATCTGTAAGACACAGAAATGCAAATGTGGACGTGGTCTCTTCCCCTCTCGCCAGACCCCCAGCAAAGTTAATTTGGGGATTCTTTCCCCCTCAGGAGCCATAGAGTGAGACAATTTGTTTTTACCACATCTCTCCACATCCAAAGGGTCAGAAAGGCTGAGATTCTGATAAGAAACACAGATGTCACTGAGGTAACAATTTAGCTACACTTCTCTGCAAGTTCCACCAAGCTTGAATTTCTTTAGCTACATGGATCCATTTTAATAAGAGCTGACAATTTAATCAGGTAAGATAAGGCCCATTTTCATAATAGGGCACAAGAGGTATATGCATATCCATTTTTCCATTAATGGATCTTGGGATTTGGTCATGTAGTCCCTGCATAAAATGTAGACATTTCACTCCACCATGCTCTTTTGATCCCGTGCCACCCCAGGAAAGCTCAGAAAAGAAAAGCCAAAACTAGCCACAGAAGATACATGGTAATGAAATGGATTGCACACATTCAAAGAACTCGATTTTCAAATGAATGTTACTTCATGTCTTCAGTCACACTAATCATTTAATGGCCATTTTAAACTTACAACTAAGAAATAAAAACTTTATTCTGAAAAATGGCTTCATATTTATTCTAAGTAGAGCCAGAATTTGGGCCAGCAAGTCATGAATATGAATGACCGTAAATGCCCTCAGAGGGGCGTGTGCTTTGGTGCGCCAAGCCAAAGGAAAGATGGAAGCAGGAAGGGATTTCTCTGACTCCAGCGCTCTCCTCTCCCGACCCCAATGCAAGCACAGGGCCCTCGTCTGAGATGCACAGCTACAGGCCTGTGGGGAGCAGGCAGGGGCCAAAGCCCTGCCAGGTGCAAAAGGAGACTTAGTTTCCCTCTGGGGCTTGTTGTGGAGGACCCTGGAGAGGTCCCTCTACTCCTGCAGGACAACTGCTCCTTGGAGAGGCCCCTGCGCCCCTGCATGGGAAGAGCCTGTGGAAGTGGTCCTGGCAAGACATCCAGGAGAGGAGAAAAGATGTGTTGAATCCTCGCAGCTCCTAGCCCCTAGCTCTGCAGAGAATGTGGATCCAGCCTTTTTAGCCAAGGAGAAAAGGAGGTTCCAAGGTCTCCCGCTGGTGCCGTGAAGATAACTGCACTGAGAGATGGAGCCTGCCAGGCTGCCTGCCAGGTGTGGCATTGCTGCCTCCAGAACCCACCTGGACTCTAGCAATGACTAGAGCTTAGGATTAGGGAACTCAACAGCCCAAGAGTGGAGGAACAACCAGAGACCTGGAAAAGGCATGTCATGACATGGAACTGCTAAAAGATACAAAGGAAAACCTAAAAATACATACATGCATACATACATACATACATACATACATACATACATTTGATTGCAGCACTAAAAAAAGAAAAGACTGTCTGAAATATGATCCTTAAATTTAACAATTTCATCTGTGAATTGAAGGAGACCACTTTTGAGATTCAAATTAGTAGCCTTGAAATTAAATAGAAGAAATAGCTAAGCCACAGAGCAGCAATTCAGAGGCAATGCAGTTTCATGCTACAGCATGAGAAGGCTGTCCCACTGCACCCTGGGAACCCAGGCATTCTCAAGGGCTCTGCCCACAGTCCATGAAGCAACTTCCAAGACAATACCCTCAGGAATTGTACTGATGCATTAATTAAACGAATGATTATGTCCTTGGAGATGTGAAATGATATTAAAGAGATGAATAATGTCACCCTTGTAGGTTATAATCAGTATGATAAATGATTTGGGTTTCAAAACACATGGCAGAGAAAACGATTATGGCTCATTGCCCTGACACCATCGGCTGTTGGTCAGTTCTGGTTCTTACGAGGGGCTGTTGGGCTACTGCACATTGGCTATGATCCATGAACATCTGATTTATCTTTCCCTTTGAATAAGAATGAAGATACTATAAGTCGTTTATGCCATTTCTCGAAGTTATCCGGTGTGGGCTCTCCAACACTGACTTTCATGGAAAGTCAAAACAGTGAGCTCACCGCGGACAAACAGAAAAGGTACAGGCATTCCATCTGCTGGAGTCCCACCTCCGAGGAACTTTGAGCAGCTCTGATGATTTGCTGTTAGGATTAGGATTTGCAGCATTAGAATCCTTTTAGAAATGGGGAGTGGGGCCCCGGATGAAAGTAGAACTACGACTGGTTTGGCTCCTGATTGAATGAAGTTCAATCATTTCCATAACGTAGCTGCTTTTGTTGGGGTATTTTGGACTATTCACACAAATGCTGTGGATTATTCCTGCATTGCTGGACCTGAACATAACCAGGAACCAGTCATTAGATGTAACTGATGATCCTCATGACATCAGACAATAGCCATCAGAAGAGTCATGGCAATGACCCATAAGCCTTAAAGAGAAAACTGCTAAAAGTAGGCATCTCTTAAAACTGTCATTCTCAAAAGATAGGGATTTCCATGATCCTTAAGAACTGAAATTATTTCTGTAATATTATCAAGTTGTGATTTGCCTTTGCCATGGAGTTACCATTTGCACAGATGGGTGCGGAAGTCATGATGGGTGAAGCAGCTGGCTCCATAACATGAATGAAGGCAGGGGCGCCCAACTCTGCTATCAGTCATCACACTCTTTAACACAGTATTACTTATACACTTAAACAACAATGTTCCTGAGGAAGCCAGGAAAAGTGTTTTATTATATAGCTACCATTGAGTACCCTTCATTTTAATACCCTGCATAACAAAATGGGAAACTCACATTAGCTGTGATGCGTTGGCTGTGTTGAAAATCATTTGTACAATTGTTACTCATTGTAGTTGCAAATCTAACTAGCCACTGTTTTCATGAAACACCACTTTAACTTGAAAGAAATACTAACAAACTATGGTTTCTCAGGCATGAGTATTTGGCAGACATTTTTTCATGATGAACACAATGAGCCTGTCACTTTAAGGAAAACAACTGATAATATGGGTTATCAATGATCAAATTTGAATTTTAAATTAGAATTTTGAGAACTTCTGCGTGCCTCCTTTATCCTGACAGATTCTCAATAATTAGGGACTTTTCTGACGAGTTCAGTGGTAATATCAATGAATTCTTTTCATATTGTAAAATAAAATGTACCAATATTTAGAAGATGGGTATAACTCAAAGAATCAATATTTTCCAAATAACCAGTGCAGGATGTTATAAAATCATACATGGATAAAAGATCCATCCAAAGTATTAGATCCATCAATGAATTTTAAGGTAACAAAGTCAGAGTTTACTCATACGGTTTCATATTCACCTCATAACTTTTAAGAAAGTATTACATGTCTATTATGTTACAGGAAATAAGCCAGTCCCAAAAGGACAAATACCGTATGATTCCACTTACATGAAGTACTTAGAATAGTGAAAATCATGAGATAGAAAGTCAAATGGTGGTTGCCAGGCGTCAGGGGAAAGAGGGAATGGGGAATTGTTTCATGAATGTAGAGTTTTAGTTTTCCAAGACGAAACGAGTTCAGTTCTGAGGATAGATGGTGGTCAATGTTGCACAACATTATGAACTTATTTATGTATTTATTTACTTGTATTCTTTTGGACACAGGGTCTTGCTCTGTTGCCCAAGCTGGAGTGCAGTGGTGCCATCAGGGCTCACTGCAGCCTGGACCTCCTGGGCTCAAGCGATCCTCCGATCTCAGCCTCCCAAATAGCTAGGACTACAGGCACACACTACCATGCCTGGGTAATTTTGTTTAATTTTTTTGTAGAGAAGAGGTCTCACTATGTTGCCCAGGCTGGTCTCAAACTCCTGGACTCAAGCGATCTTCCCTCCTCAGCCTCCCAAAGTGCTGGGATTACAGGCTTGAGCCACCATGCCTAGCCTGAATGTATTTAATATCACTGAACTGTTCACTTAAAAATGGTTAACATGTTATATTTTACGATATATGCACTTAACCACAAAATAAAATGAAAAAAGAAAATTCCACTCGTTTTGGTGTAGTATCAAGGAACAATATCCACAATTATCTGAAAAAGCTATTAAACTATTTCTCCTTTTCCAGCTACATACCTGAGTGATGTCTGATTTTCTTCATATATTTCAATCCAGACAGCACATCACAATGGATTATATGCAGAAGCAGATATGAAATCCAGCTGTTTTCATTAATCCAGACATCACAGAGATGTGTAGAAATGTAAAACAATGCCAGGCTTCTCATACTGTTTTTGTTAGAAAATTATAGTTATTTTTTAATAAAAATAATCCTATTTATGTCAACATTTAATGGATTTACTATTGTTATTTTAAATGAGTCAACAAACTAATACTTCGATTTTTCCCCAGTTTTAATTTGTAGTTCAGCACATATGGGTAGAGGCAGCCTATGTAAACAAAAACTCTTCGGGGCCTCCAATAATTTTAAAGAGTATATAGGAGTTCTGACCAAAAACTTAGAAACCCACTGGCTTAAAAATTCTGTCCCTGCCACTTACAAGCTGTATGGCCTTGGGCAAGAGATTTCATCCTTTCCTGCCTCAGTTTATCCAGTTGTAAAAGGAGGTAATATGAAATAAGGTATGTGAATCAGGCCAGGCGTGGTGGCTCACGCCTGTAATCCCAGCACTTTGGGAGGCCAAGGTGGGCAGATCACCTGAGGTCAGGAGTTTAAGACCAGCTTGGCCAACATGATGAAACCCCGTCTCTGTTAAAAATACAAAAATTAGCCAGGCATGGTGGTGGGCATCTGTAATCTCAGCTACTCAGGATGCTGAGGCAAGAGAATCACTTGAACCTAGGAGGCAGAGGTTGCAGTGAGCCGAGATCGCGCCATTGCACTCCAGCCTGGGCAAAAAGAGTGAAACTCCATCTCAAAAAACAAAAAAGGTATGTGAATCATTTCATGCAACACCTGGTCCCTAGTAAGCCCTCAATGATGCTGGCTGTCACTGCTTTCTCAGTCCCTGTTTGTTGAGTATCTAATTGCCAGTGCTTATCTATCAACAGGTACTGGGGAAACAAAGCAAAACAGACAAATTGCGGTGCTCAGGTTCTGCCAAGGGCAGCAGACAGTGAACCACATGAAGAAGTAAGTTGGCAAGGGTGCATGATGGGGTTGAGCATTGTGGGAGAAGAGGGACAGGAGGGCCTTAGGAGCAGTGGCTTAGAGCAGGGAGAAGGAGCCTGTGAATGACACAATAGGAGGCAAGGGAGCCAGCCAGATGCTGCACGGGATGCCAGTGATGGCCCACGTGGCTCTGCATGGGCAGGGGGACTGTGGGTTTGTTCTGAGAGAGCTGTGAGGCATGGGAGATGCTGAGCAAGGGTGTGATGTGATCTGACTCCCAGTGTAATGAGATCAGGAGGATATGCATCTCCCCAGAATTGTTCTTCTTGCCTGGGTAGACCTATTAAGGCCGCTCACATTGGACCTGTACCTGGAGCCTTCCCAGGAGCCTCCAGGCAGAACACATCACCCCTCTGTCAGCTCCTCCAGGGGCCCTCAGGATCATGAGTGTCTGGGTTAGCTGTGTATCCCTGTGCCCTTGGACCCCTGTTCTCTGGTGGACCCCTCTCCATCTCTCTAGATCCACTTCATCCTTCACAGGCTGACCTGCATGGACCATGTCCACAGGGCTCCCTGGCCTCTGGCTTCTAGGGGGTTCACCCAAGGGGACCACAGTAGAATATAGGATGAAGGGCAGTTGGGGTGTTTAATCCCCTGGCTCTGCCTGGTGGGCCCTTTATGGGCTGGCTCAGTCCAATTCCTACAGGCAACTCCTCCTGACCCTCTACCGTCTATAACCTGGCCTCCCCTGTCCACCTCCAGCAGGACTGCAAAGGGCTCAGACAGGAGCCCCAGGGCTCTGCAGTTTTCCCTGCCCACATCTCATAAATGGTTCCATTTGCAAATTCTCCTAAAACTACCTAATTGGAGTGTGTTCTCTGTCTCCTTCCAGGCCTCCAACTAATGGACTACCATAGATCCAATGCCTCAGATGCAGATAACACTCTGGGAAGGCAGACACCACCTCTCTCCTGCACTCTGCCATTCTCCAGGATTGGGAAGGATTCTGGGCACACAGTAGGCATTTATTAAATATTCATTGGATGAATAAATGATAAATGAATATTCATTATCATTCTCTCCACATATTAAATCAAATGCTTCAAAACACTTTAGAATGGAAATTAATTGCCTCCCTTAGTCATTATTTTTATCTATAGCTATCATCAAACCTTCACCCACTCAGAGTTAATAATTGAAAAACAGACACATAACAAGTTAGCAGAGAGGAGAGCTCAAATGAAGCCCCATCTGAAAACCTCACCTACAGGCCACACTCCCCAGACACAACTTCTTGTAACTGGAGGTGGGGTGGGAGTCTCTATATTCTATTTTTCTTTCTTTTTTTGTCTTTTATTTATGTTTTTTGACATAATAGTTTGATTGAGATGTACTTGTTATGCAACACAATTCACCCATTTGAAGTGTATAAATCAATGGTTTTTAAGTATATTCTCGGAGTTGTTAAACCATCACTACTACCTAGTTTTAGAACATTTTCATCACCCCAGAAAGAAATCCTGTACCCAATGGCAGCCACTCCCTCCCTATCCCCCTCAGCCACCTTACTGTAAGCCAACACTCATCTACTTTCTGGCTCTATGGGTTTCCCTATTCTGGACATTTCGTATAAATGGATTACAAAATGTATTGTCCCTAGTGTCGGACTTCTTTCCTTCCCTTAGCATAATGTACTCAAGATTCATCCATGTAGTAATATGTGCCAGGACTTCATTCCTTTTTATTGCCGGATAATATTCTGTTGTATAGATGGACCACATTTTATTGATCCGTTTATCAGTTGATGGACATTTGAGCTGTTCCCATTTTTTGGCTATTAGGAGTAATGCTGCTATTTGGAACATTTGTGTACAAGTTTTATGTGAACATATGTTTTTGTTTCTCTTGGATGGAGTTGCCAGGTCATATGGTAATTCTACATTTAACCTTTGGAGGAGCTGCCAGATTATTTTCCAAGGCAGCTGCACTATTTTACATTTCCACCAGCAGTGTATGAGGATTTTAACTTCTTCAAACTCTTGTCAGCAAATATTATTATTATTAAATTTTGGTTCCACACTCATTCTTAAATTTCCCAGAAGAGGGGATTTTTGTTGCAGGTGGCTTCTATCTAAACTCCTTATTGCAGTGGCCAGAGATTTAAGGTGCTCTTGAACTGCTTCCTCAGCCTCTCACCATTTCTGGGGTTCTCTCTGGGCTCCAAGGGTACACAGTAGTTGGGTCCCAAGTGGTGCATAGAGAGTACAAACAAATTCACAATGGCACAAATCCCACATGCTCTAGACCTATCCTGTCCAATATGGTAACCACTAACCATGTGTGACTATTAAACTTTAAATTTATTTTAAATTTTAATTAAAATGAAATTCAACATTCAGTGGTTCAATCACATTAGTCATATTTCAAGTGCTCAAGAGTCGGCCAGACGCTGTGGCTCACGCCTATAATCCCAGCACTTTGGGAGGCTGCGGCGGACAGATCACTTGAAGTCAGGAGTTTAAGACCAGCCTGACCAACATGGTGAAACCCTGTCTCTAATAAAAATACAAAAATTAGCTGCGCATGGAGGCGCGCACCTGTAATCCCAGCTACTCGGGTGGCTGAGGCAGGAGAATTGCTTGAACTTGGGATGTGGAGGTTGCAGTGAGCCGAGATCACACCACCACACTCCAGCCTGGGTGACAAAGTGAGACTGTGTCTTAAATAAAAAAAAAAATCAAGTGCTCAAAAGTCACATGCAGCCAGTGGCTACCACATTGGACAGTACAGATCTAACACATTTCCATCATTGTAGAAAGTTCTATTGGATGGCATGAAAGGAGGAAAGATAAAAGGCCCTACACGTGGCCACCCTGTGAGAGACGCTAATCAGAGTGGCTTTGTCTCCAGACCCCCTCCGCTGAGGTACCCCATCACCCATGGCCCATTTTGCCAGCCATCTGAAGAGGTTTGGAATTCTTAGGGATGCCAGATAAAAGGGTGTCTTTTTTATGTAGAAAAGCACAAAGTTAGGCCTCAAGCTCTCTCAGGTGGACTATCGTGTTTTCCAATCAGTTCAAGAACATGTAAGCTATGATTTCCACTCCTCGGGGTTCAACTACCCAAACCTGGATGTCTCAGATGAGAAATATTAAATATCTAAAATGGTCTATTTCTGAAAACTCTTCTGTGAAGGATTGCCAACATTTACGTGTTTCTAAAAAAAGAAGTTGCTGCATATGAGCTGTTAAAAATTAGCGGCCAATTAATACTTTTCAGCTTCCAGCCTGTTAGAAATGTTATGCAAGTCATTTATAGGAAAAATGCTCGCCCTCGCAGCTCCAACGGCATGTTACATACTAAAGCAGAGTTGGTCTTGAATTCTGGGGGCTGATGTCTCGTGAGGCATTCAAATGTTGGATTTTACGCACCTTTGAATATAATTATTATTAATATTCAAGCAGTATATTCATTTATACCTTGAAAGGGAGGCAAATACCTCTTACAATTTGTATATGATATTAAAGGGCTCTAGACTTATCTCTAAAATTACAATACTGTATTTTGCCACAAGTTAAATGGTATTCAAAGACCAAAGCTACAGGTGACCATTTTCTTTTATTTTGGTTTTGTTTTTGTTTTTTTGAGACAGGGTCTCCTCTGTCTCCTCTCTCCACCTAGGTTGGAGTGCAGTGGCATGATCTTGGCCCACCGGAGGCTTGACCTCCTGGCATCAAGCAATCCTC